>NC_000005.10:175155263-175458293 GCF_000001405.40 Homo sapiens
GACCGAATCCTTCGGTTTCTGAAGTAAATGCAGAGAACTCCTAAGAGGAGCCAGCCTAATGCTCACACTGGAGTTTCAGGCCTAATTTTAGGGACATCAAACTTGGGACAAGTCCTTTGATCGACCTCACGTGTCATACTCCACGAGTATGCCACCACATGAGACTATTTCAGGCCTGAAAGAGAATTCTTCTGGGGAAAAGGAAATTTTTAGATTTCTCATAAACAGCTAACTTTTATAAGGAGACATGAGGAGCTAAAATTAAACTGCCTCAATTATTTGGCTTCTAGACTGACTTATGAAACTCACAGAGGACTTTGTGCAAATGACTTAACAGCCATAGGAAAGAGTCTTTGCAAATCTCTGCAGGCGGTAACAGCCTGGGCAGATCATGCAGGCCTTCCAGCCCCAGAGCTACGGGGCTGGAATTTGGCCCAGGTGGGTAGGCCTTTGGGCGAGGCAGCTAAAGGAAATTAACTGGAATCTGATTTCTGAAGAAGAGGTTATCTCTGTGCTCTCCCGGTGGGAGATACAATTTCCTCCACAGTCAAGATCCAGCCTTGCTTCTTTGCAGGGATACTGGCCCTTACTGCTTCCTCATTGCCCTGCAGTTTCTTTCTACTCAGGTATTGTCAGACACACGAGAGAAATTATTAAGAGGGAGCCCACTTTGCACAAGATATATGCAAGGGTTCAACCCATGCCTGGTTGCAGTATCCCCTAATTAAAAACAACCTAAATGTCCATCAACTGGAAAAAAGAATATATAATGCATATTAAAATCGAGGGTGCACAGGTGCATGGATACATTTCAAAAACATAATGTTGAATTACAGTAAATTTCAAAATGATTCCTAGACTTTGGTACTATTTTCTTAATAATATATGTTAGTTGTGGGTTCCTACTAAAGGAGCAAAAGTACAAAAACACACATGGGAAGCATATATGCTCACTTCTGTTTCAACATATTCTCTTGGAGGAAGGGTAGAAAGCAAATGAATGGGGCACTAAGGGACTTCAACTCTATCTGTGGATGTTTTATTTGAGAAATATTTTGACAAGATCTGAAAGGAATGAGGTGATATTGAGATTTGACAAAGCTGAGTGGTGAGTACACAAATATTAGTCTCTGTACTCTTCATGTTAGAAAAACTTTACTAAAAGTAATTTTTAAAAAGAGGTGATTGGCCTCTTTTTCCTGCTGAGGGTCAGAGGTTAAGCAATGCATGTGAATTAGGCTAAGAATTGCCTATTGATCAAGCTCAATATGAAGTCTGGACTCTGATGTTGTTTCAGCAACTCAGGGATGTGAGAACCTGGGGCTGGCTTCTTGGTGATTCTCTTGGTATCAGCTGTGGCCATGGCTGCTCCCAGTACCACAGCCACATCCTCATACAACAATGGCCCCAATCACCCCTGAGGAGAGTGTGCCAGGAAAAGAATGAACACTGTCTTTTTATTGGGCAGCAAAGTCTTTCCCAGAATCCTCTAGCAGAGCTACCATTGGCTGGAACTGGATCCCATGATCACCTTTCCTTCCAAGGAGGCTGGGAAATCAAATATCTTACAGCTGGACCATGGGGTCAGCACAGGCTTTGTAAGAAGGTAGAAAGGGAAAGCAAGACATTTCTGGTAGAGAACCAAAAGCGTATGCCACACAAGGGAAGAGGGTGGGCTGGTGAAGGGCTGAGATTCCTGAGGAGCAGGTCCCCAGTGGTATGAGTGTAAGAGGTCATCACAACCAATGGAGCCCAGAGAGAAAAACTGAGCTAATAGTTGTGTGTGGTAGAGCAGAAAAAACAGTGGTCATAGGCATTGCAATTTCATGGACCAATGCTTTAAAAAAAAATGGTAAGGGCTGGCAACTACTGTGGTCTGAACGTTGGTATCTCCCTCAAATGCATATGTTGAAACCCTAACCCCCAAAGTGATGCTATTAGGAGATGGGGCCTTTGGGAGATGATTGGACTGTGAGGGTGGAGCCCTCATCAATGGGACTGGTGCTCTCATAAAAGAGGCCTGAGAGGGACTCCTTGGCCCTTCCACTAAGTGGAGACCCAACGAGAAGCTGCTCTTTATGAGCCACAGAGCAGGCTCTCGCCAGACACCAAATTTGCTGGTGTCTTGATCTTGGACTTCCCAGACTCCAAAACTGTGAGAAATAAACTTACGTTTTTCATGAGCCACCCAGTCTATACTATTTTGTTATAGTAGGCCAAAAAGACTAAGACAGGTACTATGGGGGTGGGGGATACCAAGTGAAAGTATTAACAGAACGAAAAAAATCTATCTATACATCTTTGCTAGGAAGAAAGGATATTTTCTACATTAACACATTAGGTAGAGCCAGGTTCAGTGGCTCACACCTATAATCCCAGCTACTAGGGAGGCTGAGGCAGGAGGATCACTGCAGCCCAGGAGTTTAAGACCAGCCCAAGCAACATAGAGGGATGCCCCACCCCAGTGTTAAAAAACAAATTAGGTAGAACACAGTAAAAACGAAAGGCATATTTTTCCACTGAACACATTTAGGTTTGTGGAAGAGTCACTCATAGATGTTGTTTTTCTTTTGCCAAATGATGGTGAAAGCTTTACCACTCACTGCCCTTGTCCAGGGATTAGCTGCTGGGAAGAATGAGCATTTTGGTATTGTGGGAGTGATGCTTTCAGTGAATAAAGAAGCAGGGCTGGATGCCGGGAAGGTAAACTAGATCGAGACCCTAAAGTGCCTTTAATGCCAAACCAAGAGATTCACAGGCTCAGCTCAAAGGTGATATTTTCTGTGAAGCTTTTTCTGATCCTTACCCCCAACTCCTCACCACCACCCCTTGCCAGCCTCTAGGTCCAACAACTCCCTCTCCTGCCTTTCTCAGACTTCAACTGAGTGGTACTACATGATGTGTGGATTCATCTGCCGTTTACCCTTGGGAATTCTGGAGACGCAGAATCACGTGTCTATTTCCGCATCCCTACCATCTAACCCAGCAGCACAGTAGGTGGGAATAACTGATTGATGGATGAATGGGTTCATCAATATATGAAAACATGAGCACATTAGAAGGATGGATAATGCAACCTCTAAAGTATAGCTTAGTATTTAAAAGAATGAACTAGGCATCATGAAGGGTTTCAAAATGCCCACGTTTGAATTCTGGCTCTGTTTCTGCCTCGCTATGTGAACTTGGGCAAATTACTGAACACGCCTGTGCCTCCGTTTCCTTGTGTGTAAAAACAGAATTATAATGGCATCCATGAGTTTATTATAATAATTAAGTGAATGCGTAAAAGTAAACCATGGCACCTGGCTCAATAATTTTTAGCTACTTTTAATGTTGTTGCTGTTATCTCCAGTATCATTCTGAATAAAACAGGTATGAAAGTTAATAACCACATTAAACCCTCAGAGCTGAGACCTCACTAGTTCCCTGGGCTCCAAGCCCTGTGCCCTAATCACCAGTCCGCCTTCTCTTGATGCACTCTTGAACTAGTTCACTGCAGATAAAATGTCTTCACCCACTACTAAGGACTTTAAAAAGTTTGCTTTCCAGGCTGTTCATAGGGAATACTAAAAGGGTTGCAGGTCTTCGGAGGAAGCTGCCATGAAATTGGTTCTAATGAGGAGCCAGGCACTTAGGAAAGAAACTCTTGCTCATCAATGGCTAGCATTTGTTGAGCAATTACTATGTGCTAGGTCAGAAGCGGGCAAACTGCAATCAACAGGCAAATCTAGCTTATTGCCTGTTTTTGTCGGGTTTGTGAACTAAAAATAGTTTCTAAATTTTTAAATACTTAAAAAATCAAGAGAAGCGTAATATTTTATGACATACAAAAATTATAAGAATGCAAACTTCTGTAAATAAGGTTTTATTGGAACACAGCCACACCCCTTCATCTGTGTATTGTCTGTGGCTGCTTTAGTGGCCACACACTTAAATTATTTTCTAGCCGACCCTTTACAGAGAAAGCTTGTTGATTCCTGTGCTAGTTGCTCTTTTGAGTTTTACCTGGGTTACCCCATGGACCAAAGTGCACTTACTGATCGCATTTGCAGTTGGGAAACAGATGCTTATAGGCAACTAGTAACTTACACCAGGTCACACATAAAGTAGGTGGCAGAAATGGGGTATGAGAGCTGAAACACTCATCAAAGATGAGTGACAGCTTTCCCCTTCAGTTGAATTTTTCCTAAGAATCATCAGCCTTGTTCATTCCTCTCAAAGAAAGATAAATGACTCTTGCTATCAGAAGGACTGAAATTAAGTGGAGAGGGGAGGATGCTTTTGCAACAGCTGAATAAACCAGATGGTGGCAGGGGGTTGGGTGGCACACATAGGACCCAGTTGCTCCAGATGCATGATGGGGAGTGGAGGGGTGGTGGTCAGAGTCAGAGGAGGGTGATGATTATCAGACAGCCAAGCAGCATCCTGAGTGGCAGGCAAGGGGTCCATTGCACAGGGTGTGGGCTGGGGACCAGTCTGGGACTAGGAGGCTCTGGGGGAATTGCAGAAATCTATGCTTCTGAGAAGGCTCCAAGAGACGTCAGAAAGAAGGCCAGGGCAGGGTGAACAGGGTACTTCCTGCCCAGGTCACTCCTGCCCCGGGTAGTTCCTGTGGGCTTCTTCCTTGAAGCTTTACCCCTGCATTCTACATCCCATCCCTGAGCTGGCTCATCTCAGGGTCTAGCTTGAGCCAAGCAAACCAGACACAGGATTTGGAAGCACCTGTGGGGAAAAGACCCTTCCAGAAGACAGAACTGTTTTTCAGAGTGGAGAAATGGGAGTGTGCCTGGCTGAGCCCTTATGTCATGGAACGTAGACTCTGCTAGGAGGGTTTTGTGTGTTCCATGTAATCCATATGGAACTTGTCAGATGGTGCAGTGGAGCACAGCCGGCCTATTTTCCCCAATACTCCTCTTTCTTCCTTAGCAACGGGGCTCTAGTTTTATGTGGGCACATGGCTGCTGGAATAAAGACTGCATTCCTCAGAATCTCTTGTTGTGTGTGAGGCCATTTGATAGAGTCTGTCCAAAGGTCTCTAAACCACAAGTTTGTGTGACTTCCAGAAAGTGTCCTTTAAAGAGAAGGAAAGAACCCCACTGTACTCTTTACTCCTTCCTGCTAACTCCAACTAGGACATGGTGGTTGGAGCCTAGTAGCCGTGTTGAGCCAGGAGGTGAACGCTGCTTGCTGAAGGTGAGAAAAGGGGCCTTTGGGAGGATCCCTAAAGATTTTGAAACCATCCAACCAGACCTAGACTGCTTACTTATAGATTTTCATGTAAGAAAAAAAATACACTTTTATCTTGTTTAAGCCACTGTTACTTTGGCTTTTCTTGTACTTATAGCCAAACACAACTCTAACACATACAATGTAGAAACAGAGGCTCAGAGAGGTCACATGACTCTCTCAACATCACACAGTTACTAGTTAGCAGAACCAGGATTTAACACAGATCTGCCTGACTTTAAAACCTACTCCCTTTAATAATAGTGATGACTCAATGACAGCTGACATTCATTGAACACCTACTATGTGCCAGACACTGTGCATCTTCACCAAACTGACTGGGTTTGAACCTAAGCTCTGCTATAAGCCCAGTGTCTAAGCTAAGGCAAGCTACTTAGCCTCTGCACTTCAAATTTCTCATCTGTAGATAGACTCAAACACAAGGCTGTAGAAAAAGTTAAATGAGATCACGGATGCAAAGTGCTGAGCATGATGGCTGGCACAGAGTGGGTTCCTCATAGATGACCTCCACTTTATTTCTGGATCCTCACTGCCTTACCATAGGCACAGGAAAGGCACCCAAGCAATGCCCACTGCATAGATGCCAGTAGCTGTCAGCTGCTCTTGAGAAGGACAAGACAGAGGTGAGTGAATTGATTCGGTCAGTAAACATTTCTTGAACATCTAGGGTGTGTCATGGCATGCAGGGTGCTGCTGAGGAGACACAATTCTTGGTAGATGAGAAGTTCACAGTAAAAGTGGTGGAGACCGGCAGCACGTCATGGGTGTCGTGGGAGAACAACGTGGGGAAAGTGCTCGAGAGGTCAGGATCCATCCCTCATCCAAATTAGAACAAGGTTCTGAGGGACACACCTGCAACCTGGGGAGACCACAGAACAGAAATCAGGTGAGTTTAGAGACCCAGCCCTCTGGCCAGTGAAGTCATAAGATGGATTCCAGAGAGCTTTCTGCCAGCTGGCCATGGTGGTCACATGTCTTTGTTGGGATTTTGGTTAGCTCAGAAGAAAGGGGGAGGCGTTGAGAGGCACCATGTGGGAAAGTCTCTTCGGCAAAGAATGTGGTTCCAGGGAAGATGATAATGACTCTGACCTGGTCATCACCCAGTGGAAGAGAATGAAATCACATGCCCTTAGCAATAAAAAGCATCAATCTGGATTATCCATCTCCTAAATAATATCATCTAAAGACACATAAGTGCTGGAGTTGAGAGGTAGTGGTAAGAACACGGAATCTGAAGTACAAAAGCTTATGTTCAAAGCTTTTATTCTTTCATCTACTAGCTAGGAGACATCTCAAGTCAGGGAATTGCAGTCTCAGTTTCTACATCTGTTAAATGGGGATTAATTAAAAGCCTAACTTGCTGTTGTGAGGATCATGTAAAATAATATAAGAGAAAGCACCAAATGATGGTCTTGCCATCAGGACTTTACCATCCAAATAACATCTCTAAGCTTCTATTTCCTCCTCTGGAAAATGTAAAGGTGTCAGGAGGATTATATTAAAGCAGGGAAAACACTCAAAGCAGCCTCTTCAAAAGTGGCAGCCACCACCCTCGTCATTAATCACAATAAGCTTCCCAGTGTCTAGGCTCCAGACTGTTTAGTTTAGAGTTTTCAGTCCATTTCAGAGAAGACAGATGTAACATGCGGTCTAGGAGCAGCCTTGGCAGTCTTCTCTGTAAAAGCAGTGCTTTCGCTTCAGCTGTCCTCACGCCAGGTGCATTTATGAAGGCTCTTGCAGAAAGCTGCACTTCATGTCCCTGGGGCTTTTCAAGCAGAGTCTTGTCTCCTCAGTCTGCCCTCAGCCCTCCTTGCAGGTGCAACTAGAAGAGAAACAAGCCTGGGGCGGGCTGGGGGACCCTCCTGCAACAGGCGGCCTGTGCAGATGAGCTGTTTGTTTAATGGGATGGGTAATCTTCATCTCCCCTAAAATGAGTGTTTAATAAGACTTTCAAGACTCTATCTTGAAAATTCTTGCTTTCTTATTCATGCCTTTTTGCTGCATACAAAAAGGGATGTCCAGTGAGATATTAGATTATTAGAAGATGAGGGTGTTCATGTGGACACCACCATGTAATAATGCACCTTTCCCAACTGTAAGCATATCTTTCTACCATTCTTAAAAATTGCAGAGCCTACAACCCATCTTAGATGTATTTTTTCATATTTTTTTTTTGTTTTTAGACAGTCTCACTCTGTCACCAGGCTGGAGTGCAGAGGTGCGATCTTGGCTCACTGCAACCTCCACCTCCCAGGTTCAAGCAATTCCCCTGCCTCAGCCTCCCAAGTGGCTGGGACTACAGGCGCCCGCCATCACACCCAGCTAATTTATGTATTTTTAGTAGAGATAGGGTTTCACCATGTTGACCAGGATGGTTTCGATCTCTTGACCTCAGGTGATTTGCCTGCCTAGGCCTCCCAAAGTGCTGGGATTACAGGTGTGAGCCACTGCACCCAGCCAGATATATATTTAAAATAATAACAAGTCTTCTCCTGACCAGTGACCAGGTAAAATTGCTTTGGGGGTTTTAAAAGTTCAGTAGTTGTATAGCCGTAGACTAAATACAGTGCCTTTAAACTGCACTTATGAGTCTACGTGTGTGCAGATATTTAAATGAAGAGGAAGAAAGGAAATGGTGGAGAGAAAATAGAAGACCTGGCATGTGCTAGGAGGTCTACAGGTGTTCCTATTTAATTATCAGAGACCCCTGAAATGGCATTAGTGAGCTCACTTTATAGTCAACAACAACAATAATCAAAGTAATAAAGTCATTGTGGTCGTTGCTGATGTTTATCAAACCCTTGCCATATGCCAGGCACAGTGCTAAGAGCCTTACATGCATTATCTGAGGTAGTCTCATATAACCCCAAGTGCTAAGGTGCATCACTATCCCCATTTTACACATTTGGAGACCTGCATTTATTAAACAGAAAAGCCAGGATCAAAATATGCACTCTCCATCACTGCACAGTAGGGTCAAAGGCCATGAGACCAAGATGGTAAGGCACCTCGCCTGGGATATGCAGGCAGGAGGTAAGTCAGCAGAGACTTGAACCTAGGTTTGCCCGACTGCAAAAACTGTCCTCTCTCAGTGCACCGGAAAGGTCTTCTTAGAGGCCATGGGGGCCGATGCTATTTACTCTTGAGCCTCAAACAGCCCTGGAGGTTAGATAAACAAGAAAGGTGAGCTTTTCAATATGTCAACCCAGGCGATGTCCTATTTAACTCAAGTAAGGGCCCTGGTGATGAGTTTAGGCTTCACTGTAGGTGTCGCGGGAAGCCGTGAGCCAGAAAGTGACACGTTCTTATTAAAGGTTTTTAAAAAGCACTCAGGACTCTCTGTAGAGAACAGACTGAAAGAGTGGGAGCAGGTTGCTCATTATATAATGTAAAGTTTCTAATTGCACAGAGACATTTTCCTTGTAAGAAAATTAAAATATTCAAATAAAGCCAAAGTCCCTCTTGACTACCACCCCCACCTGGATGCAGTTTATGCCGTCCTGGAGGAAGCGCTGTTTCCAGGGAGCTGACAGCTTCACATCCAAGTGGTGTTGTGAGCATTACAGAAAGCAGGAATGGCATCTGGATTATTCAGTGCAGCCCCCAGCAAGCCAATCAGGGTCAGCAAGAGCAACACACACTCAGCTGACTCTCACCCAAGGTAGAAGTTTCTACAGTTCACTTTTGTATAAATGATAGATGGGAGCACAGAGGAGCATGGAACACTCTTCCCAGGGCTGTAGAAACCGAGCAAGGTAATAGAGAGTGGACAAAACCTAGAAAGACAGGGAAGGTAATGGAGATAAAGATGGGCTTTTCAGGTAACTAATAATAGAAGCTATTTATTGATGCTTGTCTTGTGCCAAGTTCTAAGCATCTAATATGCACTCACTTATTTAAATCTCACCACTCTGCAAGGCTAATACAGTTGATTCTCATTATTTATGGTAGTTATGGTCTATAAAGACTCCATGAACATTGACTTAGCAAATAATGAACCATTGCTCCTAGAAGAAGTAAAGGGTTAGGTACCTATGAGTCTCTGCTCACAACATTTTTGTCAATCAGGGTATGTAAACTTATTGTATGTGTGTTTTTATTCAAACACTCTCTGCTCACATTTTTGTCAATCAGGGTATGTAAACTTATTGTATGTATGTTTTTATTCAAACACAGCCTATGTGATACATATTGCTGATTCACTAACACTGAATTCACAGCCTACAGCACCATAATTTATTCCTGAATGATGCTTCTCTAACACATATTTTCTCCACAAGGCATATTACAACCTTGCTTCACTTAGGAACACATGGCAGAGCTTCAGCACCAGGCTCGGGGAACTTGAAACAGAAAAATCACCAATAAAGGCACAACAGTGAGAAAAACGTGGAACTGAATATGCTGCAGAAAGGACACATATTCAGAGTATGAGAACGAAAACAAGAAGGCAGATTTTCACCTTATTCCACCTCTGCTAGGAACATGTAGGTTGAGTAACAAACGTTTCACTGTTCTGTGCATGTCCATGAATCAGTGACTTTGAAATCACCAGTATTGGTTTAGGGGCTACAAGTAAATTGCAGCAAGTAGGTGAATTTGCAACTACAGGGTTCACATATAAGGAGGGTCAACAGCACAATTATATCCCTATTTTACAGATGTAAAAGCCAAGGCATAGAAAGGCCAAGTAACCACCTCAGATCTTAAAGCCAGTGAGGGTCAGAGCAGGATTATGAACTCAGCCACTCACTCACCCTGTCCACGGCACTGCCCTCTTGCCTCCTATGCCATTGGGTGGGTGCAAGGGCAGTAGATGGAAGCCTAGGGTGTCTTTGCAAGAGACACCCATGTTTGCTGTGGGCAGAACTAGTGCAAAATGGGGAGAATCAGAGCTCGGCTATCATGGGGTTTGGTTTAAAGAAGGTTATGCAAGAGACATGCACTGCACACAATTCATACTTGATAAATAGTCCCCCACCCCCTCAACACACACAGAAAATAATAAAACTCCAAAAGCCCCTGAAGACCACACACAAGGTGTCTGACCTGACAGCAGATGCTGTTAAGCCTCTTGAATACTTCTTCCAAAGAAACCCTACTGGAAACTCTGCAGATGTACCAGATCCTATAATTTAAACATAAAATGTCCTCACTCGCACAGAAATGCCAGCAAATATTTTCAGATTCTTTGATCTCCATTTCAAAGCTCTGTAAAGCTTATCTGTAAAAATTGCAAAACTGGCACAAAACAAGGGAGACAAAAGATTTTTTTTAAGTGGATCCAAATGATCAGGAAAAATGAAAGTTTATTCATTTAGAAAACTCTATCAGTGGGTTAGACACCAATTAATTGCTAAGATACAGAATCCAAGAATGCTCTGTGTTCAGTGAGATGTCATCAATTTAATACGGTGCTTTGCTAATTGAATGTATAATTTGAACAAATTCAGAAAGAGTATGTCACACTTGAACAGGTTAAGAAAGAACACAGATTAAAATATGGAGGAGTCAAGCAATCAAGATAATTTTTTAAAAGAGATTTGGAACAATAGATGCATTAAGCCACTAAGTATTAGAAAATCCCGCCCCTGGTGGATTACCAAGGTCAAAAGGAGTTGGTGGCCAAGTGAATAAAGGCCTTTCGAGGGTTTCAGTGGGAAAATTGGTTCATGGCACAGAGGGAGTGGGAAAGCCACACCCTCCAGGGCTCTGTGAGAGAGAATGTGTGATGCACAGATGCACCAGGCAGGTGTGCCCCCAGCTGGAAGACTAACAGACTCAAAATAAAGAAAAAAGTCTATTTACCTATTTTGATGGTTACTCCATTTTAAACTGAGCTGGAAGCCACTGAATTTCTGAAGCTCTTGTAGAACATCTTTCTCCCACAGGGCTGAGTTTTGTTGTTGGTGAATCCTGGGGAAAAAATACTTGCTCCTCTGTATCTCGCTAATTTCTCATCTTAGTGATGATAATACTGGCTGACATTTATTGAATGCTTGTCATGGGCCGTGCATCATGCCAAACACTTGGCACACTTTATCTTGCTTAACCGTGATAACCATCTTAACGTCTATTTATTCCAGTTTTGCAGATAGGGAAATTGAGAGCCAGGGAGGTCAACCACATTTCCCAAATCCATAGTCAATGAGTGAGAAAGTCTGGATTTGAAATCATATCTATTTGCTCCAAATCCTGAAGTTTTAATTATTTTATAAACATTTCTCAAGGATAATATTGTTTTGAAAAGATGAAAACGTTGGCTATGAAGATAAATCTGCTGAGGTCATCAGAGCCACGAGAGAGTTGCGCCCGCTCATGGGTTTGTGCACCAGCCTCAGGGGTGCTAGCCCTATGTGATGTAATTCCAGTTCCAGACCCCTTTGCAGTGTCCCTTGGGAGATCACAGGGTAACAAAATGAAGGTAGCAATAGCCTGACTAATACAATATTAGATTTTATTGACTTTTTGATGCCCAGGACAAACAACAGTTATCATGCTTTTGCTACAAAATGGATATTCTGAGCAAGTTTATGTAAGAAAGAGAAAACTCCTATTCCCATTGCAACTGAATACATTCCATCCCAACTTCTGCCACCTCCCACTTTCAAAATAGCTGGGGATATTATCAAAGAGTACAACTCTTTGCAACCTTCACCCTTAATTCCACGATGTCTGCCCTCATCACATCCTCCCCTTCCAACCCATCAGTAGACCAGGCCAGGCAGGTCGACAGGCTGGCAGTTTACATCTGTCCTTTCATATCTTGCATGGAACAATCCAACAAACACCCCGCATGTCTGATGTGGGAGGATAACAATGATGCTATCTTAACATCTAGCATCAGGAGTTTCTCCCAGGGAAGGAACTGTCATTAGGAAAATGCCTTGTGGGGAAGACGAGGTCTGGAAGGCAGGTGTCAGCAGTACCAAGGTACCAAAGAGGTGATTAGAGAATCGAGTATCAGAAGTGAACAGACCTGGGGCTAGCAGGATGTGAGAAAGAAGGAGTGAGAGGAGCAAGAAGGAGGATCAACATTGCCAGAAGCTGGAAGCACATTTGTAGAAGTTAGTGAAAGCCGTCAGGATCAGGGATACAGGCAGAGTTGTAACTTGTGTGAGTACACTCCAGCATGCTCATGTATATAGCTCTGAACCTTCCCTGAAAGCCAATGCATGTGTGTGAGCTTTCTTTGGTGACAATTATTAAAAAGGTATGAATTTTCCTTTTGGGTTGATAGGCTATAAAATGGGTTGACTGAGCAGGATGCAGGGGTGGGTAGATGCTCCCCACACTGAACATAGCAAGAGCAGGAGCTGGAAATTGGTGTGAACAAGAGAATAAAACCACCCCTCTCCCAAATTCCCAGAATCTTGGAGAGGGTCCACTGGGGTACTTAAGGGTTTCTGGTTGTTTCATCCAGAGCTATATAACTCTAGAGGCCTCCACTGACTTCTGGGATATCCATAGGGACATTCTAAGACAAGAGAAACACAAGACATCACTGATGATAGAAGCCTGATAATAACAAATACAGTTTCCTGAGTGTGTGCCATTTGTCAGGCCCCATCCTAAGCAACTGACATGTGTTAATTAATTTACTCTTAACAACAAACCTTTAAATATGGAGTATTAATTTATTCATTTTATAGATGAGCAAACTGACACACACAGAGGTTGCATGATTTGCCCAAGTTTGCAAAGCTGTTGAGTGATGGAGCCAGGTGGAACCCAATCAGCTGGGCTCCACAACCCATACTCTTCAATAAGAAAATGCAGAATGAAAGAAGGTGGCTTGTTCCAGAAGCACCACTGACTCCAGACTCCAGCATTTTAAGTGGGAAACTAGAATGACCCCAGTACTGATTACAGAATTTTAGCCACCCACAAGCTAGTTCCTGGAAATAGAGAGATAAAGAACTGTCTTGGTTTGTGTTGCTATAAAGAAATACCTGAGGCTGGGTAATTTTCAAATAAAAGAGGTCTATTTGGCTTCCAGTTCGCAGGCTATACAAGAAGCATGGTGCCAGCACCTGTTTGTGGAACTTGGGGCCTGCACTGGGAGATATACCTCAATGCTCCAAAAGGCAAAGTCAACTAAAAGCCAGTAATGGGTCAGAGCATAGAACATACCCAGGGGAATTGCAAAGTTGCTACTTATGGGGGTTACTCTAAAGACTTATTTGGGGCTTTCCACTGTCCCCCATGTCTGGGAAGCTGTCATCCCCTCAGATGCTATACATGTAGGCAGCCAACAGCTCACTGATACACCCTTTTTCTGAGAATTGCCCTTAGATCAAGTGTCATCTTGTTGGGAAATGACTGGGTGGTTACATCTGCCCTGGAGGTGACCTGCAGTTCTTGACTGACAAAAGACCCCCTATTCCCATTGCCGCAAGGAGGGCTAGCTCTGTGGAACCATCATGAGCTCCCAGTGAGATCAGCACTTTTCATTCTCCTGCTAGCTGCCCCTTGACTAGCTATTTATCAAATCTCCCAAACCAACAGCCCACTTCCCTGCAATCAGGCCATCCAGGATAACACATACTTAGGTTTCTCTGCCCTGGGCTGGAATTCAGTCAAACACAGTGATTATCTTCTTTGGTCTCAGTTATTTGTCAGTGGTTAACTCATTAAATGGGGGCATGAATTTAACTTTTTAAAAACTGCAGTTTGTTTGGAGGAGACAACCTTTGAAAACATGAGTCTGTGAACAGGAAGTAATGAATCCTGGGTGGTGAGAAGAAATGCAAGCAATTACCAAGCCTCTGCTTACATAATGTTTGCTGACGCCCTTCCTTTTGGCTAAGGCAAGCCACATGCCCAAGCCCAGAATCAGTGTGGAGAACTGCAAAGGGCATAGGCACAAGGAGACACCATTCACAGGGAGCGGCAACATAGCAATATACCGCAGCCCATTCTCTGGCCCCAAAATCCACGTCACTTCCACGTGCGCTCATCCACCTCTAATACACGCAAGGCCTCATCCAACTATGGCATCTGCTGAAGTCCATGAATTCAGGCTTTGCATCAGGTCCAGATGGAGACAAGGCTGCTTGAATACAGCTTCTCAAATGCAGTTCTTTTTCTCAAAGAATTGTGAAAAAGATGGTGATCCACAGAAATTCTGAACTTCAGCTGCTTCAGCTGGGCACTTGCTGTTTGCTTCACTACTCTGGAAGAAGGAAATGTTTCTTTTCCTTTTTTTTTTTTTTTTTTTGGAAATGGAGTCTTGCTCTGTGGCCCAGGCTGGAGTGCAGTGGCGCGATCTCGGCTCAGTGGCTCTGCCTTCCAGGTTCACGCCATTCTCCCGCCTCAGCCTCCCGAGTAGCTGGGACTGCAGACGCCCACCACCACGCCCGGCTAATTTTTTATTTTTTATTTTTTTTTTATTTTTAGTAGAGACAGGATTTCACTGTGTTAGCCAAGATGGTCTCGATCTCCTGACCTCATGATCCACCCGCCTCGGCCTCCCAAAGTGCTGGGATTACAGGCGTGAGCCACCACGCCCGGCCAAAGAAGGGAATGTTTCTTATTTAAGATCCAGGTCTGCTTACTGGAGTGACACTCTAAGCTGCTCTTGTCTCTACTGTGAGGACCTAGGGCTCTGCCCTCTGAGATAATTTTTTATCCTTTTGTTAAGAACTGGGCCATGTTTGCAGCTGAGTAGCTTTCTCGGCCTGCTTCCTATCCATAGAAATTTGGGAGCCCTGAATCTTCTTTTCATTTTTCAGCTTACTCTGTCCCAAGCTGCTAAAAGTCATTTAAAATTTCTGCATGGGTTTCTTATGAATCTGATGGTGCTGGACTCCATGCCTGCAAGCCACAGCGGTAGTTATTTTTGAGACAGGCTTCTCTTTACTTTGGAGTATCAGGATGCTGTGGGGAAACTCTCAAGATTCTCAGAAGCTGAGAGGGCCTAGGAAACACTACCTTAAATTTTTCTAAGGCTTTAACTATTTCCCAGAGAACTCTTTAATTTCAGCTTGGGAAAGGAATTCCTATCTTCAGCACACTTCCAATTACCATGTCATCCAGTTGATTCTTGCAGCAACCCAAACAGGGGGGATTATATTGTCCCATTTTTCGTCTGAGGAACTGAGCCTTCAGAGAAGGGGTGTCAATTGCCTGAGGTCAAAGGGCAGGTTGTCCAGGCCAAGTCAGTCCACCTCTCCCCTCTCACCCACAGAACCAGGGGCACAGAACAGATAGGAAGCTTACCTGAGGCTACCCTGTCTCCTGCTGAGCCTTCTGTACCTGGGAAACTACTGCCCCAGACCACCCTCTCCTCAGAGGGAGGCAGCACAGCAGAGAGGCTGCTGTGGAGCTTGGGACAGAAAAAAATACTTTCCAAAGATATATTTCACTCTCTGATACATCCTCACCTCTCTGATCTCTCCACTTCAGAACTACAGGGGCTGCCTTGGGGTTTTTATCCAACACTCACATTTTCAGCATATCTATGCCATTTTAAAGCACCTTCATATCCATTATCACATTTGATCCATCATAGCAGCCATGCAAAATGGGCAGAAAGGGCATAATTATGATCAGCATGATGGATGGAGGAACCCAGACTAAAGGAGGGACTCAAGATGACGTCAGCCTTGGACAGAAGAGTCTCTGGGCTTCTGGTCCTGAGAGTTAGTGCTGGAAGTAAATGTGGTAACCATCACCCCTTATTTTCCAAATGTGGAAACTGAGGCAGAGGCAAGCCTAAGGTTACCCAGCTAGTTAGCTACAGGGTTAGGATTTGAATTCAAGCCCCTGCCTTGGACTAAGTTGTCAAGCACAACCCGCGGTGTTACTTGATTCATCTGCTTATTTTCCTCACCCCATAAGCCAAAACTAACTCATTATTTATGGGGGATGGAAATTTTTTATTTTTTGGGTTGTATTATTTTTTCTGTAGTTCTTATTGATGAGCATTCAAGCCTGCTCTAAAAATGTGTGGCTTCCCTCTCAGCTACATCACATGGGAGTAAATTTCCAACATCTTTTTCAACTTGGGAAAATGGTAGGTTCCTATCAGCTTAAGGGGCTCAAAGACTTAATCTTCTTAGGGTGAGCCCAGGCTGAATCAAATGAATCCATTTCTGTGCAACTGGACTTAGGCCCAGACTTAGAAATGAATCTCTTTAGTGAGGTCTGGAACTTGGTCATCCCATCAAAGCCAATTATTCTCAATGACAAGAACAGAAGAAAAAAGGGACAAGTTCAGAACAGAAAATTAGCTGACTCTATCTAGCCATTGGCCCTCTCTGTGCTTCCCTAAATCTGATAATAAATTAGGCCTGACCTGACTACTCGCCCATCCATCCATCCATCCACCCATTCATCCATCCATCCATCTATCCATCCACCCATCTGTCCATTATCAATTTATTCATCCATCATCCACCCATCATCTATCCAACCATCCATCCATCTAATTATCCATCAGTCCATCCATCCATCTATCCATCCATCCATCATTACAGTCTTTTTCTCCTTTTCCATCTCTGTGTTTTTCATTTATTTATTCATTCATTCATTCTACAATTTATTCACTTATTTATCCAACAAGTAGTTGTTAAGCACAGTTTTTTCTCTATAATTTCTAACAACAGTTTAGATTTCTCTTCCTTACTCCACATACTGTTTTAGACAAGAAAACTGAAGGCTCAGAGAAATTACATAACTAAATAACTACTTGTTGAGTTATATAAATTAAACTTCCTTGGAAGATTTTTATTAAAAGAGGAAGAGTGTCAGGTGTGAGCTGGTTATGATGATTAGCACTCCAAAGCCTTTCTCCAAGCTCATTTCTGAAGCGCTCAGCGAGCATTTATTGAATACCCTACTGTGCGTTTATTGAACCCTATCATGGGCCAAACAGGTAACAGGAACCAAGGCTACAAAGTATAAAACAAATTCTGATGGTTTCATGGGGGGTGAGTACTCAGAAATGTAAACAATAATCATAGTTTGTAAATGTTTAAGTGGAATAATAAAGATCACCAAAGGAGCAACTCCCTTGCTTAAGATGGATGGGAAATTTGCCTACAGAAGTTCAGAAGGAAAAGTGAGAATTTGAAAAATATGAGTTTCAGAGAGTTTTTAACCTAAATTTTTTATTGTAAAATTACTGTGTGCTTATAACAAACATTTTAAGAAGACAGATGGACAAAATGTCTAAAGCAAACCCTCTTACTCCTGCAGTACTCGCCCACATCCTTGAAACCCACTATCCAGAGTGCTACCTTTGTTGACTCTCTAGTGCATCACCCCAGAATTCTCTAGCCATATGCAAGAAAATTTCCCATTAGGAGCTGTACATGTGGGATTTTTATATCATTGGTCCTGCAATTATTAGCTGGCATCATTTGGTAAAGGAAAGCTTTTCTTTATCAACTAGGTGAACTATGGCTTATTCTAAAAAAGCAAAGTAAATAATTACTTCCTCTAGTTACCAATTTTCAGGGCAAGGAGTTGTTTGTCTCTTTCTATCTATCTGTCCATATTGCTCTTTCATTTTTTAAATAATCACTATGGGCTGGTAAATTTTTATTCACCCTGTATTTTGCAATCAACCAGTTATTTTTCTGTTTGATGCTCAAAATGTCCCCTTTGTCCAATGGGAGTTCCTAGAAGCTGGCTCTGTGTCTTTTTGGCATACCGTACACATTCTTGTTTTCTCATATAATACGGTTCATTTTGCACTTTTCCTGCCCCAGACTTAGAATCACCCATTTCTCCAATCCTGTTTCCTTTTAGGGGTGAATGGTACATAGAAATCAAGACCTGGGTGCTAGATGAGCTCATAGCCATTAGAGTAGCATTTTTTCTAGACCTATCCAATGGACAGAACCAGAAAATATATTTGTTTAATAAAATTATGAGTTCGTATTGATATTTGTAATTCAAATTTAACACTAGTGTTTATTCTTAATACTTTAATTCACATTTTTATTTCATTTTGTCTCAAACTAAACATTTTAGTTCCTGATAATATATACATGTATTTACTTTATCTTATAATGTACACTAAATAATTACAAAGCTACAATTATATCTATTAACAACAAAATTTCTGAATAAAATTTAAGAATTTTTGCAATTCTTTTTGTCCTTAAAGATGTATGGTCTAAGTATTATATTCAAAAGTCACTTGAAATCTTTTCTCTATATCGTAATGTTACAGATTTTTTATGTAATCAGGGTTATTTGCTTCTGTTTATTTTGTATTTTAGGTTACTTTTTTTTTTACTTATTTTTTGAATATGTAAAACATTTCCATAATTCAAAAGTCAAAAAGTGCATAAAAAGATTCACTCACAGAAGTCCGTTTCTCCACCTTGGTCCCGCAGACTGTAGAGCTAAATATCACTTTTATGAGTTTCCAATTGATTCTTCTAGTGTTTCTTTTTGTAAAAATAGTATAAATTTCCACCCTTTTAAATATGATGGTGGTATACCTTAAACAGTGTTCAGTATCTTGCTTTTCTTAACAAAATATGCAGAAAATCACTCCAAATCTGTACGTGGAGACCTTTATTTGTTGTTTTTTAAAGCTGCATAGTGGTCTACTATGTGAGCATGCCCTAGTTTATCCAGCCACTCTCTGAATGACACACATTTGAATTGTTTCCAGTCTTCTTGCTCTTGGAAATAATGCCACAGTGAATATGTTTTTCTCATATTCTCACGTAGGTTTTTCTCATATATCTTCAGGGTAGGCTCTTTGAAGTAGGATTGCTGGGTCAAAGTGTAAATGCATATGTAACATGTTAAATGCTGTAAAATGTTTCTTTATAGGGAGGGCCGGGCGTGGTGGCTCATGCCTGTAATCCCAGCACTTTGGGAGGCCAAGGTGGGCAGATCGCGAGGTCAGATCGCCGTCCTGGCCAACATGGTGAAACCCCATCTCTACTAAAAATACAAAAATGAGTTGGGCCTGGTGCCACGTGCCTGTAATCCCAGCTACTGGGGAGGCTGAGGCAGGAGAGTCACTTGAACCCGGGAGGCAGAGGCTGCAGTGGGCCGAAATCACGCCACAGCACTCCAGCCTGGCAACAGGGCAAGACTCTGTCTCAAAAAAGGAAAAAAAATTCTTCTTTATAAGGGTTGGACATTTTGCACCTCTAACAGCAATGACTAAGAGCATTAGCGTCTGCAAACAATGAGTTTTCAAACTCTTGAATTTCTGTGAATCTGACAGATAAGAAATAGCATTTCTATGTAGTTTAAGTTTGCATTTCCTTTATTGTACGTGAGTTGAGCATCTTTTCGTATGTTTAAGAATCTTTGCCTTTCTTTTCCTATGGACTGTTTATTTATGCCTTTTGCCTATTTTATTTTGAAGAGCTTTTTCATGCATTAACAAAGCTAGCCCTTTATGATACAAGTTGCAAATATTGTCTCTTGGCTTTTCCCTTGGTTTTGACCACTTTTGGGGAGCTTTGTAGTGTAAAACTTTTAAAAATTTAAGTTGAATTTATCAATCATTTATTTTAATACTTCTGGATTGTAAGTCATAGGAAAAAGCCTCTTGCCACTCTCAGGTTAAAATAAATTTCGCTATTTTAAAAATCTTTATATGGCTTAATTCTTCATGTTTAAATTTCCAATGCATTTTGAGTTATTCTGGGGTGAGGTGTGGACACAATTTTATCATTTTTCAGATATGTATCCAGTTGTTCCAAAACCATTTACTACAAGGCCATATTTTCTCCGGAATTTGTGATGGCCCCTTCCCTCTACCACATTTCCACGTGTACATGGTTATATTTCTGGACTTTCTTTTCTGTTTACGTTGGTTCTATCTACTTATCAACAACACTGTTTTAATTATTGCTTGTGTCATTTGTCTTCTACTAGCCCCTGTGGACCCAGTCCCCTGTTCCTGCACTCTGCCCTAAGCCCTGGAAGTTGACAAAAAGAACCAAAACCTCTCCCCTTGCCTTTGCTTCGTGGTTGAGTTTGGCCATCGAGGAGCTCTGGTGGAGATGTGAAGAAGGGAGAGTAAGGTCAAGGTATTCATTCTCCTTGCTCCTTCTTGCAGAGTCTCCTTGATCTGTCAGTGTCCCTTGACAGAAGTTCACCAATCCTCCCAAGGCATCCCTCTCTGCAGCTCTCCCTTCTAGGTTCTGCTAACCACTCCCTCCTCTCACATCTTTGGGTGCCCTTAGGTGATCGACAATAGAGCACTTACTGGGGAAACTGAATCATCCCTTGTGAATTTCCACAACCAGTCCCCACTCCTGTAAATAGTCCCATTATTATTTTCCAGTTATTCCAATTGTCATCTGTTTCCTGCTCCCCCCAAATTAATACAGAGGCTATAATTCTCATGTCTAGCTAGCTAGCTACCTACGTACTTATTTCTATCAATATACATATCTACCTACCTATTTATCTACTTATCTCCATCTATCTATCTACCTACCAACATACCTCTATCTATCTACTTAGCTAGCTAGCTAATAAACTTATACTCATTGTTTTACTTTTTAGTGCTTTCCTTGCTATTCTTGCCTTTTCTTTACATAAATTTTAAAATCAACTAGACAGATTCCATTAAATAATGTTGTTGATAACCATTAAGATAGCATGCAATGATCTGTTACCTCAGGGAGAATTTACATCTTCATGATACTGAATTATTCTTTCCAAGACCATGGATTGTCTTGACATTTCAAGTCTAGTTTTATGATATTGAAGAAATTTAGAACTTTTCCTCATATAGGAATGTACACTTCATGCTAAGTGCAATTTTCAGTATTTTTGATACAATACATGGGAACTTGCCCTCCGCTGTGTCTTTTAACTGGTTATTGTTATGGGAAGGCCATTGTGAAAGCTATTTATTGTTTTGTATGTTAATTTTATAACCTTCCATCTTACTAAGTAATCTTTTCATTTTAATAGGTTTTTTTCATTGTTATTTTGGGTTTATCAGGTAGAATTTTTAACAGCTTGAGATACAATTCACATGACATATAATACAATTTATTCATTTAAAGTATACAAGTCATTTGTTTAATATATTTATAGGATTTGCACCCATTACCACAGTCTCATTTTAGAACATTTTCATAGTTCGTAAAAACAAACTTTACACCCTTTGCATTTCTCCTCAGCCCACCTCCTCTCCCAGTCCTAAGAAATCAATAATCTACTCTCCTTTTCTAGAGTTTTTTTTTTATTCTGGGCACTTGCTATAGAAATGGAATCATTTCGTACGTGTTCTTCTGTGACTGGCTTCTTTCACTTGGCATACTTCTTAAGGCTCATCTATGTTGTAGTATAGATCAGTAATTCATTACTTGTTATCACTGAATAATGTCCCACTGTATAGATGTTTCACATTTTACTTATCCATTCATCAGATAATAGATGTTAGGGTTGTTTCATTTTTTTGGTTATTACCCATAAAGTTACTATGAACATTTGTGCACCCAATTTTGTGAGGATATTTATTTGATCTTGGGTGTATATCTGGGAGTGGAATTACTTCATTATAGGTAACTCCATATTTAACATATTGAGGAGCTACCAAACTGTCATTGTGGCTACACCATTTTACATTCCCATCAACAATGTATGAGAGTTCCAATTTCTACGTATCTTCACCAACATCTGTTATGATCTGTATGATAATAGTTAATACAGTGTGTATGAAGTGGTATCTCGGTATCTCATTGTGACTTTGATTTGCATTTCCCTAATAACTAATGATGCCGAGCATCTTTTCATGTACGTATGGCCATTAGTGTATTTTGGAGAAATGCCTACTCAGATATTTGGCCATTGAAAAAAAATTGTGGCCAGATGTGGTGGCTTATGGCTATAATTCCAGCACTTTGATAGGCTGAGGGAGGAAGATCACTTGAGCGCTGGAGCTAGAGAAAAGCCCAGGAAACATAGCAAGACCTTCTACTAAATTTTTTTTTTTTAATTAGCCAGGTGTGGTGGCATGCCTGTAGTCCCAGCTACTCAGGAGGCTGAGGTGGGAAGATCAATTGAGCCTCAGAGGTGGAGATTGCAGTGAGCTGAGACTGTGCCACTGCACTCCAGCCTGGGTGACAGAACGAGACCCTGTCTCAGGAACAAAAAATATATTGTTTGCTTGTCTTTATTATTGAGTCGTAAGTATATTCTGGATGTTAGACTCTTATCAGATATGTTATTTCAAATATTCTCTCTCATTCTGTGTGTTGTCTTTTCATTTTAATAATGTTATCATTTGCAACACAAAATCTTTAATGTGATCCAATTTATCTATTTTTCTTTTGTGGCTTGTACTTTAATCTGCCATATCTAAGAAACCATTGCCTAACCTAATGTTGTGAACATTTACTCCTGTTTTCTTCCAAGAGCTTTATAGTTTTTGCTCTTAAATCTAAGTCTATGATCCATTTTAAGTTAATTTTTTGCATACATGTGAGAGAGGCAGTCCAACTTAATTATTTTGCATTTGGATATCCAGCTGTCCCAGCACAATTGTTGAAAAAATAATTCTTTCCGTATTGAATTGTCCTGGCACCCTTTTCCAAAATTAATTGACCTTAACATAAGGGTTAATTTCTGGACTCAGGTAAATTTTTATATCAAATGAAAATAGAAATAATTTGGTCTTTTTCTTTCTAGTTTTTATGCCTCCAGTGGTTTTCTCTTGCCTGAAATGGTTGGCTAATACCTTTAATAAAAGCCAAAGGTTAGTGGGAATAGTAAGCATCCTTGCTTTGTATAAATTCTCTAAGGATCACTGACAAGAGGTAGATTAACAGGAGAAAATACATATAAATTTATTTGATCATAGTTTTACATGCCACAGTAGCCTCCAGAATGAAAACCCAATCTTCCAATGTAGTGCAGAATCTTGTATGCCATCTTACAGAAAGAATGGGGGCTCAGAGCACGAACAAAAACGTTATGGTGATAAATCAGGGCTTGGGGTAAGACAAGTTATGGGAGGGGGAGAAAAGGACACTTGGCTAGCAAAGACTTTTTTATTAGGCAGATGAAACCTCACAGGTAGCAGCCCTCAGAGAAATGAAATGATAAATGTTACTTTCAGACCTTTAAAGGTGTCAGACTTACAGTTTTTCTTTCCTAGAACTGGACAAAGGAAGGCCAGACTGCATCAATGCAGATTCTCTACAGATGCAAATTTCCTCCCTCACCCCCTTCCACAAAGGAGAGCTTTGCAGGAAAAATAGTAATCGGCTACATAGGCTCCTTTTTAATTGACTGTGTTGAAATTTTCATAAGGAATCTCAGATTAGATTTTTTAAAGCCTCAAGGCTAGAAAGCCAAGCCAAGGATTTGTCATCAGACTGTCCGTAATACCTGTATGAATTGGGTGAATTCCCCTCTTCTCAAGGTTCCAGAATAACTTAAGCTTCCTGGGCCTGTCAAAAAGTGCCATTCTTGGCTGGGCGCAGTGGCTCACGCCTGTAATCCCAGCACTTTGGGAGGCCGATGTGGGTGGATCACGAGGTCAGGAGATCAAGACCATCCTGGCTAACACAGCGAAACCCCGTCTCTACTAAAAATACAAAAAATTATCCAGGCATGGTAACAGGTGCCTGTAGTCCCAGCTACTCGGGAGGCTGAGGCAGGAGAAAGGCGTGAACCCAGGAGGTGGAGATTGTAGTGAGCCGAGATAGCACCACTGCACTCCAGCCTGGGCAACAGAGCGAGACTCTGTCAAAAAAAAAAAAAAAAAAAAAAAGTGCCATTCTTTCTTATCACAGGTCAAGGGACTGTGTTGACAAGGTACCAGGCCAGTCTTTCCAACGGGCTTTTTATGAGCTCTGTTAAGTCAACCTGAATTCCTAAAAGTAATCTGTTCATATCAGAAAATATGCTATACCAGGTGAGGCACTGGAGAAATAACCAGTGTCTCAGAAACGCTAAGGCCCTCACTTGTTATACTTAGTAAACACAAGAGTTTAGCAATTAGTTGCTTAGTGGTTTTGTCTGATTCCTAAAATGAACATTACATAAAGACCGTACTAATTCAAATGATCTGGACATGTAAGGAGTTGTTTCCTGACAAATCAGAAGCTCAACAGTGGCTTCTCATCATAAAGATTTCATGTGAGTTTCTCACCCCAGCATCACCCCTGTAACCCATTATTCCTATTTCCCCAGTTTAACTTTATGCACACTTGTATCTGGACAGATCAACGACTGTGGCTTTTGATGGTTCCACCACTGCATATAAAATAGAGTCTCAGCTTCTCAGCAAATGCCTTGTGATCTGGGCTGTGCTTACCAATGAGCCACTTATCCCCATAACCCAGTCTCACAAAATTACTCGTCTGTTCTTTCAGATGTCTGGGCCTTCATTCCTGTGGTTCCCTTGCCTGTGTGTCCTCCTCTGTATTCAAACACTACTGAGCATCTTTCCGTAATTCATTTAAATGACTCCATTCCTGGCCTCCCAGTCTGGTAGGGCAGCTTTTTGCTCCATGCTCTCCCCATTGTAGTCCTTAGCAAAATGCATCCCCATTTTCTTTGTGTGGGCGTGGGTGTGGGTATGTTCTCCTCTATGCTGTGAGCCTCTTCAGAACAAGGCATCAGAAGTCCAAGTGACTTCCTTCCTAGTGGGCCCTTCCCTTCTGCTCTCCCAAGAGTCTCCTGTGGCTTCAGGCTCCTATTCCAGCCAATGCCTTGCTCTTAAGAGGCTCACATTAATTTAAGAGGCTTGCATTAATTTCTATAACCCCATGGCCAACACAGTACCAAGCACAGGAGAGGTGCCCTGTAAATGTTTGAATAAATATATGCAAGTCTAATCTAAGAACCTAAACCTAACTAGTGTTTAATCTCCGACATCATTAAGATGGTGCAGCCACCCCTTTGGTTGTATTTTCCTTTATTCTAGAGAACACTAGCTCTAGGAGAGTCTTTCCAGAGGAAAAAGTTCATGGTCAAGCATGCCTGGGAAGTGCTGTATATTAAGCTGTCTTTTTAGGCACATAGGAACATTAGTGCATTAAAGGATCTGAGAAGCCCTTGAGTGCTAAATCAGGTTTTTCTTTTTTCAGACCAGTGTTTCACAAAGCTACTTGATTATTAAACCTTTTCTCCAAGTAACACCTTATTCCCTTAGAAATGATTGCTCTGCAGAATTCTTTTGGAGTCACAGAAAGAGGAAGCTGATTAGTCTTACCTCCCCATCCCCAAAGCCACAGGACAGGTCACTGGCAGAGAAGGAACAGGAATTGTGGTCATGGACTCTTGATGTGAAGACGGTTCTAGGGCCATATAAACAGAGTTTTTGATCTACCAGGAATAGTTGGTAGACTGGGCACTTATAGCCATGATTGAATGTCATAGCTTGCAGAGCCTGTTTGATTGCGGAAACAGAAACTCAGCTCATGCCGGCTTATGGTCTGACATCAGACTCAGCTGTATCCAGAGCTCAAACTCACCAGGAAGCAGTCTTCCTCCATGTCTCTCAATTCTACTTTCCTCTGTTGGGCCATATTATCAGACGTGCTCCAGATACATGGAGGTAGAATGACCTCTGACCATTCCCAACTTACTCTGCTAAGTGAGTACATCTAGCGGAATGAGTGCTTTTCTGACCTGATGGCTCCAGCCAGAGTCCCACAACTACAGTTGACTCTCATTGGACCAGCATGGGCCATTCACCTAACCCTAAACCAGTCACTCAACCCCTAATTGGAACAGGACTAGGTCAAAAGATCCTTGGAACAGAAAGATGGATTTGTTCTACCTAAACCACAAGGAAATTATCATTGGAAAAGAGGCAGTTTTCCAAAGGAAATTAACCGGGATGCTATTGCCAGATGAAAGGAACTAGTGCAGACAAATCACAAAGGCATCATTTAGCAAGAACAGCATAGATGTCGATTAAGCAGGAGACATAGGCACTATGCTAAACATTTTCAATGTATTATATACAATTATTTTCCCCATTTTGCACTGAAGTCTAGTGAAGTAAAGTGGTTCACTCAAGGTCACGTGCAAGTCAGTGAAGGAGCTGAGGCTTAGCCTCGGGTGATTTGACTCTGAAGTCTGACCTCTTAACCACTGGGCTGGGACTGCTTCAGTATCAGCTCCTTGTTTCCCTGTCTGAACTCTTTTCTTGTTCACAGGACTTTTAAAATTCTTTTTATTTAGCTTTTTTTTTTTTTTTTTTTTTAAGATGGAGTCTTGCTCTGTCACCCAGGCTAGGGCTGGAGTGCAGTGGTGCAATCTCGGCTCACTGCAACCTCTGCCTTTCTGGTTCAAGTGATTCTCATGCCTCAGCCTCCCAAGTAGGTGGGATTACAGGCACCTGCCACCATACTCAGCTAATTTTTGTATTTTAGTAGAGACACAGTTTTACCATGTTGGCCAGGCTGGTCTCAAACTCCTGACCTCAAGTGATCCGCTCACTTCAGCCTCCTAAAGTGCTGGGATTACAGGCGTGAATTACCTCTCCCGGCCTATTTTGCTTTCTTAATAATCACATTTTGTAGTAATGAAATGAACCTGGGTCATTCAAATTTGCTGCATTTTCAAATGCCTCTCCTCCTCCTCCCCCAATCTGTTCTTCTGAAACAGCATCTTGTTTCTAATGAGTGATCCAGTGGGAGTGGGTCTTACTTTGCCTGAGCAGACTTATGATGCTTTGAGTGGACAGATGGATCTGGCAGGCTTCATGGGCAGCAAGCACCCCCAAGCCTTTCCTTTCTCTCCCATCTCTTCATTAACCACTTCCCTTTCTATTTGCATATCTCAGAGACCCTTCCCAGGACCAGCTTGGGGCCCGGAAATGTGATGTTTTGGAGGATGACCCCAACCAAGTGACTTCCTGCCTAGTGGGCCCTTCCCTTCTGCTCTTCTGAGGGTCCCCTGATGCTTCAGTCTCCTTTTTCAACCATCTGCATCCCCCATCCTAGCTGACTCATGCTCAGGAAACTTCTCAGCCCCCATTTAGACATTCCTCTAGAATCTGAGGTGCACAGAGAGCTTAGCAATATATGTGCCACCGTGGTGACATGGGAAGACTTATTTGCAGAATACAATGAAGAGTTTAAGAGAATTTGGAAAAGAAAAGGGAATTAGCACTTGTGTATAAGTTATCTATTGCTCTGTAACACATTGCCTCAAAACTTGTGTCTTAAATCTACAATAGTTTATTATTGTCTACAATTCTATAGGTTGACTGGGTGACTCCTCTGCTGGCCTAGTCTGTGATCACTGATAGGGCTGCATTCAGCTGAATGGTCAGATGGCCTCACTCATGTGCCTGCTCATTGGTGCCCCACTTCTGGGGACCTCAGTTCTCCTCGACACGACCTCTTATCCTTCAGTATCTAGGCGGGCTTGCCCACATGGTGGTCTCCAAATGGCATCCCAACAGAGTGAAGGAGGAAGCTGCAAGCCTTAGGAGGTTTAGGCTTTAGAACTTGGCACAGTGTCATTTCTAGAACATTCAATTTGTCAAAGCAAGCCACAGGCCAGCCCAGACTCAAGAGAATGGGAAGTAAATTCCATCTCTGGATGAAAGGAGCAAAAAAGGTACATTGCAAAGGGATGTGCATATTGGGATGGGCAGAACTGGTGGCCCCTAAACAAGCCACCACAACCTGCATGGTCTTTACTGCATATTCACTTAGTAAGACAGTGGACAGGGCAGCACTGGACAAGGAAGGTAGATGGACAGCAGATACACGGCACATCCAAGATTATAACTAAGTAGTTCTTCTTCTCAAACACATCCAGATTTCAGAGCTGCTACTCTGTGAGGTCTTTGTAGATAACAATTAGAGGCAATCTAAGGGAAAGGAGCTGCCTGTGAGGTGGTAAGCTCCTCGTCTCTGGCATAGCTTTTACTCATAGATATGGAGCTTATATTCTAGGCGAGAAGACAAACCACTGGACAAGAAGTCAACCTGGAGTGTGAGAAAAGTATGTACTGTGAACCAAGGAGAGGCAGTGGGATATACAGAGCTTCAGAATCTGGTAATTCTGCATTAAAATCCTAGCTCTGCAAATACCTACAAGCAGTGTGACCCCAGGTGAGTTACCTGTTTATTGTGGGCCTCAGTTTCCTTGTCAATAAATTGGGAGTAATGATAGCACCCATTCATTGGAAATTTTGCAAAGTATAAAATAATAATTCACATACAGGAAGTGCTCAATAAATGGCAATTACTGGTATGTTGTTGCCATTATTGTTACGATTATCATTGCTACAACATGATATATGTGTTTGCTTCCCTAACATCCATTCTTACCTTCTGCACTTTGAGTGGGATTAACCTTACTCCAGTCCAGGGATTGGCTTTGAATGTCTAAGCCAGTTAGGGTAATTCCCTCCCCCTTGTCACATGATTAGTTCAAACTCTAGCACGAATCCCAGTTCTCAACCAATCAGCATATACCATACCCTGGCCACGCACAGTGACTAGTTTAGAGGTGGTCATGTGGCCTAAGGCAACCCAATCAGAGTGAAGCTCATGACTTTGCTTTGATAGTTGTGAGAAAAGACATCCCTCTGTCACTCCTTGAGTATGACCAAGGAGGCAGTTAGCCCCAGCAATGGTTGTAAAAGGGTGTAATTTGTAAGTAGTCATCTTGTAACCATGAGGAAAACCATCCTGGGGATAAAGCTGGCTCACAGAAGACTGAAGAGCTAAGAGAATCTCAAAGAAATGATCTCGAAGTCACTTCACCTGGGAGAAATGATGGAATCATTTCCCCCTTATCAATTACCCTTTATTGAGAACATACTATATATGAGGGATAGGGCTCATTGCTTTAAAAATGGTATTTCTAATTCTCACAACAAGCCTACAGGGTGATTTGATTACTACTTCCATTTTACAGCTAAGCAAAATAAGGCTCAAGGTCACTTGAGGACCTGAACTTGAGCTGCTAGACCCTAAAGAAGTGTACTGATTATTTAGCACCATTTGAGTAAATGAACAAAAGGTTGAGTTCCAGCCCCATCTCACTCCATCTGATAGATAAAGAAATTGAGATGCAGAGAGAGAAATAAGAACACAGGCCCAGGGCCCAGCCTCCTCCCTCTGCCTATGCTCTTGACCTGCCTGAATATTTGCACCCCCAATCATTGCTCAAGTGGATCCCATTCAGGTGCTGCCCGACTGAGATCTTAAAGGTCCCCATTGAGGCTCAAACTCAGTGTTCAGGTTTCCATTTGCAAAAGACAAGGCTAGAGATATGCACATCTCTGTCTCCAATCCATTTCTTTCATATTTGTTACCATCAAAAGGAACAAAATACCCTTAGCAAAGTACAGAAAGAGACTTACTATTACAGAGAAGCCAACCATTGGAGGGAAGAGAGACCCAAGAAGCAAGTTATTTTAACCTGAATGAAGGTGAACGAATAAAATTAACACTTATTGAGTGCCTTCTATAAACCAGATAGTTTCATAAAAGCACTTAACATAAAGTATCTCACTTAAGCCTAACCACTCTGCAGCCCAACCCAATGATACCATCCCCATTTCACAGATAATGAAACAAAGTAGGAAAAGTTAAGGAACTTGTCCCAGGCCCCACTGTTTATCGGTGGCAGAGACAAGATCGAAACCTTGGTATGTGCTTCCAAAGCCTGCGTGCTTACCACTTTGCAGGTGCCTCTTTGAAATTGCTTCCCCTCCCACTAACTGGCTCACCAGGCAACCAGGGGGCAAATCAAATAATGGCTGTCAGTTTGTGCTGGACTTCACCATGTAATGAGGCATTTGGGGAATGCAAATTCTGTTCTACGAGTGGAGCACAAATGTGAACATTATAGCATTAGACTCGAGGCTTCCTCCTGAGACTGGGATAATACCTTGCAGTGCTTTCTCTGCTGGAATTCCAGAGGTTAAGCCTCTGAAAAAGACATGATCAGAAGGAGTGGCAAACTCAGGAGTAAGAGGTTCATACGCCCAGTCATGGGGGAAAAAAAAAAAAAAAAAGCCATGTAATCATGAAGAGTGAGAACCGTAAATAGAACAAACTTTCCCTGGGCACGTATATGGAAGCACCCCTCCCAGTCAGTTCCCAGGATTACGGATAGTTCACTGACACAGGCAGGGTCACCGAGTTCCTGGCATCTGAATGTTGCTTTTATGGACTTTTCCCAAAATTCATCCATGAAAATGATTGCTGAAGCCCAGGCAGAGCTCAGTGTCCAAAGGAACAACTAAAAAGGAAACCCACAGACATGGGTCATTTGGTCCTGGCAGATCCTTGCCAGATGACTTCAAATATATCTTCTCCCTTAAACTTCACATCCAGACGGAAAAACTAATATTACTTTTTCCACTTTCCAGTTAAGATAACTGAGTCTTGGGGAGAATTTCTTATAATTATGCAGCTGATAAGTGGCTGAGCCAGACTAGAACCTCATTTCTTCTCTTATCTCGTTGCCATCCCCACTGTCCCTGACTTTATGCAGAAGCTCCGACTCAGGTGGAAATGGCCCCCAACACTGTCACCTGGTCTTGCTGGCCACCCAAGATGCCCCAGAGCCACCATTTACAGGGTGTTTTCCACTTGTGGTCATACCAGTCCCCTGAGGGTCATTGGGCAAGCTGAACAGGCTCTTCTGTGATTTTCAGGCCTGGATCCCCACTGAGCCCCTCTTTCTTCAAGGTCAAATTTATTGATCCAGATTCTTTCACGACCTGCCTGCTTGTCCTCAAGGCCGCCACATTCAATTGCAACCTCTTCTTGAAAGCTTTTCTTCACTTCTCCCAAGCCTGATCAAGTACTGTGTGTCAAAGCACTTCCCTATTTAGTACTTGATGTGAGAGAAACCACTTCTCTGGAGACTGCACCCGTCTTAGAAAGAGCCTGCAAACCCTGACATGGGAGCCTCGAAGGTCCACCTCTGATTGGTCTAAGAGTAAATGTAAGATCTAATCTGGGCCAATCAGAATGTCTCTCTGGCAATAGGAACATATTTTCTAGAAAGTGGGGAGAGAGGCTGGGGGCACTCTAGACAGAATGATTATGAGTGGCCTTGGTCAGGGTACCCTGTTATTTCTTCTCTCCCAAAGCCTTGTCATTCCATGGCATACTCAACGTACATCCAATAGGTTTTTCTTTTGTTCACGACGGCTATAGTAGCTTTCTGTAATATGCAACCAAAGCAAAAATGCTGTATTTACTTGCTTGTTCTTCTTACCTTCCCACTTCACCAAACTCTCTGAACACAACTTTGTCCTAAATGCTCGGCTCAGAGAAAATACTGAATCAGGATGAGTGAATAAATGGCTGATAGCCTCATTTTTCCACTTTCTTTCCTCCCAGACATCTACATGCTTCTACATCCTTTTCTTTATATATTTTCTCTCAAAGCATGCTATTAAGCAACTATTCTCTTCCAAGATCTTGCTAGAACAATAAAGAGCACAAGGATGCATCATGCAGGGGCCCGTCCTTGTGTACTTGGAGTCTAGGTGACTAAAGCAGATATTGGATGCCTACTGCATGCTGTGCAAAAGCACTTTTACATATCATCTCATTAAAATCTCACACCACCTTGGAGAAAGGTGTTATTATACCTGCTTTACAGAAAGGAAACCTGAGCCTCAGAGTTGAAGTGACTTGCTCAGTGCCATACAAGTAATAAGTGATGGGGTTGAGATTTGGTCCAAGCTTTGTCCATTTCCAGGGCCCACTGGGGCCAGGCTAGTCAAGGATTAGAGGCTATTGCAGCCTGGAGAAGGTTCTCTTGGTCAAGTGGTAGAAGCTGGAGAGGAGAAGACAGCAGAAATCTGCTAAAGGAGATGTGTCAGCAGATTGGGAAAGGGAGTTTTCTCTGGGTCCCTGGAGCTGTCCACTGGAGAACCAGCTGTCTGGGGACAATCCTGGATACAGGCCCCAAACATTCCTTACTTACAGCTCTTATCTCCCTTTCTAATGGTAAAAAATGATGCCAAATGACAAATAGAAGGAAAGGGCTCCTTTCCAGGTACCAGCGAATGATCCAGGCGTCAATATTTCAGGACAGTACCAAGCGCAAGTGGCCTCATGTTCTCTCAAGTCTGGTTGGGTCAACCCAAGAGGCCACTGGGATGCCTTCAAATGTATCTTGTATTTATTCTGGAGCTAAACTATTTCTGTATTAGTCAGGTTTCTTTTGGCAGAAGTCAAATGCAACGTGGCTTAAAGAAAACAAAAATGAAATTTATTGACTCTTATAAGTAAAAGGCCAGAGATAAGGATGTTTCAGAGGATGGATGGTTTCAGATTCTCAGTCAGTGTCCTCAGAAATCTAGCTCTTCCCATCACTTTATCGGCTTTCCTCTGTGTTGGCTTTACCCTCATACGGTAGCTACAAAACCCCCTAATGCCTTCAAAGTTTGTCTACCAGCTTGAAAATGCCATGTAAAATAACTACCTCTTTCTAAATAGCTCTAGCAACATTCCTGGATTGATGCAATTGGCTCTGATTGGTCAGACATGTAATATGTGCTCATTCCAGATTCAATTTCTTAAGGCATCTAGGGTGTCTATAGACCAGTCCTGGGCTGTAAACCCATTCTTGGAGCTATAGTTCGGGTAAACACCCTGGGCTGACCATGCAAAGTAATAGTGAAAAAGAGATATTTTCTAGTTCCTCAAAGGAGTATCCAGGTGTTGTTCTCAAGAGAAGGAGGAATAGATGATGGGAAGGCAAAACAGTAGGGCTGAGTAACCTGGAGAAATATTTATTCACTCGTTCCTTTACAGCACGTGTACTGCACAGAAGAGATTATGCTGGGAATGAAGAAACATGAGACCGTGGTGTCTGTAATAAAGAATAGCATCAGGAGGGGTGTGGTGGCTCATGTCTGTAATCCCAGCACTTTGGGATGCCAAGGCAAGAGGATCACTTGACTTCAGGAGTTCAAGACCAACATGGAAGACATGGTGAAACCCCAGCTCTGCAACAAATACAAAACTTGGCTGGGTATGGTGGCACAGGCCTGTCATCCTAGCTACTTGGGAGGCTGAGGTGGGAGGATTGCTTGAGCCTGGGAGGTGGAGGTTGCAGTGAGCTGAAATCGCACTACTGCACTCCAGCCTGGGTGACAGAGCCAGACTCTGACAAAGAAAAAAAAAAAGGATCAAATTCTTCTATTGCTCTTTATAGCCTAAAAGGTGCTGTCACCTTCATTACCTCATTTAATCTCTATTTTAACTCTGCATGATGTCGACAGCCCTACTTTATAGTGAGAAAACTGAAGTTCAGAGAGATAAAGTCATTAGTCTAAATTTCCTTGGTGTGATGGACTGGATTCTTCTACTTTTTTTGTTTTATGGGGTGTTTTTTGTTTTTGTTTTTTTTTTTAAGAGACAGGGTCTCACTCTGTCACCTAAGCTAGAGTGGAGTGGAGCAATCATAGCTCACTGCTGCCCTGACCTCCTGGACTCAAGCAATCCTCTTGCCTCAGCCTCTCAAGTAGCTGGGACTACAGGCATGCACCACTGTGCCTGGCTAATGTTTTTTTGGTAAAGATGGAATTCACTACACTGCCCAACCTGGTCATAAAATCCTAGGCTCAAGCAATCCTCCCACCTTGGCCTCCCAAAACATTGAGATTAGAGGCATGAGCCACCATGCTTGGCCTAGATTGGATTCTTTATCTCAAATCTGCCACTCTTCCCTGTAACAGGATTATAAATCCATGCCCTTTGTCATGTAATTTGGCAGGTCTCTTGGTATGCCCACCTTTGACTCTGGGCTAACAGAGTGAAAATGGATGTGATGTGCACCACATCTCAAGGGAAGCTTAAAATGTGCTTACAAGTTTCACTTGCCTATTGAGCTCCTATGCTCTGCCATCAGAAGAGCATGCCCCAGAAAGCAATGGCTCCAGAATATGCTCAACTAGAAATGGGTTCTTGAGACTCACTCCCAGATTAAAGAAGCATTCAGAAAAGGCTTGAACTCAACCTACTGCGGGAAGCCAAGTCCAGCGGAACTCATCAGAACCACAGCTGACGCACAGATCTGAGGACAAGAAGATCGTATTTGTTGTTGTAAGCCACTGAGATTTAAGGGGTGTTTGTTACACAACAAACACTGACTAATGTACATAACTAATAAGCTTATAAATCAGGGTTTTGGAGGCTGATCTAATACAGCAACACAGAGCATGGAGAAAGGGTTTTGAATGCCAGCTACCAATTTAGACTTCACCCTGAGGATAGTTGGAACTACTGAAAGGAATGACCTAGTTAGGTACATGTGTTAGCACACTAGGTCTAGTGCTTTCGTGAACAAGGCTGTGAACAGGAAACCCAAGGAGAAGGTGGGATCTAAGGTCCAGGAAGAAAAATGATAAGAGATGCAATGATGACAGCCCATACACGAATGCAGTTTTTCTGTCCAGCTGCTGCAGCTTCATAATTGCTCAATTCAGTTAAAATCATCAAATTAACAAGACCAGGCTAATCTCTTATGATATCTGCCAAAAATAAGTCTATTGAGTAACCTATACAATTGGCAACAATAGATTTTTTTTAATCCATTATCTCCTTTCTGCTTAGAATTCATTTGATTGTAATGACTAAACACAATTCAGTGTTGCATTTTATACATGCATCAAATACTAGCTCCAATTTCTGACAAAGTGCTCATGAAACACAGCTACTTCATTTATGTTCATTTGTATGCAGCACAACTGACTTTGGAACAGGTAACATTAAAAGTGATCCTGGGACCGAGTGCAGTGGCTCATGCCTGTAATCCCAGCACTTTGGGAGACCAAGGCAGGCGGATCACCTGAGGTCAGGACTTCCCGATCAGCTTGGCCAACATGGTGAAACCCAGTCTCCGCTAAAATTACAAAAATTAGCCAGGTGTGGCGGTTCATGCCTGTAATCCCAGCTACTCGGGAGGCTGAGGCAGGAGAATCGCTTGAACTGGGGGAGGTTGCAGTGAGCCGAGATCACACCACTGCACTCCAGTCTGGGCAACAGAGTAAGACTCTGTCTCAGAAAAAATAAAAATAAAAAAAGAAGTGGTACTAGAATATATATGACATATATTTTAAAGATAAACAGCCATGGCCAGGTGTGGTGGCTCACGCCTATAATCCCAGCACTTTGGGAGGCTGAGGCAGGCAGATCACTTGAGTTCAAGAGTTCGGTTAACAGCCTGGCCAACATGCTGAAACCCCGTCTCTACCAAAAACAGAAAAATTAGCTGGGCATGGTAGTACACCCCTGTAGTCCAAATTACTGGGGAGGCTGACACAGGAGAATTGCTTGAATCCCAGAGGTGGATGGTTGCAGTGAGCTGAGATCACACCACTGCACTCCAGCCTGGGTGACAGAGCCAGACTCCCTCTCAAGAAAAAAAAAAAAAAAAAAAAAAAAGATAAACAGCCATGCTTTTTAAAAAAAACTTAATGAATTTTAGAACCAATGTTAACTTCTGAAAATAAGTGTTTGCAGAGGGCCTTTAAACATGGGGGTTCACATTCAGATTCCGCATATTGTAAGCCTTGCATTCTGCCAGTCTTCTACTTTATCTATTTATCTCTCTTAACCCATATGATTATGTGCATTTTACCGATGAAGAAATTGAGACTTGGGGAAGTAACAGGACTTGGGGGTACGAAAGGGGAGCATTAAGAAGAAATGTTAATGTAATAAGCTGCTTAGCAGGGCTACTTGGACAGTTCCTTTCAAAAAAAAAATTAATTTTTAAAGCCTACTTCTCTGAGCCTCAGTTTCCTTATTTGACAAAAGGGTATGAAGAGATCAATGTCATAGTGTTGCCATAAAGGTGAAGTATATAGTGTGCATTTGTCATTCTTGTTGCCCTTCTAGCACCTGTAAAAGCCCTTTTAAGTTAGAAAACTTCCTTGCCATGTGAATTTTGACTCCCTAATTCACTTTACTTTTAAACAGCTTTATTGAAATATAATTTACACACCACATTTTTAAATTCACACATTCTAAGTTACAACTCAACGGACTTCAGTAAACTTAGAGAGGTGTAACAGCCATCACTACAATCCAGTGTTTCTGTTTTTGTTTTTGAGATGGAATCTCGCTCTGTTGCCCAGGCTGGAGTGCAGTGGTGCGATCTCAGCTCACTGCAACCTCCACCTCCCAGGTTCAAACAATTCTGCTGCCTCAGCCTCCTGAGTAGCTGGGATTACAGGTGCCTGCTACCATGCTTGGCTAATTTTTGTATTTTTAGTAGAGACGAGGTTTCACTATGTTGGCCAGGCTGGTCTTGAACTCCTGACCTCCAGTGATCCGCCCATCTTGGCCTCCCAAAGTGCTGGGATTACAGGTGTGAACCACTGTGCCCGGCCACCACAATCCAGTTTTGGAAACATTTTCGTCACTCCAGAAAGATCCTGCATACCCATTTGTCATCCAGCCCCATTCTTGCTCCAACCGCAGCCAGGCAAACACCAATCTGCTTTCTGTCTATAGATTTCCCTTTTTTTCCTGGCTATTTTATATAGATGGGATCACACACTTTGTGATCTTTTGTATCCACTTTTTTCATTTAGCATGTTTTCAAGGTTTTTTCATGTGCCTTTCTATAGTTGAGTAGTATTCCATTGTATCAACATACCACAGCTTTGTTTATCCCTCACCCGTTGATGCACATTTGGATTATTTGAAGTTTTGTGATTCTCTTAGTCTGTTTTATGCTGCTATTACAGAAGATCACAGACTGGGTAATTTATTTAAAAAAAAACAAACAAACAGGAATGTATTATCTCACAGTTCCAGAGCCTGGCAAGTCTATGATCAAGGCACCAGCATCTGGTATTGGCCTCCTTGCCATGCCCTCATGGCAGAAGGTGGAAGAATGAAAGGGAATAAACTGTGTGTCTTCACATTGCAGAAGGGCAGAAGAGAGAGAGCCCACTCTTGCAACCCCATTTTATAGTGGCATTAATCCATTAATGAGCGCTCTGCCCTCATACGCTTTCATTTCTCTAACTAGCTTTTCCAGGCTCCCTTGCAGCTAGGGTACAGGCACATAACCAAGGCTTCACCAATCACAGCCCTAGCCATAATACTTCTGTTAATCCCCATGGCAGCTCTATCAGATGGACACCATTGCTATCTATAGCAATAAGTCGTACCATCTTCCATTTATTGAACATTTGCCACATGTTCAGCAGTGGATTTTGTCACATAATCCTCACAACAACCCTCTGGGGTAGGCACTATTATTTTCCCCATTTTACAGATGAGCAAAGAGGTTAAGTCATTAGCACACCGGAAAACAACAAAGCCAGGATTTGAACCCAGGCAGCCTGACACCAGAGGCTGCCTGCTTAACTGTCGTCTCTTCATGTTCTGAAAAGTGGCAGAATTTGGTCCCTAAGTTCAGATCTAGTTGCACATGTCCTGTTTTAAGAGCCACAGTGTGCTCTTCCTCTAACGATAATCAGCAGCACATTGTATCACTAATATGCGAGTGGAGCCACAGCAGAAAGCATCTGCCAGGTCTCAGAGCACTGACAGGCACTATCACCAGAGCAGCGCTCTGCAGCCTCTGGAGGTCACTGACATCCACAGTTCCATGTAATCATCTGGTCACCAGGCAAAGGGAGGATCATCAACCTCCTACTGACAGTTGGGGAAACAGAGGCTCAGAGAGGTGCAGTCACTTTCTCAAGCTTGCACAGAGTGAGTCCCAGAAGCCAGGACTCCATTCTCACCAGGCCATTGGTCAGTGCTGAGCCCTCTCCAAGCCCTGACTCCAACCACCACAGGCCCCAGGCTCCACGGGTGGTGGTTGAAGAGAGTAAGAGCTTGCCATTGCCCTGAGTGGTAGTGCAGGGTTGTCGGTGGGCTCTAGGACCTATCAAGCTCTGGATCAAATCTCAGCTCTTTCATTTGTCACCTCTGCAACTTGGAGAAATTCTTTATTCTGAGTTTGTCTCCCATTTTGTAAAATGTTGAAAGGATAATATTCCCTCGATAGGACTACTGTGAAAATTGCTTGCTAGAAAGGTTGCTGCAGATTATACTCTTGCTAGCAGTATATGAAAAGTACCCATTTTCCAGCATCTTATGCAAAGGTATCTGGTTTTTAAGAAGCTGATAAAAGCCCAGGAATGTGCAGATATTTTCACCACTGACTCTGAAAACTGACAAAAGAAAAATCAGAGATTAATTTGTTTCTCCCCAAGTTATCGTATATAAATAACCACTTTGCTACAAATTAGTTGGAGACGAACTTTCTGCCTCAAAAATCTAGCACAAGGACTTTATGCTTTATTTTGACAAGTGAATTTAAGACAGTATTTGCAGCTTCATACATTTATTCTAATTATTTCAGCGTGTTTGTTTTTTTCTTCATGTTTTATATAGATACCAAATTTAGCTACATGCTACAGACAAAATTGCTGCAGAATTCTGATGACATGTATATTCCTACTACTGTCCTCTCCCTCAACAGTTCTTAGAGAATAAGAGAGTATTGGCTGGAAGATGGGGAATTAAATAGGATAGGGGTCACATGTGTTATATTTCGAGGGACCAGTTTGTTCCATGAACCTTCATGCCAAGGCCTCTGTATGTGGGGCCCCAGTGCTGAATAAAATTTTGATCCTCTAGATTAATAAGGCAGGGTCTCTGTCCTTGAGAATCGCATCTAGTGGAGGAAGCAGGCTAGAAAAGAAAGGTTTGCTAGGGAATGCCATGAGGCTAACAGAGATGTAAAGAAGCACAGAAGACGGCCCCACTAAATAGAAATCAGAGGAGGTAAAAAGGCAGCTTGAGCTGCCAGGTCCAGCAAGTGAGGGTAGACAGCTCCAGGCAAAGGATACAGCATGGGCAAAGGATACAGCATGGGCAAAGGCAGGGAGGCATGAGAGTTCACAGTAAGCTTGAGAAAGCCAAGAATCTAAAGTGGTTAGAATCCCGTGTGTGTGTGTGTGTGTGTGTGTGTGTCCATGTGTTTGTAGAATATGGCTTGTAGAAGAGGCAGGGCAGGGAGGTCAAGGCCAGGTGGATGAACTGACTAAGATGATTAAAGAGCGTGGTTGACATACAGAACCACATGCATCAGGCTACAGGCATTGGAGAGTCACTGACGTTTCTATCCAGAGGAGAATAGGATCTGTTTGGCATTTAGAAATATCATAAGGATAAGTTTCCATAAGGAGGATGGTGTCCAGCAAGGTTTGGTGATAGGAAGTCCATTTCAGAAACAATAAGGCCAGAACCAGGCCTTGGTGGTGGAGGTGGAGAGGTGGAGAAGGCTGTGGGAGGCACATAAGAAATAGAATTGACAGTTCTTATTGAGTGACTGGCTGTAGAGAACTAGGGAGAGAAAAAACTTAAAGTTATGCCCAGTCTCCTGGTCAGGCAGCCCAGAAGGAGGGAGGCAATGGAATCTTTCTCAACAGTGGAGCCTGGGGAACCTGGGGCCGTCCACGTGGCCATGCCCATGCCGTAGAGGGGGTAGGGGCTGGAGGTAGTGACTGAGTTGCAGAGAGATGGTAATAGAAGCCTTGGAAAAGAGGCCACCCCAAGGCAGGTTGTGTGTGTTGGTGGAGGGGGTGGGGGTAAGGTAGAGGTCACAGGAGGTTTAAGGGGCTCATTAAGGGAAGCTCTTCTGTCTGTGATTTGTGTGAGAAGCATCAGGAGCTGCAGAGTAGCAGAATATGCCACCCCAAAATATGCTACTTTGGCATAAGAGTTATTTTGAACTAAAGACATTTAAAAAACAGAAGGTGCAGGAAGGGCACTGTGGCCTCCTCCTTTCTTCCTGAAAGGGGGAGAAGAAATTTCCTTGTGAAAGGTGCCGTTTTTATACCAGGCAGAAGAAACATTCTTATCACCAAAGACAAGGAATCGAGGCAAAGAGAATTCCAAACACAGAGACCTTGTCAAAATCACTCTCCTACCTTCCTTCAGTCTCCTCATATATCTTAGTTACTTTCCCACAACTGTCTCTCTTTGCTCCACCGAGGATATTAGCACTTAGGTTTGCCACTTCTTTGGGTCTTCATTTCCTTGTGAGGGTTCCCGTGTCACCTAAAACTTATATTTACACCTTCTGCTTTTCTCTTGTTAATCTATCTTTTGTTACAGAGCCCCAGCCAAGAACCTAAGATGGATAGAGAAAAAAGTTTTCCTCCCCTACAAAGGCAAGGATAGAAAGGCTGCTCTATGGCATCAGGGATGCTTCTGTTTTGAAATAAAATGTATAGAAGCCAGAAAATATGTCCTTGGTTCTTCTCCCCAGAGACTGCACTGGACTCTGTTGCAGGCTTTTCCCTCCTAAGCAGAGGGCGGACACTCCAGGGCAGAGGGCGGAGATGCAGGTCTCACTCGGATCCTATTTCCATCAAGCTGCATAAATTTCATCATCAGCTCAATCCCACCATCACGAGTCTCTCTTGCCTGAGAGAGGAATTGACTTTTACATGCATTCTATCTTGTTCAGCAAATGGCTGTTAACTTGCCGGAGTGCAAAGTCCTTTCCTGTGCCCTGGTGTGAGTTCTGACTTCCCTGGGAACATGCGTAGAAACAGTTAACCCCTTCCTGTCAGTTCCACTGCGGCCCTGAGGATGTTGGATGTTTACCAACAGGGCACGAATGTGAGACAGTCTATCATTAACTTAGGAGAAGTCTTCAGATCCCCATTGCTTCCAGGAGGAAGAATAGGGAGAAATCAGAAGACTTCACAGGCTGCAGACAGTGGTGGTCAAGAGTTCAGTGGTCACACTGACTTCCCTCTCATTAGCCGTGTACCCCTGGGAAAGACGCTCCTTGCCTCTGTTTACTTATCTGCAAAATGGGGAACAGTGCTTTCTACATCTCAGTGTTGTTAAGAGAATTTAAGTGAGTATATTTCTTATGGGAATATAAAATGTACTAAGAGTTTTAAGGTGGGCAAATATTAGCCTGGTGCAAAAGTAATTGCAATTTTTGCCATTACTTTCAATGGTGAAAACCGCAATTACTTTTGCACCAGCCTAATAAAAAAAGGAAGAACTGACTGTAAATTAGCTGAGTCATCTGGACAACAATGCTGAGAACATGAACTTCCAAAGCCAATTGTGTGTGTGTGTGGCTTCTTTAATATCCAAGTCCAAGCCATTCCTAATTCAAATGCTTAAGAGTTTCACAAATATATAGATTTTGGTCAGGTGTGGTGTCTCATGCCTGTAATCCCAGCACTTTGGAGGCTGAGGTGGACAGATCGTGAGGTCAGGAGTTTGAGACCAGCTTGACCAACATGGTGAAACCCCGTCTCTACTAAAAATACAAAAATTAGCCAGGCATGGTGGCACGTGCCTGTAATCCCAGCTACTTCAGAGACTGAGGCAGAAGAATCTCTTGAACCCAGGAGGCGGAAGTTGCAGTGAGCCGAGATCATGCCACTGCACTCCAGCCTGGGCAACAGAGCGAGACTCCATCTCAAAAAAAAAAAAAAAGAAAGAAAGAAAGAAAGAAAAGAAAAGAAAAAGAAAAAGAAAAAAAAATATATAGATTTTTCTGTCTTGGTGACTTTGGGTTGAATTCTATTTTTTTCCTTAGCCAGATTCCTATAGTCATTTTTCTTTCAAATTTGTAGGCAGTTAGAAAACTAGAAGAAAATGAACAAGGGAGAAATTACATAAAGAAGCTCATTATGGTGGGGAAAAGATAAAGTGGGTGATTAGAACTGGACACTCAGTGTCTAGGCTGAGTCTACCCCTGATCAGTCTCATGTCTCCAGACAAGAGCCTGGAGTCAGAAAAATTATAGCTGGAAAAGGCTTTTGAAGCCATGATATCCAGCTGCCTCCTTCAGGACAGGAGGGAGAGACTGAGGCCCAGAGAGAGGATACAAGCTTTCCTAGGTGGCCCCGTCAGCAAGTGGCCAAGCCGATACTCCACTTCAGGTTCAGATGCTCTGGCTCTAAATGGGGCGATTGATATGTAGCCTCCCTAGCCTTCAGGCTGTATATCACAATTGTCAAATAGTTTATTAACTACACAAGCCTCAAGGGCCTCAAGTGTGCTCTGAAGACACACATGCTGAGATCTGAACTTTGGCTGCAGCAAGTACTAGCCGTGTGAACTTGATCTTAAACTTTCTGAGCTTTTATATTCTCATGTACAGATTCAACGAGATACATACAGATAGGATAATAACAGATGGGATAATGCAAACAGATGGGATAATATATACAGATGGGATAATAATATGGGCCTACCGCACCATATAGTCAAAAGGACAAAATGAAATCCCACTTACAAAGCACTTAACACAGCAGCTGACACGCAGAATCTGCTCAAGGGATAGCTGGTGTTTTCGTTATTGTTACATGTAACCTGATTTAATGAATATTTGCTGAGTGCTTACTTGAGTCCAGGGCATGTGGTGTGTAGCTGGGAATTCAGGGAGGGGAAAATCTGACCCTAACTTGGAGAAAAGGGGATGGTGGAGAGAATAGTACATAGTTCATGCATGGCAAATTCTAGAGAGAGAGATCTGAGAGTAAAAGGGAGTGAGAAGAGAGGGAGTACTTCTAACTGGCAAAGTCAAGAATGGCTTTCAGAGGAATGCGGTGTTTGTGATGGCCCTTGAAGGATCTGTAGCTTTGGGGCAAGTACATGTATTTGGGGTAGGTAACTGTGGTTGCTTAAAAAGGGTAATTTCAGGTAAAAGGAACAGCATTGATCAAAGGCATGGAGGGTGAAAACAGCCATGGCAATAATGAGAAGTTTCAGGCTGGTTTGGATGCTGTTTGCATGAATCAGTGCCGATTCATGCAGCCAGGGTCTGCAATGGAGCAGTTATTGTCCTGTCTGCCCTATATCCAGTCTCCCCCACCCCGCCCGCTGCTCTGATCACTACATTCTGCTTTCCCTTTCCTCTCTGTGTGCCTGTGGTTCAGGTGGGGCTGACTCTGGCCCCTAGAAATAGTAATTGGTTCAAAAGTGGAAACATGACCTGTGCTGGGCCAATGAAGATCTTCCCTGGGACTTTTGCTGGACCTCTTGGGAAACAGGCTTTCTGTTTCCATGGGGGTTTAGCTAGTAGTGTGGAAGCTTGGAGCTGCTGGTTTCCATCTTTGCCACCACTTGGGACAGCTGCATAGAAGTACCCCCACCACAGAGGAGAACAGGACTGAACTCTGGAGAAGAATTCTGGTGGTGTTTGCGAGATATGATGCCAGCTGTACTCTAGAGCTTTCAGTTGTGTGAGGCAGTAGAATCCTCTTTATTTTTTCTTTTGCTAAAGCCTATTTGTATTGGTTGCCACTAAAAGAATTCTGATTGAAAAATAATATTAATAACAACAGCAGTTGGTTTCTAGTGAGCATTAATTACATGCCAGGTGGTGTTTTAGGAGACTTATAAGTAATAATCCATTACTCTCACAAACAACAGCAGGTGCTAGTTAAAATCCCTCTTTTACAGGTAAGAAGCACTAAAGCCCAAAGAGGACAAGTAACTTGCCTGATATCTCATAGCTAGTAAGTAGTGGAGCTGAGATTTGAAGCCATGGCATTTATGCTCTTACCAGCTATGCTATATTAACCCCCAAGATTGGCACAATGGTTTCCTTCAATGAACCAGTGGTCCCTGGATCCTTCACGCTCTGATTCTGCCCAACTCACCTTATTTGTAGCATGTTATTCTGAGTGTAAGAATGTCCACGGTTACCACCCTTTCTTTAATAGTCTTAACTGCAGTAGAAAATTTCATAGAACTTTGATTTTTAGTCTTAAAGCCCTTTGCCCTTTTTCTCCCAGGAGGCCTAATAGGTCTTTATGAACAGGGGACCCCCAGTGGCCACTCAAAATGCCTCTCTCCAGATGTAGGTTTACACCACAGTGTCCCCACATTATCCTACTCAAGAGTTTCCTGCTACAGCCATGCATGACTCTCCCACAAGGCTGAAAACTTTAAGGACATCAACCTTAACACAATCTGATAACTGCAGACAACCCGAGTAAAGTGGTTGTTTGGCTATAATGCAGTGAGCACTTCTGTGCCAGGTACTGCCATCAGCACTTTCCAGGCATCAGCTCTGGATTTGAACCTGTCTGCCCCTACATCCAGTGCTCCAACTTCATACTGAACTCCAGATCACAAAAATGTCCACGGAAAAGCACAGCCAGAATAATGAAATAGACTGTCTTCTTTTAGAAGCTGAAGGGAAATAAATTTGAGTTTGGGACACAGAAAAGGAATCTGAGATCGTAAACTGTGGCTAGTAAATGTGCAGCCCACACTAGGAACTGAAGTTTCATCTAAGTGGGATGAAATTGAGGATATTTCATGTGAATGGGAGGGGAGGGGAGGGGAGGGGAGGGGAGGGGAGGGGAGGGGATGGAATCAAAGCTAATCAAGTCAAACTGAAAATGATGACAGAAAATGGTGAAACCCTGTCTCTACTAAAAATACAAAAATTAGCTGGGCGTGGTGGTGGGCACCTGTGGTCTCTGCTACTCAGGAGGCTGAGGCAGGAGAATTGCTTGAACCTGGGAGGTGGAGGGTGTAGTGAGCTGAGATTGCACCACTGCACTCCAGTCTGGCAACAGCAAGACTCTGTCTCAAAAAATAAAATAAAATAAAAATTTAAAATAAACAAATAAATAAAAGTGCTACTCCAGTGAACACACAAATAAAAAGAAAGTGAAACAGCCTTATTGCTGTTATGGAGAAAGTTTTACCAGTCTGGATAGAAGATCAAACCAGTCACAATATCCCCTTAAGTCAAAGCCTAATCCAGCACAAGGCCCTAACTCTCTTAAATTCTATTAAGGCTGAGAGAGGTGAAGGAGCTTTGGGGAAAAAAAGTCAGAACCAACCGCTGTGGTTGGTTTATGAGGTTTAAGGAAAGAAGCCACCTCCAAAATAAGAAAAACAGCAAGTGCTGATGTAGAAACGACAGCAAATTATCCAGAAGATCTAGCTCAGATCATTGCTGAAGGTGGTAACACCAAACAACAGATTTTGGCTATAGACAAAACAGCTTTGTATTGGAAGAAGATGCCATCTAGAAATTTAATAGCTAGAAAGGAAAAGTCAATGCCTGGCTTCAAAGCTTCAAAGACAGGCTGGCTCTCTGGTTAGGGACTGATGCAGCTAGTGACTTTAAGTTGAAGCCAATGCTAATTTACCATTCTGAAATTCTCAGGGCCCTTAATAAATATGCTAAATCTAACCTGTCTGTGCTCTATAAATGGAACAACAAAGCCTGGGTGATAACATGTCTGTTTACAGCATGGCTTACTGAAAATTATAACCCCACTGTTGAGACCTACTGCTCAGAAAAAGATTTCTTTCAAAATCTTACTGCTCTTTGACAATAGGCCTGGTCACCCAAGAGTTCTGATGGAAATGTACAAAAAGATTAATGTTGTTGTCATACTTACTAATGCAACATCCATTCTGTAGTTCATGAAAAAGGTAGTAATTTTGACTTTTAAGGCTTAAATGGCATTTTATAAGGCTATCGCTGCTATAGATAGTGATTGCTCTGGTCAATCTGGGCAAAGTAAGTTGAAAACTTTCTGGAAAGAATTTACCAGTCTACATGGTATCAAGAACATCTGTGATTCACGGGAGGAGGTCAAAATATCAACAGGAGATTAAAAGAAGTTGATTCCAACCCTCATGGATGACTTTGGGGGTTTTGAGACTTCAGTGGAGAAAGTAACTGCAGATGTGGTGGAAATAGCAAGAGAACTAGAATTAGAAGCGGAGCCTGAAGATGTGACTGAATTATTGCAATCTCATGAGAAAACTTCAACAAATGCAAAGTTGCTTCTTATGGATGAGCAAAGAAAGTGGTTTCTTGAGATGAAATCTACTGCTGCTGAAGATGCTGCGAACATCACTGAAATGACAACAAAGGATTTAGAATATCACATAAGCTTGGTTGATGAGGCGGCTGCAGGGTTTGAGAGGACTGACTCCAATTATGAAAGAAATTCTACTGGTGGGTAAAAAATTATCAAACAGCATTGCATGCTATAGAAAAATCTTTCATTAAAAGAAGAGTCAATCTATGTAGCAAACCTCGTTGTTGTTTTATGTTAAGAAATTGCCACAGTCACTCCAGCCTTCAGCAACGACCACCCTAATCAGTAAGCAACCATCAACACAGAGGCCCTACTCCACCAACGAAAAGATGATGACTCACTGAAGGCTCAGATGATCATTTAGAATATCACGTAAACTTAGTTGACAAAGCAGCTGCGGGGTTTGAGAGGACTGACTCCAATTATGAAAGAAGTTCTAGTGGTGGGTAAAAAGTTATCAAACAGCATTGCATGCTATACAATGTTTTTAGCAATACATACTTTTTGACTAAAATATGTACCTTTTAGATATAATGCTATTGCACACTTAATAGACTACAATATATTGTAAACACAACTTTTACATGCATCAAGAAACCAAAAGCTTTGTGTGATTCACTTTATTTCAATATTGTGGTGGTCTGGAATCAAATCCACAATATCTCCAAGGTATGCCCGTATCTATGCACATGTATATAGATATGGATATAGCTAGATATAAATTGAAGGGGGGTTTCATAAAATAGTATTGATCCATACTACCCAGAATGTACTCTATTCTCTAATCTATATATTTTATTCTAGTCTAATCTTATTTTAATTACTTTAGTCTTGAACACATTAAATTAGTTTTATTCCCCTTGAGTAGGTTGAACTTGTAATACGGAAAGCCCTGTTCTGCTGGAAAGGGCTCTCGGCGGGCCTGAGGTTGAATCCCAGTACTTCGTATATTCCCTATGCAACTTTATGATCTTTCAGAGTCTCAGCTGCTGCATCTGTAAAATGAGGGTGATACCTCCTCTGCCAGGGCCTTGAAAGGGACAGATGGCATTGCACCTGTAAAGGTCCCAGTATAGTGGGATACTGAGCAAGAAGTCCTTAGCATCACCAAACTGTAAGAGCTACGTTTGACCCAATGCAATAATTCCTGATTCTCTTAACATCAAGGAAAATGGAAGGGGGAGGAAACATTCCCACTTCTCTCGCCTCTCTGTCTTAGTTCCTCTTGGTGCATGGTGGCCAGTCCAGCTGAAATGTGGCATTTCCAGCACAGGAACCGTTGTTCATCCAGGTTATGGTTGGAGGTTCATGTTCCCCAGGCATTCCTCAGGCTGCCCTTCTGCCCTGGGATCATTTCAGAGAAAAGCAGCGTCTCAGGTAATTAATCACTGTGAGCCAGGGCCTGTCTGACTCATGTCAGGGAGCAGGCAGCATGCCAGGGAGAAGCCATTATTCAGGATTAAAAAGCTCTGACCTGCCAGGGAGCAGAAAGACAAGCCAGCTGCACAAGCTAGAAAATGGTCTGGTAAAACATTGAACATAAAAAGGAGCAATGGAGACCTAAAGAGATATCCAAGGCTATGGACTCAAACAATCTTCTTTCCAAGTGTTTTGGCCATTTGTTCATCTGCTAACCCATCCATTCATTCATTTCAATACAAGTGGGCACCCGTCATGTTTTCCAGCCCTGCTCAGGCTCTAAGGAGACCAAATGAATAAGATGGAGCCCCTGCCTTTGAGGAACTCACAGTACAGGGGGCCACAGAGGGAAGTGAACAGTTATGGTGTATCAAGATGAATGGCACCATGGCTTGGCTATCATGAATAAAGCCTCAATGAGCATGGAGTGCATATGTATCTTTGGGATACTGATTTTAATTCTTTCAGATGTAAATCCAGAAGTGAGATTTTTGGATCATATGGTAGTTCTATTTTTAATTTTTTGAGGGACCCATACTCTTTTCCATAGTGTTTGCACCATTTTACACTTCCATCACTATGCAGAAGAGTTCCAATTTCTCCACAACCCAAATGTCCATTAACAGACAAATGGATAAAGAAAATGTGATACAGAGCCAGGTGCAGTGGCTCATGCCTATAATCTCAGCACTTTAGGTGGCCGAGGTGGGAGGATCACTTGAGGCCAGGAGGTCGAGACCAGCCTGAGCAACATAGAGAGACATCACTACTAAAAAAAGAAAAAAGTGATATATACATACAATGGAATATCATTCAGCCTTAAAAAAGAAAGAAATCCTACCATTTGAGACAGCATGGATGGATCCTGAAGACATTATGCTAAGTGAAATATGTTAGTCACAGAATGACAAATATTGGATGATTCCATGTATACGAGGCATCTAAAATAGTCAAAATATAGAAGCAAAAAGTAGAATGAGGGCTGCCAGAGGAATGGAGAATTGTCGTTCATGAGTACAAAGTCACAGACAGCTAACAGTACAGTATTGTACAGTTAAAAATTTGATGAAGATAGATCTCATGTTAAGTATTCTTACCACAAAAATAAATAAATAAAAGCAAAGGGACCCAAGGAAACTTTGATGTGATGGATATGCTTATTGCCTTGATTGTGGTGATGGTATCACAGGTGTTTGGCAATGTCTAAACTCACCAAATTACATACACTAGATACCTGCAGTTTTTGTATATTGATTATACCTCAATAAAACTGTAAAATTCTGAGACGGTAGAGAAGGAAGAAGTGAAATTATTACATGCCAAAGTTTTTATTACATCAAGACAAATGATAAAATATGTTATCCTGATATTTGCAATTACAGAAAATATATTCAATTGTATGTTCTGTACTTTGCAAACTTTCTCACAATGAGAAAGTTTAAGGTCAGGCACGGTGGTTCACACCTGTCATCCCAGCACTTTGGGAGGCTGATGTGGGAGGATCGCTTGAGCCCAAGACTTCAAGACAAGCCTGGACAATGTGGTGAAACCCCATCTCTACAAAAAAAAAAATACAAAAATTAACCAGGCATGTTGGCACATGCCTGTAGTCCCAAATAGTCAGGAGGCTGAGGTGGGAGGATCACCTGAGCCTGGGAGTTTAAGGCTGCAGTAAGCCAAGATTGCGCCTCTGCACTCCTGCCTAGGCAACACAGTAAGTTCCTGTTTCAACATGAAAAAAAGTTTATGTCAGAAAAATAAACAGTAACTGCAAATATTAAAACATTAAAACAGAAAAGCAAATGATTACTCTCATACTTTTTAACACTCTGTATCATTTATCCATGTGCTAACAATCTGCCAGAACTTTTGTATATCTTGATGTTTACTTTTTTCGCTGCCATTTAACCAGATTGCATGATGATATAAACCTTAAATCATTCGGGGTGAGGTGATGAATAGCATAGAGACCATGGGGACCCTGCGGATGGGGTGACTGTCTTGTTCTAAGAGAACAGTGGAAGACAAGATTATCAGGGGAGAAGAAAGAAAAGGGGAAATCCAGGCAGAAGGAACAGCCCAGGCAAACTTGAAGGAAAGCCGGTGACCCAAAGGCAGACTGACAGAGATGGCGTTTGAAAGGGAGTCCAAGGAAAAGGTGGCTCAGGAAAGAGAGGTTGGGGGAAATTATGAAAGACTCTGAAGGGCAGGCTCAAGGACATCAGCTCCACCCTGCAGGCAATAGGGATACATCAAAGGATTTGTAGGAGGGGGTGACAATGCCAGATTTGTGATTTATAAAGAGTCTCCAGAGCAGAGGTGAATGCACTAAATAGTTTGCAGACAGGGAAATCATTGTGGATGCCGTCCAAATAGGAGAGTATGAGGAACTAGGGAAATTTGAACACTGACTAGATATTTGTTTATATCAAGAAATTGGTGTTAATTTTTTCAGATTTTAAATTTTTGTGCATATGTTTTTAAAAAGTGAGTCCTTATATCTTAGAGATATATTTATGAATGAAACGATATGCTATCTAAAATGTTTTTCAAATAATCTGGGTATGGGGGTACAGGACTTTGAGTGGAAGTAATAGATGATAGATATAATAGTAATAGAAGTAATTAGCTCTGAGTTGATCATCACTAAAGCTGAATGGTAGAGGTACATTGAAGTTCATTCTATTATGGCTCTACTTTTGCTTATGTTTGAAATCTTCCATAACAAAATGTTTTCAAGATAATGAAGACTTAATGGAGAGAAGACAACAGAGTGCTAAGATATCTAGAGTAACTATTCTGTTCCAGAGGGCCTTGTGTGTATTCATTACCCTCACAGGCACAACCGTCCTATGACCCAGACAGTATTAATGTGCCCTTTTAACAGATGAAGAAACTGAGGGTCAGAGTGTATGGACCATACTTAATGGAACACCGGTACCAACTGGTGGAGTGAAGATGGTAACCCAGTCGGCGTCACAGCGCTCGCTCTTTCATATGCTCTAGGTTATGGGCGTGACACAAACTGTCACTGCTTGGTGAAGGCCTGAGTTGGGAAGAGAGACATCACAGTGAAGAAAAGGATACAGGCAATAATGTAATAAATTATACAGTTATGTCAGAAAACGAGAGAAATAAAGGAGAAAAAGTACATAAAAACTGCAGTGGCAGGAGATAGACTGGGGCAGGGAGACGATGGAGAAAGAAAACCAAGCAGGCTGTTGGTGAAACACATTCCAGGAAGAAGGAGTGAGCGGCAAGTCCATTTCTCAGGTGTGAGCCTGGGTGGTGTGTCCGACAGCAGAGAGCCAGCACGGCCGGGACTGAGTGGGGAACGGAGCGAGTACGGGAAGGGGAGGGTAGAGCTCTAGATCCTGCAGGGTTTGGGATCCACGTTCAAGACTTTGGCTTTTACTTTGGCTTTTATTCAGAGTGAGATGAGGTGTCTTGCAGGGTTTTTGTGAGCAGAGGAGAAAGGTGGAAAAGGGAGCACACTCGGCCTGCCTGCTATGCTTTGAAGGGCCTGCTCACATGGTTGGTCTCTCACTGGCATCTGGGAACTTAGATTTGGGGCAAGTTCCCACCATCCTCTGATAGGGTGGCCTGTTGTGCCTAAACTGTTTTCTGCAATGTGGCTTAGCTGAACACTTGTTTTCCATCTGAGTCTGGAATTTGCATATGTGCCAGGAAGGGAGTGCTATCATGACCAGTCCCCGGTAAAAATAAAACCTCTGGGCACCGGAGTCTCTAACAAGCTTCCCTGGTAGAAGACAATATTTTGTAACTTATTGCCGGGGGCATTAAGGACGTCCTGTGTGACTCCACTAGGCGAGACCCCTTGACAGCTGGAGCCTGCTTTCCTGTGGACCTCACCCCATGCACCTCTTCCCTTCGCAGATTGTGTTTGGCATCCTTTTCTGGAAAAACCATAGCCATGAGTGCAACAATCTGCAGAACCTGTGAGTCCTCCCAGGGAATTGCTAAACCTGAGGGTGGTCTTGGGACCCTGAAACAGGAGTGATTTATCTGCCAAGCTTTAAAGGGATCCCTCGGGCTGCTTGTTGAAGGGGAACTGGGCAGTGCCAAGGAGACCAGGAAGGAATTTGTTGCACACAATCCAAGCAAAAGCTACTGAGGGCTTAGACCAGGAGGTGGGGGTGGTGAGAAGAGACAGGACCCTGGATTTATAAATATGAGAACTCGGAGGCAGGCAGAAGTCATGAGCAAAGCATGTGACAACGAGGACTGCTGAGCAGAGGGCTGTCCTCACTCATGAGTTTTCATTATACCAGTCCCGTAGTATGACAGGGACTTTGTGACAGACACCCCTTACAGGTTCCAGGAGGGTCTGTGGCCCATCCTGCAAATGCAATTTTCAAGAATCTCTTCCCCTCATCTAGCATTTATTTGCAGAGTTCAGCCCAGGGGAGAATCTCCTTCCCTGAAAAGGCAAGTGTAACTTACAAGACTTAGGTGCCCTTGAATCCAAGATTGCGGGTTTCTACTAAAGAAGATGCTTAACCAGCTCGTTCCTGCTTCCTGACCTTTGCTTCCAAGAGTTAAAAGAGGACATAGGTTTTGTTGTTGTTGCTGTTAGAAGTTTTCAAGGACAAAAAAAAAAAATGCCTTTTTGGTTGAGAGTACAGCTATCGTGGGCTGCTCCTGCGGTGGAAGAAAAAGACATCTCCTTTTATGACTTTGATTCCACAAACTTTCCTGAACTCTACATTTGAAATAGCATATTTCAAGGCAGGTGAGTGGATGGGTGTGGAGGAGGAAGAAGCAAAAGACAAAAGCAAGCAAGCTGGGTGAGTTTGGGGGGAACCCGTTCACAGAGCGCTCTCCGCGGTTTTCAAGTTGAGGAGTGATATTATGTTAACCTATGTTCTAATTGCTCAGCAATAAACAACGCCCCCTCACAGTATAAACGTCAGGATCAAGACTATTTCTAAATCTGCTTTGAAACAATGTCAGTCACCACGAAGAGCAGAAAGAGATCGAGCGCTTTTGTTAGCATAAAAAATGTTTAAATATATGACTGAGGGGTATTCGTTACTGCAAGCAGCAGAGCTCGGATACAATGGGGAGTGGGAGGACAGGGCTGTGCTTAGGTGAGACTGTTTGCCTGCTGACTGCTCAGGAGGGAGGGCCGACTGATTGATATGTGGATGACACTCGTCACCTACTGCAGAAAGTGTCACAAAGCAGGTAACTGCTGAGCTGCAGATGGCACTGGGTACTGGGGAGGGGAGAACTCCGGCCTTTCAAACAAAAATTAAGGCTGGTGGAACGACTTTGAACGTTCTTGCCCACCAAGTCAGTCAGTCAGTAGAAATGTTAAGAACTGAAGTTAAAAATAAAATAACCAGATGCTCTGGCCGGGCGCGGTGGCTCACGCCTGTAATCCTAGCACTTTGGGAGGCCAAGGCAGGCAGATCATGAGGTCAGGAGATCGAGACCATCCTGGCTAACATGGTGAAACCCTGTCTCTACTAAAAATACAAAAAATTAGCTTGGCGTGGTGGCGCACACCTGTAGTCCCAGCTACTCGGGAGGCTGAGGCAGGAGAATCGCTTGAACCTGGGAGGCAGAGGTTGCAGTGAGCTGAGATCACACCACTGCACTCCAGCCCGGCGACAGAGTGAGACTCCATCTCAAAAAAAGAAAAAAAACAAAAACAAAAACAAAAAAATACTGGATGCTCTGTTTTAATCAGGGGCTGGGAAAGTCTTGAAGCCTGACCATGGGAGTGTGGAAATAACGTGGGTTTGGAAGCCTAGCAATCTGAAACCTTCTCTTCCCTTCTCCTTATCTGTGTGTTATCAGGCAGGCACTCAATTTCTCTGAGCCTTGGTTTACTTGTGTTTAATAAATGAGGATAATTGTATCTACCTCTTTGGAAAACATACCAAAGAGGTAAGTCTACCTCTTGAGTGGACATGAAGAGCAATAAACTAATGTATGTCAGAAGGTACATGAAAGTCTCAAATATAGGCACCTAATAGATGCCACCATAAGAACCTGAGCCAGTTGGATACTGCCAGAACTTCTTAGTCTCCTAGAGTGCAGCGGGTCACCCTAATTCCCAAAAAGCTACACAAGTATCTCGACTAATCCCAAGAACCCTGCCCTGGCATATCCTTGCAGGCTGGAGGGAGACCCCAGTGAATGGCTGGAAACTGATCGTATCTCAGGTGCTGATGTCAAACGTCTGAACAGGGCAGTGATTCTCCAAAACAATGGCTGCCTTTGGTTTCAACCTCCTCCTCACCTCAAATGGGGGTGCATGGAACAGTGAAGCTTAGTGGTTAAGAGCATGGACTCTGGACTCTCACAGACCTGATTTCAGTTACAGGCTTTGCTGTTTCTAGCTGGGCATTCCTATGTAAGTCACATAACCTCTCTGAGACTGTGTTATCTGAATAAATATGGCAGGGGAAACAGACCTATGTGACTCACTGGGTATCACTAACTCCACCATTCCTCCCGATTTTGAAAGCACAGCCATATAGATTAAGTAAATAAATTTTATCTGAGGTAGGAAAGGTTGTTAGAACCTGACCTCAAAAGTGATGCCAACCTTAGATTTTGAAGCATGTTCTTTCTCACTTTAATAAGATCCTCTTCTGTTGCTATTGTCATATGTGGCCAAATATTTTATTATAGATATCAGTAAGATATTGTGCTCTTCAACAATGGAACCCCTGAGGAGGGCTGGAGATGGAAAATAAATAGAACTCATGTTCTCCAACTAGCAGAGCTTTTTCCTAAATCCCTGAGCTCTGTTCATCTTAGAATCATTGTGTGTATGTGTGCACCTGTGTGTGTGTAAAACAACATTATTTATATGTGGATGTGCACATTAAGGACCATCAAAATAGAGCCCTTTCCCTAGGGAAAGAATATTTTTCTGATGGGCTCCAAAGTGTTGGTTAGAAGCCATTGGCCTTAATTTTCCTGATGTCACTCAGGTCTCATGGGCAGGACTTGAGAAGCATGACCTGACCCCTAAGGAACGTGCTAGATAACAATGCGTTTGCATGTCCTGTGGATGGTGTAACAGCCCTAGAGTAAGACACAGACCATCTTCTCCTCATGCACAACACTGACAAGCCCTTCCACTCCGCTCACACAGGACAGTGCAGAGCACCTGGGTGAGAACTAGGAAGCTCTGTTATGAAGCTCTGGGAAGCCTCCACTATCCCCTATGGCGTTCAGTGCCGTGAAGGTGATTGTCTCTCTCTCCGAGACATAACAGAGATGGCCACCAATAGGTTAACCTATTTATATTAGTCTATTGGGGCTGCCATAACAAAACACCACAAACTGAGGAACTTCAACAACAGAAATGTATAGTCTTGCAGCTCTGGAGGCCAAGAGTTCAAGATCAAGGTGTCAGCAGGGTTGGCTTCTTCTGATGCCTCTCTCCTTGGCTTGTAGATGCCACCTTCTCTCTGGGTCTTCACATGGCCTTCCCTCTGTGTGTGTGTCATAATGTCCTCTTCTTATAAGGACACTAGTCGCATTAGATATGACCTCATTTTTTACCTCTTATAAAAACCCAGTCTCCAAATACATTTACCTTCTGAGGTACTGGGGCTAGGACTTTAACATGTGAATTTGTGGAGGTGGGGACCCCTATTCAGCCCATAACACTCTCAAAGTGAAATTCTCTGCTTTCTTTTGAAGGACGTAGTCATTGGATAGGTGAGAAAGGACATCTGTGTGGCATTTCTGCAGTTGCCTGAGGGTTGGGGTCTGTGGCGGGGGTTTGTGACACCTGGGCAATAAGGAAAGACACTGAGTCTGGAAAGGTGGGAGCCCTGCCAGCTTAGAGCAACAGACCCCAGAACATAAGGGTTTGTACTGAATGGGGAAGTTCTACAGTCTGACCTAAAGCAGCACGAACTGGGGCTGAGTGTGAGTTATACTGGAGGAGAATGGCCAAGGTCAGGATCAGAGGGGAAATCAAGTGTCAGGGAGAACCCAGGTGCCAGGACCCAGGAGGAAAGCAGCAAGAGTGAGGCCAGATGGGTTGAGGCTGAGGGGTCAGGAGAGAGGCTTGGGAAAAGGAAGGGGAGTTGGCCCTTTCTAGTGGGATGTCTCTTGGGCAGATTGGAGAAACGTTGGCTGCTCTCAATATTCAGGAAGAGGTTGCACAACATCAGAGTAGAGGAAGAGTCAGGTTTAGGGAGAGGCATGGGGAAGGGTGAAAGACTTGTGGTCATCGGTTCTCCACAAGAGACAGCAAGTGAGGGGGGCCTGTTGGTGTTCTTCTCCACTCGACCACTCTAGCAGGCAGTGGAGGAGGCCTCCAGCAGTGTTCTAGTGCACTGATAATCACGCTGTTTGTGCCCTCCTCCTACGATCCACACCCCTCCACCCACCCAGCATGGTCGGACATGTGTGATCCAGAATCACACTAAGAGAATGAACTTCGGGGAAGCATGAATAGGAAGAAACCCTGAGAGGCCAACCGTACATTAAGGGTCATGGGCAGGCACACCTGGGTTCAAGTCCCACTGCCTGTATAATATTGAACAACTGACCTCAAGTCTCTGAGTCACATTTCCTCACGTCTCTGAGTCACATTTCCTCACCTATAAGATTTGGATATGACACTGACCACTGACTCTATTCAAGGAGACTTCCAAAGCTCTCATAGCAAACAGAAATGCTTTCAGTTGTAGCTAAGAGAATCACTGACCAAAGGTTGCTTAAAAAATAAAGTCAATTAATTATCTCACCTAACCAAAAGTCTAAAAGTGAGAGGCTCCCGGTTTAGTCAAGGAACTTAATGACTAAGACACATCTTATTTCTTCTTCTCCACAATTCTCAGCATTTTGACTTGTTGCCTGATAGTCACAAGATGGCTGCTGCTACTCCAGGCATCATGTCCTCATACCAACAACCTAAGCAGGAAGGAAGAGATGAGGCAAAAAGCTTTCTCTTGGGAGACCTTGTCTTTTATTTCTCCCCTATTTCAAAGCAAAAGGTTTCTACTTCAAAGACCATTTTCTTAACACTACAATATAGGATTAATGTGAGACAATTCTATCATGCATAGAAAAATGTCAGGCAATCAATTAAGTGTTAGTTCCCTTTTTGGGAAGGAAATATAGCAAGATCCCAGGTTCTAAAATCCCACTTCTCTTTCTGTGCCTCAGTTCCTTCAACTGTGAAAAGAGAATAAAAGTAGTTAAGCAGTAAGTACTCTATAAACATTCACTTTTCTCATTTTGATTATTTTTTTCTAGCCTGTATATATTCTAGGCTCAGCCTGAGTTTGAGAATTCACCTTTCAGATCCAAGTACTAGTCAATTAACACATTCAGTCTGGCTTTCTGCAATATTGCTTTTAGAAATAGTGTTTAGTAAAGATTCGTGCAATGTGTCAGCAGTTCTTCAATCTTAGAGATGTGAGGGGATGCCAGCAGTAATTATCACCTAGTTAGGCTCCTGTTAGAACTAAGGATACTTTAATTAAGTGGATGAGTAATCTGATGCCTCCTTAGAAAATGGGCATTTAATATGCAAATAAATGATTATTCATCGCCAGGAAACATGTTGTTTTATTTGCCCCTGCTTGATAGGTTTGCTGCTGATGAAAGAGTTCCTTTGCACTGGGCTAGTATACAACCAACCATCCTTCATTAGCAACAGTCCTGGGACTGCCCTGTACCACGCACTGGGGAGCCGGGAACGGGGAAACCTGCTCCTTGGAGGAGATCATGGCCTAGAGGGGGATCAACATTGCTGCAAGCAACTTCCCACTAAGTTGCTAAGGTTGGTAATAGAAGTGTGTGCTCCGAAGAGAAACAGCTCGGAGGGGGAGTGATTAACTGCCCCTGCTCAAAGCTGGGCAGTGGGGCGGGGTCAGAAAGGCTTCCCAGAAGGAGCTGATGTATGAGCTAGGAAAGGGATTTCCAAGGAGATGAACAGGCACATGCAAATATATAGAGGCTGGAAATAGAATTGGGATTTGAGGAAACTATATTCAGTTGGTGAAAACAAAGTTGGGAGGGGATGTAGCAAGAACCAAGGCTACTGTAGCAGGGCCAGATGGCAAAGAGGTTTGTTCTACGTAAGAAGGAGTTGGAGGCCGGGCGCGGTGGCTCACACCTGCAATCTCAGCACTTTGGGAGGCTGAGGCGGGCAGATCACGCGGTCAGGAGATTGAGACCATTCTGGCGAACACGGTGTAGGCTGGAATGTAGTGGCACAATCTCAGCTCACTGCAACCTCTGTCTCCTGGGCTCAACTGATCCTGCCACCTCAGCTTCCCAAGTAGCTGACACTACAGGCACACACCACCATGCCCAGCTAATTTTTTGTAGACATGGGGTTTCGCCGTGTTGCTTAGGCTGGTCTCGAACTTTTGAGCTCAAGTGATCCACCGGGCTTGGCCTCCCAAAAAGCTGGGATTACACATGTGAGCCATCGTACCCAGTCGATACACCCATTCTTAAATGCCCAGCACTTGCATTGTCTCAGGAAGCAACTGGGAAGTTGTTGTGTGAAGAAGGGTAAGGGCTTACAATGAGGCCAACCTGGATTCAGTGCCCACTTTATACATAAGAAAACTGAGGCTTAATTTGTAATTAAGGCCAAAAAGAACAACCACTTTCCTGGGGCTTGTCCTATTGTCACCGTCATTTCCCTTTTCCCCTTATGCACTCCCCTCCCTTCCACCCATCCATTCCTGCTTCCTTCCCTTCCTTCCTTCCTCCCTCCCTTCTGTCCTTCCTCCCTTCCTTTCTTCCTTCCTCCCTCCCTTCTGTCCTTCCTCCCTTCCTTCTTTGCTCCCTCCCTTCTTTCCTTCTTCACCATCAGGATCTCACTTATTCTCCCTGTGTGGTCTCAGATAAGTGGAGGACAGGGGACCTTAGTCCATCTGACTCCCAAGGCAGAGGTCACAGATGCCTTGTTTGGGTTTTGCTTTTGTAATTGTTTATCTGTACATCCTTTTTCTTTTCACATTCCCACAGCTTGAGTGTGATTATTCAAGTCAAAAACAGTTGGAGATATCAGGTTAATAATACAGAAAGTTTCCTGGCATTCAAAATCTGACTGTGTGTGTGTGCCTATGCTCATATGTTGTGTTTTCAATTAAGCTGCATTTTGAGGAGCTAATCATGACACACTGATAACATCTACCTGGAGAACCACAGCTTCATAGCTGGCTTGGGGCAGTGAGGAGCTGTATCCTATAATGGTCAGGTGTATGCATTTTTTGAAAGAACCAAAGACCTAGGTTCCAATTTCAATTCTACCATGATAGAAAGAGGTGTCATCTTTCTGTGTGGTAGGTCTGACATCTATAAGCTAGGGATGATATTGCCTACATCACTGGCTTGCCATGAGGATTAACTAGGCCTGTGAGTATGACGTTTCTATTGCACAGTAATATGGACTAGTATCTTCATCAACTTCTGTCTCCACCTTGACCCTCCCAGCCCCATACAATGTGCTGCTGCTTGAAGTCTCTGCAAGTCATTGCAGGTGGGGGTCCTGTTTGTGAGGGTAGGAGATGTCTGGATGGATTTGGGTCTGGTACTGTGTGACTGAGTGACTGTGCCCCAGGATAATGAGATGTTGAAATTAGAGCCAAAACCACCTCCCACTCGTGTGGGGCATGAGAAAGCCATGGAAGCTGCTGGTGAGTCAGAATTGAGAAGGCAGTGCACATTTAAGGACAGAGGAAGGCCAGGGAGCTGTGCCAGGAAATTTCCACAGCTGTGAGTCAGGAACGGCTCTCATCAACTTTCTGAAGTAGCATCCCACCTGAACTAGCCAGCCCTCCTTCCTAGGCAGTCTGCTTTTTAACAATTCTTGAAAAGCCAAAGACTTTGTGTGGCTTGGTGAATGGGACAAGAAAGATGCTACGAGCCCCAAGAAGTAGGTATTAGTATCCCCATTTTACAGATAGAAAACCGAGGCTCAGAGAGGTGAGGCCATTTGCCCAGTGTCACACAGCTTGAGACGTGAATTTGGATCTATTTATCTGCAAAGCCTGGGTTATCCTGCTTAACCGTACTGCAGTCCACTAATGCTGGGCCAGTTAATAACATGAGAATGCACCCATGTTTTGCTAAGGTGGGCTAATGAGGACCATTGGGAAGTAGTTCTTTAAGACCAGGCTATTGGGGGGCATATACTCAAGTTCTTCAGCTTAATTATAGGTTCCTATGGAATCACCAACAGGCCAGCTGTAAGCACTTACAATATGCTGATAGGAGGAGGGCTTATAGTTACCTCTGACATTTATTGAGAGTTTATTATGAGCCAGCCTCTGTCCCAAGCACCTGTGTCATAGCCTATTTAAGCCTCACAATAACCCTAAGGGGTCAGAAGCTATTATTAGCACCATTTTGCAGATGAAGAAATAGAGACATGGAGAGGTGAATACTTGCCCAAGACAACATAGCTCGAAATGGCAGAGCTGGGATTTGAATCCAGGTGATTGGTATGGGTGTGGAGAGTATGTTCCGATTCGACTGCTGGGGGGGCCTCTCCTAATTGAAAATATGATGAACAGGTCCAGGCATGGTGGCTCACGCCTGTAATCCCAGCACTTTGGGAGGCCAAGGCAGGTGAATCACCTGAGGTCAGGGGTTCAAGACCAGCCTGACCAACATGGAGAAAATCTGTCTCTACTAAAAATACAAAATTAGCCGGGCATGCTAGCACATGCCTGTAATCCCAGTTACTCGGGAGGCTGAGACAGGAGAATCGCTTGAACCCGGGAGGCGGAGGTTGCGGTGAGCTGAGATTGCGCCATTGCACTCCAGCCTGGGCAACAAAAGCGAAACTCTGTCTCAAAAAAAGGAAAAGAAAAAATATAAATATGATGAACAGACACATAGACATCAGGCCAAAGTGAGAGTGTCTCACAATGAGCAGGCCTTGCGCTGGGCTGTTTACCTTTTGTGTCCACATATAACCCTCACGACAAGTCGATGGGGTTACTGACATGAAGAAACTGAGGCTCAAAATGTTGAATGACCCTGAGAGTCATGCAGCAGCAGAGCCAAAGTTTGAAGCAAAATTGTGACTTAGGTTTTCCTCACCTGGAACAAAATTGCCTTCCAAAGCCTGAGGTCTGTCCAATCCCCCAGGGTGCCCCTTGGAGGTCAAGAGGGAGAAATCCATCCCAGAGTGTGAGAGAGCTGCTGCGCTGGACAGTTGGCTGGTTACAAAAATCTAGTCTCAGAAACTCCCACCACATCCCGATGCGCCGACGATTGGCAGGCTTCTTTTGTGTGAACTTTGTTCATTGCAGGTTTTCATTTTCAGTGATGTCCCTGACAGCTTTAGTGAGATGATTGTAGGGTAGAAGACTGTAACCTTTAAAGGTTTGGTAAAATCTCTGCAAGTGGGAGGTCTGTCATCCTCCGGGGCGTGTTGAAGTGCCTGCTTGTAAATGTTTCTTTGCAAACGCTGGTGCCTGAGCACTCCAGGTGAGGAAAACCTAAGTCAGACAATGGCTGCGGTGCACAGGGAGGGAAATCAGCAGAGATGATGATGTAAGAGTGCAGGACTTGGGCTCCATGGAACATCAGTGGGGAAGAGAGACGAGCCAAGGATACGTCCCGGGTTTGGGGCATCTGGATGAGTGGGAGCCTGGAAATGAGGAGGATCCATTCAGGGGCCGAAGAACCAAGAAGACAATTCTGCATCCACGCGGAAGCTCCTTACAGAAACCTGAAAATGAATTCTCTACCCGGCCACCTCAGTGTGCCTCTAAGGTTGTGACTGTAGTCCCTGGGTCTGCGGCCAACATTCTGGCCAGAGGAGTTTCCTTTTGTGTCCCTGGAGATCTAATTCAGAATCTGGATTTGTCTTCCTGCTCTTTGCCTCCCTTTTCTCTATTCCTAGGGGACTCAAAGGACATTTAGGCTGACACTTGCCTGAACTCCTCCTTCCTTTAACTTTTTCCTTTACTCTTTACTTTTGAGCACTGGCCTGGGCCTCATGCACACCCCCGGGGATGCAGAGCCCCACCAGGTACTGTCCCTGCCTTAAGATCCTCACAGCCCAGGGGCAAGTCTGCAGATGCAAGTGACTCCAGGAGCAGGAGAAGGACTAAAGGGATCAGAGGGAAGCAGGGAAGTGCGTGGCTGTCCCACCAGACAGGCAGGGAGGCATCCCAGTGGAGGCTGGGTGAATGGGGGCCCGGAAGGTGAGCACAGGCTTTCCAGGCAGAGCAAGTGAGGAAGGAAGGTGCCCTGGGCAGAGGGCAGCCATGTTTCTCCTGTGCCAAGGCAGGGAGATGGGGAAAAAAGCTGCATATTTGAACATAGATAGGGGAGTCCGTGTGACTGGACAATAGAGTGAATGCAGAAGAGCAGAAAGAAAAGTGGCTTAAAGATCACACAGGGCCCCGAATATCTTTTGGAAAAATTTTGGCATTTCCCATAAGTCAATATTTCCCAGAGTGTGAGTAGTCTGAGAAACATGCAGAAAATCAAGTTGCAGCACTTGTTAAAAATTCAGCGTCTGGCTGGGCGCAGTGGCTCATGCCTGTAATTCCAGCATTTTGGGATGCCAAGGCGGGCGGGTCACTTGAGGCCAGGAGTTGGAGACCAGCCTGGCCAACATGATGTAACCCCATCTCTACTAAAAATGTAAAAATTAGCCAGGCATGGTGGCCCAAAATTAGCAAATTGGGAGGCTGAGGCAGGAGAATTGCTTGAACCTGGGAGGCAGAGTTTGCGGTGAGCCGAGATGATGCCCCTGCACTCCAGCCTGAGCAACAGAGACTCTGTCTCCAAAAAAAAAAAAAAAAAAAAAAAAAAAAAAAAAAAAAAACACAGCAACTGATTCCCACTCCCAAAACCAAAGAATTAACACCTTAGAGGATGAAGCCCAGGAATCAGCATTTTTCACATGCCAGAATAAGCATTACTCATTCCTGTAGGCAATGGGGTGGCCATGGGACGTTTCAAGCTGCAGAGTGATGAGGTTAGCTCTGCATTTTAGATCCCTCTGGAGGAAGGATGATAGGAGAAGGATGATAGGAGGCTGTCACTAAACCAGTCCCCTGTGCACCAAAAGAATGGCAGAGGTTAACAGGTCAGACAGATGGGAGCTTCTCTTCCCAGCTCCCCAGGCCAAAAGCCACTTCCTAGCTCCCAAGAGCAAAGCCCCAGACGATTGGGGCTTCTAGCCCCTATGTAGCTTCAGCACGGCGGAGACCCCCAGAGGGAACTCCAGACCGTACAGCCAGGGCAGCCACAGTGGACAATCACAGCCCAGCAACAGTGGTGCCGTTTCTACAGCCTGGAATATGCATGGTATCCCTTACAGTTATGCAACACCGTGGCCCTGCACACCAACAATTTTGAAATTAACGTAGAAGAGAAAACCCTAGGAACCAGGGCTTGGAGACAGGTGACGAGGCTCCCTCATCCTTGTGCCAACAGCCTCGCGCTATTCTGGGACATAAAATCTGTCTGCAGAGATTTCCAGCAAACCCAGGCCCTGGGCTGTGGTCCTCCAGCTGGACCCTGCCCTATTCTTCTGTCTCAGCCTCGCAATTAGCTAATACGGAGTACCTGGTCTGCAGTGAAGGGTACTAGGAGGAAAACCCAACAGGCCTTTGCTCCAGCCTAATCAGTCCTATTTTATGTTTTATTTGTTAGGCAGTTGTGCGATATTTCATTTGTACTCAGTGTCCTGTGGCTAAAGGCATCACTGAGAGTTCATAAACAGTTGTTCTGGTTATCTATGACTGAGTACAAACTACCTTAAAACTTAGAGACTTAAAACAAAAATGTATTATTCTCTCTTATGGTTCTGTGGGCTGACTGGGCAGAGCCGGGTGGTTCTTACTCAGGGTCTGCATGAAGCTGCAGTCAGATGGTGCTGGGGCTGCAGCCATCTGAAGGCTCAACCCAGCTGGATCCTGTGTTGTGACAACTGGGTCTGCTATGACTGGCCAGGGCCTTCTCTCTCCGCATCCATCCTCTCCACATGGCCAGCATGGGGACTTCCTTACACTTTGGTAATCTTGAGATAGTCAGATTTATCATATGACACAAGTATTCCCAGGGACCCAGGTGGAAATTTCAGTGCTATAAGACCCACTATTGGAAGTTCCTCAGCGTGAATTTCCACTGGCCAAAAGCAAGTTGCGTGACTAGCCTACATTCAAAGAATGAGGACTGCACCAGGGCAGGAATACTCACAGCCAGAGCCCATTGCAGAATGAGGACCATACCAGGGCAGGAATACTCACAGCCGGAGCCCATTGCAGAATGAGGACCGCACCGGGGCACGAATACTCACAGCCGGAGCCCATTGCAGAATGAGGACCGCACCGGGGCACGAATACTCACAGCCGGAGCCCATTGCAGAATGAGGACCGCACCGGGGCACGAATACTCACAGCCGCAGCCCATTGCAGAATGAGGACCGCACCGGGGCACGAATACTCACAGCCGCAGCCCATTGCAGAATGAGGACCGCACCAGGGCATGAATACTCACAGGCAGAGCCCATTGGAGCTACCACACCTGTACCTAGTCGGCTTGGTTAATGTGGGACTTAATGAATATTAAATGAGAAAAGACTTATTGACATGGTGCAGTGTCAGAACCGCAGCACGCTATAAAAGCCAACAAGCAAAATTATCTCCAGGCAAAGATATAAATAATGTCCAAGTGTTTCCAGAATTCATTTCCAATTCTTCCTTACCAGAAATTGGCAAAACAATTTGCCAAGTGGGACAAAGGAAACTGCCACTGTTCTACACAAACCAGATTCCTCCTCTGTTTTTCTCTCCTCGGGTTTCAGAATCCTTTTTTGTAATTATTTCTACATGTTGCCAGTGTTAAAAAAAAATGCAAAGAATTCAGAATCGTGTAAAGAAGGAAAACTCTCCTTTTCCTCTCAGCTCTCTTTTTTAACCTTCCAGAAGTAACCACTGTGAATTCTTGGTGTGTCCTCTCAGAAATGTGCTGTGTATTTACAAGCAGAAAAGAATTCTTAACACAAATAACCTCACATTCTACATAAAATATTTGAATTTGTGTGTGCATCTGTGTGCATTTGTGTGTGTTTACTTTAAATATACACTGGTCATTGTTTCATATGAGTTCCCAGAAATTGTCCTCATTGTTTTTCACTGGCTGCGCAGAGCTCCGTGGCATGGGAGCAGCAGCATTTGTCTCAACTCGTCCTTGTTTATGGGTATTTAGTTGCCAGTTTTTGCCATTAAGGACATGACTTCCCATTTCCTTGTGTCCCGTGCTGGTTGTTTTCTTATTTATTTCCATGACTGTCTATGTCAAGATGGTTACTTCTTTGTATCCGAGTTACAATTACTTGTTGCAGAGTTAATTGCTAATTGTACAGTATTTTCTGTCTCTGCAGTTGCAATACCTCTAAGTTCCCTTTAAGGATGAAGTCTTCAGCAGCAAAGTTACCAAGGAGACTTATGCCCATCGCCATGGCCCTAGATGCCTTCCGGTTGTTACAGATTTCCCAGGAATCGGGACACCACGGGGCACAGGGTGTTCAGCTTCATCTCTCAGATCCCCTTAGGTTCTCCCAACTTGTCTTTCTTCATAGCAGAAGATTTTAGAATACAGTAAGACATGCTTAGATTTGGAAGTCAAACAGAAGTGGGATCAAATCAAATATTGGCTTTTCCTTTGGTGAATTCCCATGGGTGAGTCACTCACCTCCCCCCCACCCAGCCTCAGTTTCTTCACCTATAAAATAGGCCTAAATATAGCTCCTAACTCCAAGAGTGAAGGGTTGTGGAGTACACATACACACATATTTATTTATTTATACACATCCACACACACGTAAAGGGTTTACTTACCCAGGTACCACACGTCCAGCAAGTTTTCTACATACACTGCTTTGTAGTCATGTTGGGGCAGCCCCGGTGATTTTCATTAAGAAAATTAAGTTGAAGAGCTAAAAACAGATTCCTCCCTGGCCTGGCAAGTGTCATCTCTGCTGAAAACTAATTCATCTTTCTAACCTTTATTGAGCTCATTCTACTGCAAATATTTATTAGCCTCCTACTTGGAGAGGCAGCAGTGTATACTGCTTAATCTTTGCATCCAAGCCAGAACCCCCACAGGCTGCTGAGTGGAAATGTACAAGTATGCAACCACTTTGGAAAGTGGTCTGGCAGTTTCTTATAAAACTGAACATAAATCTACCCTTTGCCCCAAGAATTCCACTCTTAAGTTTAAACCCAAAAGAAATGAAAGCCTGCTTCCCTAGAAAAACTAGTACACAAATACTCATAGCAATCCTATTCAAAAGAGCAAAAGCGGGGATGAGAAGAAACAGCCCAGGTGTCCATCAACAAGAGAATGAACAAATCAACTGTGATGTATTCACGTTATGAGAAACTACTCAACAACGTAAAGGAACTAACTACAGACACATGAACAAGTGGATGAATCTAAAACACATTACACTGCACCCAAGGAGCCAGACATGAAAGAGTACGCACTGTATGATTCCACTTCGATAAAGTTCTGGAAGAGGAAAAGCATATTTACAATTCTAAAAGGTCAGAACAGGGTAGGCATGGTGGCTCACGCCTGTAATCCTAGCACTTTGGGAGGCAGAGGTGGGCGGATCACTTGAGGTCAGGAATTCGAGACCAGACTGGCCAACATAGTGAAACCCCATCTCTACGAAAAGCACAAAAATTAGCTGGGTGTAGTGGTGCATGCCTGTAATCTCAGCTACTTAGGAGGCTGAGACAGAAGAATCATTGGAACCCGGGAGGCAGAGGTTGTAGTAAGCTGAGATCACGCCACTGCACTCCAGCCTGGGTGACAGAGCAAGACTCCATCACAAAAAAAATAATAATAATAAAATAAAAAATAAAAATAAAACCTCAGAACGGTGGTTTCCTGAGAGTGTGAGGAAACATTCTGGGGTGATGGAAACATCCTATACCTTGATAGGGTTTGTGTTTCACAGGCGTATATCTTTGCTGAATTTCACTGAATGGTGCAATCAAAATTTGTGCATTTCTTTCTATGTAAGTTTTATCTCAAAAAAGAACTGTAAATGAATTTTGAACTCTAGTTAATGATATCTATGCTGGCACGTTTAGATGTGGAGTGTACTGATATCTGCAACTTGCTTTGAAATGGATCAAGAAATTAGAGGGGCTGATGGGTGAGTAGACAGATACGTGGTAAAATAAATACAGCAAAATGCTTAAAAGTGCAGAATCTAGGGGGTGGGCACACAGGTGTCCACTGTAGATTTTCTCCCTTTTTTTCAAATTTTCTGTATGTTTGAATTTTTTCCTAACAGAATGTAGTGGGGAGAAAGAATACAGAGCCCCACTGTTTGGGTTTGAGCCCTAGCTCCACTCCTGATTAGCTCTGTGACTTTAGACAAGTTACTCAGTCTCCCTGTGCTGTACCTGTTTTCCCCCCATCTGCAAATTAGGGATAAAATCATTGAGCTCTTCTGAGGGTGAAATGAATGATCACATGTGAGGCACTTAGAACAGTACCCAGCGCAAGGTAAGCACCCAATAAATGTTTTCTTTAGCCAGAAAATACACTGAGATATTAACTGTATGTCTCTGTCTTCAAGGACTATATCTGTATAAGCCTCCCCAACATTTATCCCAAGAAACAGTATTGTAGAGGAATGTGTTGGACCAGTTGTTATTATCCTTGAACCTCAATTTCTTCAACTTAAAAATGGAAATAATTAAACTGCTCTGGGCTTCTAAGAGAATTCAGTAACATAGCATAAATAAAAGCAACCGAATCAGGGTTCAATAAATGCTCATTGAATGCCTCTTTTCCAAACCTAACCTCCCCTGTCTGCTGACATGGTTGGAGGTGACTGATTGGGTCATGGCCGCATGGAGCTCCCCTCTGCAGACATGCTGAGCAACAGGGCCCTGCATCACCTAATGATGGGTGCTTGGGGGAGGAGTGGCAAGAAAAGGGGGCATCTTCACCACAAAGTGCTTGGGGCACCTTTTTGCAACTCATCTGAGGGATATCCCCTCAGCCTCTGGAGCCCTGCTGGCAGTCTATTTAGCCATGAGGTTGGAGTAAACAAGATTGATCCCAGAGTAGCCCCCGAGGCACTATTCAGACCTATGTAGGACACCAATTAGGTAGCATCCCATCCCCTAGATGGGCAGGCCTTTATGTGAGTACATGCCCTGGTAAATTAATAGACCAGAAGAGCCTGTCCACAATGTCAGCAGCCATTTGTCCAGCGCAGTTTCACTGTAAAATGATGAGAGAGAGCAGATTTTGCCTTATAGCTACAAGGACTGGCTTGGCAAAACTTTGGGATCACCTATGAGGCTACCTCATAGGATTTCAGGAAAAAAAAATGGCAATTTTAATGAAAAGTTCAAACTGATTTACAGGGCTTCCTAATAATGCCTGTTATTTCATGATTTCTAGGTTTTTAAATACTTTTCTAATGGACACTTTGACTTCCTACAGAAATGGCCTCAAAGAAAAAAAAGACTCCATGGTCTGGCTTCATTGGCTTTTAGGGAAGCAATTTCTCATCCTCAATCTTAAAATCCATCTGGGTTTCAAGAGGATTTTAATTCATGCATTGCTGATTCGCCTCTTTCTGACAAAAACGCTATTTTCTAAGAGAAATTTGCAAAAGCCCCAGAGTCCTTTTAGAGATTTTTTTTAAGTGCTTTGATGCTGTAGGAGTTGAAGGGCCATTCTGTGCTCTGTGTGTATGATTTTTACCTTCCTCTTGGCAACACTTAAATGGAATTTAAATCCCAAATGTCACGAGCTTTGCACAGAGCTTAAACTAGTTAGGGAAAGCTTCTCTAAGCGAGCAAAACATGTGCATGCCCCTCATTAATGAAGAGATTTAATGGTGGGTTTGGCGGTACAATGGGATTGAACGGTGCCCTTTTCACCCCTGTTTGGCACTGTTCCTCGTCCTCCCAGGTGGCTGCTGACTCCTCGTCCTCCCAGGCTGCTTCATCCCCTACCAATTCCAGCACAAACCCAGCTGCATCACTAGCTTCCCCCCAAAATACTGTCACACCAAACATATTGATATTTTTGTTGTGATTTTTAACTCAAAACTTCACCCATCCCAGGGAAGAATCACATTGCGTTTCACACAGCATTTGCACATTCACAAGTCCCCACTGGGCATGACCTTCCCAAATCTTCCCTGGACTCTTAGCTGTCAAGACACCTCTGCGTCTTTCTTCATCTTCCTGATGTCAAAGGCAATCTTGCAGAGTGGCCAAACCTCAGATTTTGGAGTCAAGAGTGTAGGTTCAAAATCCACTTTCTGACTACATGTTCTTAAACTAATGACTTCACTTTTCTGCAGCTATTTCCTCATCTATAAAATGGAAATAATAATGGTGTCTCTATAGGGTTGTAGGGAAGATGAAATGAGATTGGTCATGTAAGACCTTCACAACAGTCCTGTCTGTGCATACACTTAGAATGCAATTAGTAAATGAATAGATAAATGGAACCACCCAACTTAGAGAGCAGCTCTGCTAAGCAGTGTAGCTAGAGAACGCCATTTAAAACATTTCTCTCCTGAGAGGAGCTCTAGTAAACACAACTTTCTCCATCCCATTTCATATGGAGAACCAAGGCTGTGTGTGTATTGGGTGTCTTGGAAATGGATCAAATGGATCTAGCTTGGCTCATTTATCAACTCCTCCTCCCATCCTACTGCAATGTTAGGGTGCAGAGAGCAGCATCACCCATCTTGGCTTTTTCTGGGACCCCCAGAACAGGGTATTTAACCTAGCTCACAGTCAGTAGTCAGGCCTGAAAGACAACCCCTGGGGAGGCAAACCTGATAAGTGGCTTTGGGATCCTTTGGGAAGAAAAGTGCTATTCAAATGCTACTTTAGATGTGAAGTCCATCCTCCAGGGCCAAGTTGGAGACTGAGAAAATCCATCACTTTGCAACAGCTGACCCTGATCAGAAAGAGACATGAGACTGCTATTGTGACCTTGGGACACAGAGTTGGAAAACTGCCCACAGCTACTGATTTAAAAAAGACCCTGAAGGCAGAGGTCTGTTAATAACAATCTGCTCTCTGCTGTGTGAGGACACAAACGGGGGCAAGAGGCCAGGATCTGCAATTAGACTCAAGATAGAATCCCAGCTAGGTGCAGTGGCTCATACCTGTAATCCCAGAAATTTGGGAGGTGGAGGAGGGAGGATTGCTTGAGCCCAGGAGTTCAAAACCAGCCTGGGCAACATTGTAAGACTCTATCTCTAAAAAAAAAAAAAAAAATTGTTTTAAATTAGTTAGACATGGTGGTGCATACCTGTAGTCCTAGCTACTCGGAGGCTGAGGCAGAAGGATTGCTGAAGCCTAGGAGGTTGCAACTACAGTGAGCCGTGATCGTATCACTGCACTCCAGCCTGGGTGACAGTGAAACTCTGTCTCAAAACAAAAAGTGGTAGGCTCCCAGCTTGACATGGATTGACTGTGCAATCTGGAGCAACAATCTTAATCATTCTAAACATCAGCCTTCTCATCTACCAAACAAAGGCTCCAAATATTATTCTCCAATGTTATTGCAAAGATTAAACAATTGGCATATATAAAGCACTGAGCACAGACTTAGCGCAAGGTAAATATTGAATAAGTAGTAGCTACTGTTAAAATTAGTTAAGAACATGACTCAGAAAATTATTCTGAAGACATAACTATGTATTTAACATTTATTAAAATTCTCTTACACAAATGTAAAGCTGCAAGGACTCCCCTTGGGGAGAAAATGACACATTCCTTTGCCAATCTTATTTAATTGATTTGCCTGTCTATCTATTATACACTGGCATATGTGAGTTTGTGAACACAGCATGTATATGTATGTAAACATCCACATGTACAGAGTGCTCTGGGGCTTACACAGATGCACAATTGTATATTAATACAAATAGTAATGATAATAATCACTCATTACTTGTTTAAGTGCCAAACACTATCTTATATAATGTGCACACACATTTTTTCTATTCTACCAAAAATATAATGCAATATAAGTGCTTTTGTTCAGCGTCAGATGTCTGACTCAGTATCACAATTTTCTTTTTACAAATGAAGTAATTGAAACCAAGATGGATACAAGAAGTGAGAGAAGTTACATTAATGTCAGAGCAAAGTTCAAACTCAAGCCTGAATTCATCTCTAAAGCACTGTTGTTATTCACTCAATTTTCTGACTTGAACAGCTGAATGAATGAAAAATGGATGTATAAATGGGTAGATAGATGGATGGTTGGAGGAATGAATAGGAGGTAGATGGGTGGGTGAATGTATAGGTGGATGATAGAGAATACATGGATGGGTAGATGAGTGAATAGGTGGGTGGATGGATGAATGGATGGATGGATGGATGGTTGGGCAGAACAGCGGCTGAGACAGTGAACAGTTTTGAGTGATAAGGGTGATAAGTTCAGCTTTGAAAATGTTGACTCTGTGGTACTGGATAGAGTAATGATGGCTGTGTCCTAGAACCAAAGGAACATATGGACCTAGAAAGCAAAAACATGTTCTGGGCTGAAGGTATAGAATTTTAGCATTTAGTTCACCTCCCTGAGCCTGTTTGCCTTTCGATGAAGAAGAAGAAGAAGGAGAAGGATAAGAAGAAGACAGAAGAAGAAGAGGAGGAGGAGGAGGAATACTTTCTTTGAAGAATTTTTGCAAATGTTACATTTCACTTCACAGTAGGGTTTCTGGATTTCTCCCAGTTGACAGGGCTCAGATGATGAGATAAACAACTCACAAAAATCACTATGATGAGGCTTTCTTTTTTGTGCATGCAATGCCCTGTATTTGAGCATGATAAAAGTCATGTCCTGGAGCAGATGACCATGTGGAAAAGAGAGACAGCAAAGATGATGAGGGCGCAGGTTTAGTTGAATTTAGTTGGCCCATTGCATCATGGAAACTCCATATGGCTGAGTCCCACCATCCACAGATGGCAAGAACATCTGGACTCACTTTGGATCCAAATAGTCAGTCTCTTTTGGCACCTACTTGGCCTAAGATTGAGTCCAAATTTGTTTTGGAACTTGGGTTTCCCCTGAGATCTTAGGACTTCTCCATACAGGAAACCATCTTGCTTTCATATTATATCATAATATTTTGATTTTGTTCAAGTGACTGAAGAGTAACTGAGTCAGAGCTTAATCAAACAGAAGAAATGGAGTACAAACAAACCATGTTGTCAAATGCCTGAGGACATGAGGATTTCCTAGGAGGCAGAAAGCATAGAGTTCACCACAGAAATAAAATAAATAACCCTTGAGAAAGTCAATGGGAAAGGAAACATTCTTTTATTGATAAGGGAAAAGTCCACAAATAGAAAAAGCCCCTGAAGAAAGGAGGTACTGCATAGTGAGAAAGAGATATGGCTTGACTTCTAAACAGCACAAGTTATTTCTAATTTCTAGTTCCTAACACTGACGCTGAGAGGCTCTGGGATCTTGAGCAAGGAACCAAGACCCTCTGACCTTCAATTGTCTCATCTGTGAAATGGGGATATCTATGTTACTGATATAGGACAGTATATCAGTATTTTGGGGGTTGAAATGATGGAAGCTCAGCTCAATGTGGCTTAATCAAAAGTGGGGGTGTACTGGGCCTTTAAACTCCTAACATGGCAAAGTCTACTGGATCCAAGGACTCAAGCATCATCACAACTCTCCTTCTTCCTCTAATGTATACTTCTCTGCACATCTTGTCTTTTTTGCTCTTAGAATTAACATTTTCTGAGAAACTGGAATGGTGAGGACTAGAGCCCTTAGACACTTCTCCCCATCTTCATTGACAGAGAGGAAAGGACTCTGCCCTCAGTTCCCTGGGAAGAAGTCTGACTATCTTAGTGTGGGTAATATGCCCATTTCCAGATCAACACTCCCAGTCATGCCCTGGGGATTCAAAGTCTTAGAGGAAGGTCACAGCTCATCTTCTGACCACCTATTAGAGGCTGGTAGGATGAGGAAGTGAGATGTGAGTCTCTAGGATGGGCATATTGGTCCCAGAAGTGAAAGGCACTGAACAGATAAAATAATAAATACCTAATATAGGTTCTTTCATCACAGGGATATTTAAAGAGTTAAATTTTATAGCAGATATAAATGTACTATATAAATGTCACTATGATTAGCATAATAGCATGTTATTAATATCTTGTAACTTAAAATATTAATAAAATAATAGAAAATTACCAAAATGAGAGGTAGGTACATTTTTCACAAGAGGATGTAAAGGAATTATTATTACCAAGTAAGGGCCATAATCGACATTTGTTGATATTTCAAGAGGTTGCTGTCTTTCTCACCATTTTATTATGATTTATAATAAAAATACATGTATTTTGATCTTTGTCCCCAGTTCCTGACACAGAGCTCCTAAAGCCTTTATAGTTTCCTGAGTGATGGAAGTGTCTGACAGAGCTCCTAAATGCCTTGGAACCTGTCCTGGGTCATAGGACCATAGTTTTTTCTAATGAGATGACTCTTAGTGGGCTCTTGGATTGAAGGCTGTCACCAGAAAGACCAAGTCATGATTGGAAACTTGGAATTTTCAGCCCCAATCCCTCTCCTGGAGAGGAGAGAGGAGCTAGGGATTGAGTTTATAATCAATCATGCCTATGTGATGAAGTCTTCAGAAAAATCCCTAAACAATAGAGTTAAGAGAGCTTTCAGGTGGCTGAACACGTGGAGGTACTGGGAGGGTGGTACACCTAGAGAGGGCACAGAGCTCCTCACTCCTTTCCCCAGATCTTACCCTTTGTACTTCTTCATCTGGCTGTTCATCTGTATTCTTTACCAAATAATAAACCATTAAGTGTGTTTCCCTGAGTTTTGTGAGTCATTCTAGCAAATTATTGAACACAAGGAAGGGGTCATGGGAACCTCAAATTATAGTCAGTCACTCAGAAGTACAGGTAATAACCTGGGACTTGTAGTTGGGGCCTGAAGTTGGGGTGGCCTTACAGGACTAAGCCCTTAACCTGTGGGGTCTGGGCTAACTTTAGTTAGTGTTTGAATTGAATTGAATTGAATTGAATTGAATTGAATTGAATTGAATTGAATTGAATTGATTGAATGAATGAATGAATTGAATTGAATTGAATTGTAGGACACTGTCTTAGTCCATTTGTATTGTTATAAAGGAATACCTGAGGCTGGATAGTTTATAAATAAAAGAGGTTTATTTGGCTCACAGTTCTAATGTCTGGAAAAATTTAAGATTGGGCATCTGGTGAAGGCCTCAGGCTGCTTCTACCCATGGCAGAAGGCAAAGGAGAGCCAGCACGTGCAGAGGCCTCATGGCGAGAGAGGAAGTAAGAGAGAGCAAGGGGAAGTGCCAGGCTCTTTTTAACAACCAGCTTTCATGGGAACTAATAGAGTGAGAACTCAGTCATTACCATGAGGACAGCACCAAGCCATTCATGAGGGATCCATCCTGATGGCCCAAATACCTCTCATTAGGCACCATCCAACACTGGGGATTAAATTTCAACATGAGGTCTGCAGGGAATGAACAAACCAAACTATAGTAGACAGCTAGTTTATGTCCACTGGAGAATTGCTTAATGTGGGGGAAAACCCACACTCATTTTGGTGACCAGAAATATTCTACATTGAAAGTATCGTGCAAGAAAATAGTTTGGTTGTTTTTTTACCACTAAACATCCACCATGGGAAATACAGGTGTGGCCCAGAGCACACAGAGATGAGGCTCAACTTTGAACCAGAGCACCAAACTGTGGGCCATTTATTCAACCAAATTGCCTGAGTGTCAAGCCTGTTTCAAGGTTAGTGCTGCACTGAGAGGCAGTGATAAGCTAGGATTCACCCTCTCTGCAGTCAGCCCTCAGCCTAGAGGGGAGAGTGATGGAAATGATTACTCTAGTTCTGTGTAATACAACCCTTGAAAGAGAAATGCTCTGGGCACTGTGGCTGTATTCATGGGGCCAGCCCAATAGTCCATCCAGGCTAACACTATCTTACTAGACCAACAAAGAAGGCTTGGAGACACTGTGGCCACCCCCTATGTAGGGAGACTATGCATTTTATTTGGGTTTGTCGGGGACAGTCTCAATTTTTACCTGTTGATTTGGGTTAATTATCAATATCCCTCTCTATCTTCCCTTTCAAAAGAGACACAGTTTGAACAATAGATCACCCAATCCCTATGGCTTTCAACCACTAATCTGGGTGGCCATGTTTCAGACATTTCAAATATAATGAAGAGAGTTCCAGCTTGGGAGTCAGGCAAGTCTAGGTTAAAATCTCAGCTCTGCCATATATATCCTGTGTGATCTTAGAAAATATACTTCAATTTCCTGAGCCTAAAACTCCTTTTCTATGAAACAAGCAGCCTGTTCTGCATGGAGAAGGATTTTGTACATGAAGGTTGCAGAACAGATTGTAAATCCCTACTCAAATAATAGTTGCATATCCCAATATATGGCACTATCATCAGTCCAGTGGCTCACTCAGGTCAAAACCCTAAGAGAGTTAAATCTTAGATTATCTTTTTTGCTTAGTCTCCAACGTTCAATCCATCTACAAGTTATGGCAAATTTATCTCCCATATTTATCCTAATGATGGCAGCACTTTGGGCTCAAAGAAGAAAGGCTACCACAAAGCGTATGATATCATCTTTTGAAAGCCACAGCCACCTCTGACCTCAATGTCTAACCGATTTGGGCAAACGCCAGAGATTGCCTGTCACCTGCAACACGATCATCTTTTCTATTCAAGTTGGGAAGAGATTCAGAGACTCTCTACTCATGTGTCTTTCCCAGACTTCCACCACTTATTAGGGCAGATAGTGCCCTTGAAAGTGCAAGTATTGAGCTCGGCTCTTAGAGATGATCTCAAAACACTTCAGGGTCCATTTTTTTCTACCTTAACCGCAGATGAACATTCCAATGGGGTTATGTGTTCCTACGAAACATTACCCAGGTCTTTTTTAACTTGTTGTCCATTTTCCCTTCAAATCAAGAGAGATTTCTCTACATCCTCTCACTTTCTGAAACCATCAAAGGAAGAAGGGGAAGAAACCCAAAAAAGTGTGTTATCAGCATGGCAAAGTGGAGTAGCCCTCGGCCAGCTGTCAGGAAACCCAGTTTCCAGCCTTGTTCTTCTCAGGTGGTCTGTATGGACTTAAACATATCCTTTCCCACCTGAACCTCAGGTTTTCCAACTGTAAGGTAAGTAGAGCAGGATTCAATCCTCTCTAATGATTTTTTTTTTTTTTTAAGACCAAGTCCTGTTCTGTCACCCAGGCTGGAGTGCAGTGGCGCGCTCTCGGCTCACTGCAACCTCCGCCTCCCAGGTTCACACCATTCTCCTGCCTCAGCCTCCTGAGTAGCTGGGACTACAGGCGCCCGCCACCAAGCCTGGCTAATTTTTTGTATTTTTTAGTAGAGACAGGGTTTCACTGTGTTAGCCAGGATGGTTTCGATCTCCTGACCTCATGTTCTGCCCGCCTTGGCCTCCCAAAGTGCTGGGAGGCGTGAGCCACCGTGCCCAGCCTTTAATGATCTTCTGGCTGTTTCATCGTTAATGACTGTGGTGAATTGGAGAACAGTTAGAAGAACTTCTAATTTCCCCCTAAGAAGGTGTGTCTGGCTGTTTCTCCTGCTTTCACCTAAACTCTCATTTCATCATGCTGTATTATTGCTTTCTTTCATACTTGTGTAATGGGTACAGATTTCAACTTCAAACTGAGGCAGGCAAACATGGGACTTTATTTTTCTATGACCAAACTTAGCTTCTATCTTTGAGCCCCTATCTCTTCTGGATAGTAGGAAACATAATTTTGCCAGTTCAGGGTAAGCTCAGACACTTTTGAATTTTCACCATCTCATTTGTATCCATTTACATTTCTCACTCTCCTTTTTCTCTTTCCCTTCTCCTAAGGAAGATCTAAATGTGGAGGCCCTACATGCCACCCTGGCATCCAGGAAGAGGCACTGGTCTCCAGCTTTGTGAGAGCTTCTACTGACATGTAGAGCACTCACCTGTACATGATTTATTGGTTTTATTTATTCTTGATACACTTGCTCCTCAGGAGTCCACATTGACATCCACAATCCCCTCAGTTTTCCCAAGACAGAGGCACACCGGGCTCTCTGCATCTCCCTTTCCCTGGCCACAAGCCATCTCTCGAGTGTCTGGCTCACCTAGAGAGATGTCCTGCAACAATTGCTGGTCTTCCATGTCCATGCTAGTGCTGAGCCTTTGCAAGGCTGTCTCCCCCCAGAGTGCCAGATGACAGTCTAGCTGATCTTGGTTTCTGAACATGCATCTGAGGCTTCTATGGTTCTCTTCCTGGGACTCATGCTGGGAGACCTACCTTGGGGTCCTCTTAGAAACACTCATGTATGCCTCACTCTCTTCATTCCCCTCCTACTTCCCTGCCTCACCTCCCCTACAGGATGTTTGCCAAGTCTGGGGTGGAAGGCATGTTTTTTCCCAGTCTACGTTTATGAAACAAACCATTAGAGTGGCTTTTTATGGAGTCAAATGTTTTAAGAAGAAGAAGGAGGAGGAGGAGGAGGAGGTGGCATTTTATGTCTCGAATTTCCAGACTCTTGAAATTATAAACGTTAGTTTTAAAGAAATTTACTCCATTATGGGTCTCAAGAGCTTGTTTTGGAATTGTCTACCAATAATTTTTCTCGGCTGTAGATGGTCTCCTCCTGAGCGATAGGGCCGTGTTCCCTGGATAGTGAAAGTTAATGAGTACGAGAAGGTGGAGGAGCATGAGACAGAAGGCAGCTCCAGCTACTGTCTCAGGATATTATTGTGCCACCATAATTGCCTGCCTTGCCCGTGGTCCCTGAGCCCCTTACAGACAAATGTGTGGTCATGATTGTCTACTCTGAACCTCCAGGCCTGGCCCAAATGCTCAGAGTGTGCAGAATCATTTTCTTATAATATCTCAGACATAGAATGTTGTCTCTCCTCTTCACATTTTCTTTGACCTGAGATCTTGTCATTACATTTTAGTTTCTCCAAGGAACAAAGGAAAGAATAAGGAAGTAATTATTTTCTTTTCTTTTCAGAGTAACATGACAAAGAAATTGCATCTGCCTTTATCTGGTCATATAGACTATGCTGTTCAGCATCTTCACCTGCCCTCTGTGCATGCCCTCTCTGAACAATTAGCAAGGAAATGCCATTTGTGAAAAATGTTATGCATCCACACCGTGAATTGTCTGTGCAGAAGATAAATATTCGAGGAGATTTAGATTGATGAGCACTTAAAAAAAAGAATGGTATTCTCAGGGGTAATAAAAAGAATAGGGCACCCAGGGAGGTATAGCCAGAGATATCTAGCAACAAGCATGAGCCAAGGCAATGTGAAGGAGAATGGGCACGGGGAGGGTGGCCCTAAATCTGCCCCCACTTGAAAATATTTGTGTCATCTTAACCTTATGGGTGAGCATGGATCCTGGTGCTAAAAGCCAAGACCTTTCCTCTGGGATCCAGAACCTAGGCTGACTAACATCAAAATTGCAATTTTTTTTACCCCTTCTGTTTCAGCACTTTCTCCCATGAAGGCAAATAGAGGTCTCCTCCTTTCCCCACCAGAATCCCCAGTTCCTTGGCATTCCTCCTGTTCTCCACTCCTGACCTTTCTCCCCTGTTCCTCCGGCCACTCTAGTGCCTCTGACCGTTTCTCTTTCAACCCTTCAATGTGCTAAAGTCTTTCTCAGTCCGGAAACATTCTCCCATGACCCTGCCTGGCCTCCTAGCTACTGTGCTCTCTTGTCCTTCTAGCCAAGCTGGGAAGAGTAGTCTACAATGACACTCTCATCACTGCCTCTGCTCTGATCGCTTCAGCCCACTGCAGTTCTGGCTTCTGGCTTCTGGGTCCAGAGACCATGAGCCCCACAGGACAAATAATGTCTCTCCTGTTCTCTCTGACCTCCAGCACAGGGTCTGGCAAACAAGAAATGTTTGATAGATCCACAGGTGCCTGAGCAGGTGCATGGGTGACCACCTGGCTGGTTGAGCTACTGGGAGATCCATTCAAGGTAAATCTCTCAGATGGATTTATTAATATTTTAAACTTAGAAGAGGGGAAAATCAAGTTATATCAAACTGTCTTTTTATTAAAAAGCTGAATAGCTAAGTGGCATCTGTCATGCAGTATAACAAGGACAAAGGTCTTCAGACAGGATGGGACTGTTACCTTGCCTCAGGCAGGCATGTTGCTCTGAGAGATAATTTGGGATCTGGGAGAAGAGCTAGAATGAGGCAGTGTCTCTGAGAATCAGAGCACCATCAGCAGCCAGCAACTGGTGATGAGGAAGGAGGTGGTGGATTTGAGGCATCACATGTCCTTTCTGCTGGTGTCTTTGCTTCAGCCCATCCAAGGTGATAGAGAGCTCTGTGCCCTTTGCTGATGTGACACAGGGCTGGGAAAAGCAGGAGAGAGGAAGGATCAGTGGACTCAGTGAGGAGGGCACACACTGCACACATCTGCAACAGCATCTACAGTGTGATGTCGCACAGGTGACGCTCTCTCTCTGAGCCTCCCTCATGTCCAGAGAGAAACACAGAAAACAACCCCCATTGCACAGGGCTGTGGGGAAGGTAAGGTGAGATCAACATCTAGAAGCCAGGCCCAGTGTCTGGTGGACATCTGCTCCCTTCCCACCTTCAGGATCCTAGCTCCCTGAGAACACACAGCAGACAGTGATGTTTTAGATCTTGGTCCCTTGTGCCAGCCAGAGATGTGAATCCTGTTAGCTTTTCATTTGCAACATTTGGGCAACAAGAATTCCAACTCCTTTCCAGTTTGCACTGCTGTGGATCACTCGATTCTGCTATTTGCTGTAGGTAGTCTATCCCCTTTCCTCAAAGGTAGGCCCACCAGGCCTGGGATGGGGCCTGCCATGTCTCCCCCTGGGTGCCCACCACCTGGCATGAAATAAAGACTCCAAGTATGTTTTCAATATTCAAGGAATACCCATTGTTTGCCACTGCTTTACAGTTTATAAAATGTTTCTGCTGTACCATGTCATTTAACACTTATTGCTGATGAATGAAATGGGCCTTACAGCTTGCTGGTTTGGGGCACAAACTGTGGAGTCAGGCAACCTGGATTTAAACAGCCCTTACTAGATATATGACGTTGGGCCAATTACTGTTCTAAGCCTCAGTTTCCAACTTTTAATATAAGGATCATGTTAGAATCTACTCCACATGTTTTGTGGCAAAAATTGCAAAGATGATAGATGTAGAGAATGTGGTGTAGTGCCCTGCACATAGCAAGCGTCCATATAGGTCACCTGGGCTTGTCACCAACCTCATTCTGCTGACGAGGCCTCTAATTTCCAGAAAGTTGAAGTCAATGGTCCCAGCTCACACAGAGAGTCAATGTCAAACCCAAGAGTGGAATCCATATTTTTTTCTTACTCCAAATGAGTTGCCCATTCTGTTCTATGATTATAGCAGCTAACATGTGCTGACTGTTTCCCAAGTACAAAACTATGCTAAGCATTTCTCATGTATTGGCTCTTATAATGCCCAAGACGCTCCCGAGACAGTTCTATAATTATCCCCATTTTACCGATGAGAAACCAAGACCCAGACATTAGAGTAACATGTCCAGGGCTGCAGGGTTCTTCCACGGTCAATCTGGGTGCCCACCCCAGCAGCTGGGGAGCGCCTGCCCTCCTGCTGAGCTGTCTTCTCCTCAGTGTGGGCTGCAGCCCGCCAGCCAGAGACAGCTGGTTGTTAAGTATCCAGGAATTTTTACTGCCTGGTTGTTAAATCATTGTTAGCTAGAAATTGGTCATGGTGGGAGTATAGACGCCACAGCAGCTGGCACACACTGCAAACCAGGGCTTTTTTTTGTTGTTGTTAAACCTGAGGACCAGTTTGCCTGCCTCCTATCTTTTTAAACTCTGCTGCACAACTTATACTTGGGAGATGACTTTTTCCCAATCTGAAGTTACTCTTCATTGGGAAAACCTAGGGGGAAAAATGCACAGATGGTGAAGAGAGTTTTTCTCAACCTGACTCAGCGGTCTTCTCTCATCAGAGCTGAAAGTGTGTAGACTGGTGATGTCATCGAAGGCTTAATTGGTCCCCTGCCCATAGATGGCTGCTGAGTTCCCACACTAATGAGAAGTGTGCCCATCCTTGGCAAGTGCCCACCTGCTTCTCAGCCCAAGAAGGTATAAGCTGGTAGTCACAGCACGTAGTTAACTCACATCCAACAGGCACTCCATAAAGAAGCTGGCATATTCCTCCAGCATTTATTCGCCCCCTTAACCAAGCTCCTACTCAATGCTTCTTCATGCCAGGTACTGAGTTATACTCTGGAGGCTCAGAGATGAGTCAATAGTCAACAACGGTCTTGTCCTCAGGGATCTCGCAGTCTTACAGAAAAGACTGACAGAGCAGGAAACAATGTGGGGTCTCTGTAGAAAGTGTTGGAATTTCTATGCACAAGGTACAAGGGGCACACCTAGGAGGAGACGGGACTTGTATCTGAATCAAGGATCAGTTTCCTTGTTTGTGAAACGAAGATAATGCTATCGGGCATTACCTGAGACAGACATTTGCCTAGCACTTGACACTTTACCATGAGTGCCTGTTCCCTTCGGCTCTCTCGTGAACCACAATGCTTGCATACTTAACTAATGGTCACAGTAATGAACACAGTGGCCAGAACACAGCTGTGGAATCAAACGGAGATAGGAATCAACTCCAGCTCTATGACTTACCAACTGTGAGGACCCCAGGGAGTTCATTAGCCTCTTTGAGCTTCATCTTCTTCTTTTTAAAAAATTGGGACAAAATCATATCAGCATCTACCTTATAGTGTTTGGGAAATATTATTATATGCCTGGCACATAATAAGCACTGGGTAAAGGAGAGTGTTTACTACTGGTGGTTTCTCTGGGTCAACAGAAACTCTGCTGTGCCATAAAGATGTGCCCAAGGGATGTAAAGTGTCCATAAAGAAGCAGACATTGAGGGGAACAAATAAATATCCAAAAAGTTTACATTTTGAAGTTATAAGACAAATTTTCAGGAGGAAAGGTCAAGAATGTAATACATTTGTTTTGAAAATAATTAATACCCAATGGATGGAGATGGAATAAAAGTTGTGTTGAGGATTTGGATCCTTCAACGTCAGAGAAGACACACAAAATTGAACCAAAGCCTGGAGTCAATTTCTGAATTTCCTGTGGTCATTCGCAAGATGGACTGCCTGTTCATCAGTCCCTGATTTCTCTTGGAAGCCATGGTGTTGGCCTCATTTCTGGATATAAGGGAATTGGGAACCAGAAGGATTAAGTGAGCTGATGTGAGGATTGGAAAAGTCAACCTAATGGTTCATTTGTCTCTGACCCTTTGCCTAGCCTGGGGCAAAACTACACAAATTCATTTGCATGGTTTTTATTTTGCTCAATTCACTTAATCAGAAGAGTAGTGATGGCAAATTAAAACACATGCCATCAATCTGATACATAAATGGGAAGAGAAGGGCAAGGGCAGAGAGAAGAGCAGGTGAGTGACAGTGGGTGTGACCCTTTGTAGTCCTCTTTTTGAGCAGCATCCTCAGTGTTTGCTGAACTATATTTGAACCCATGCAGAGGAAAATATGTTTTGGTGGATCTGTAAGCATAATCTCTACTAAAACAATAGAATAGAAATATGCAGATGATTTTAAAAAAAAAACACTTTTAATAAATGAATCCAACACTTTCCTGAGTATTCTGTCGTCAAGGGGTTAGCTCTTAACATAGTATCTTGGTTTCAGGTTCAGCGAGTTTATTTCCTAGTTAGTCAATACAACTTCTTGATGGAGTCTTGCGTGTCTGGTAGAGATCTTTTAGACAATGGCTACCTGGACAGCCACATGGCTGTATCCGCACAGGTCCTTCAAGAGTGGAGGTGAAGAGAATGCTGGGGAGGGAGGGATCTCAGTTGAGTCCCAGCTTTAGAAAAGTGATGATCAGTTCACTTTCTTTCTCTGATCCTATTGTCTTATCCCTAAAATGGGCAGAAGGCTTATCTCTTAAGGTTATAGGGATTAAACCAGATGATGTTTGTGAAATGTCTAGTGCATAGTAAATTCACAGTAAATGTGAGTTGTTATAATTGTCATGAGGCTGTATAGAACGTTCCATTCCTTTGGAATGATGCTTCTCCCACTGAGCTTTGATTGAGTTAATCAAGTGTAGCAATTACAGACCTGCCTTATTAAATTTTTTAAAAACATCTTTGTTATCAGAAGTGAACAAGTATTAGAATCCATAAGCCCAGTTAGCAAAGTGCTAACCCAGCGGATCGAAGAAAAGAGCAGCACATTTTATTCTAGCAACCGTAAGGAAGAGGAAACAGAGAAGAGAAAGAGGAAATAACACTTTTTGAATTGAGTATCTAGTGTGTGCCAGGCACTGTCCTAGATTTTGCATAAATAAATTGCCCAGGGTCACACACAGCTAGCAAATGGCAAAGTCGGCATCTGAACTCAAGACTGGTACAGCCCAAAGCCTTTGCTCTATTCAGCTCTCTGAGGCCAACATCCTAGCCCTCCAGCCAAGGTCTCTTTTCAACCCGCCTGGTAACTTTGTCTTAGAACTCAAAGAATTAGTTAGATAAAAGTCTTATTAACGCTCAGTCCTAAAAGGTCTAATTTCCCACCATAAGTAGCAGGTCCCAAAGAGAATCTGATCATGGAATCTATTATGCTCTTAGGTATGAATAGGACATGATACAAGCAGTGCTGGTATTAAGGCAGTCTCCATGGAGATCAGCAAAAGTGCTCAATTGTTTCAGAAAATGATTAGATCAATTTGTAGCTCTTTCTACTTCCCTGCAGTTGAGTGGCAGGAAGGAAATCAGATCCAGAGATGGCTCCCGGAGCAAGCAAAACGTTACAGTTTAAGGCTCAAGATTTAAGAAGGATGCTTGAGATAGCGCAAGCCTTCAAGGAACAAATCAAGATTTCACTGCCGAAGTAGTTAGCATTGGGCTTTCCAAAATATATCTTAAGAAAAAAATGTTTTTCCACTGCATTTGGATGACAATCCAAATGCTTATGCATGGCCTAGAAGGAATTACTTCACGACTCCAGTTGCACCAACTTCGTCTTATATCCCCACCCTCACGCTCACCTCCCTCCAATCACAACAGCATTCTTGTTTTGTTTTGTTTTGTTTTGTTTTGTTTTGTTTTGTTTTTTAGACAGAGTCTTGCTCTGTTGCTCTGGCTGGAGTGCAGTGGCACAATCTCGACTCACTGCAACCTCCGCCTCCTGGGTTCAAGCAATCCCCTTGCCTCAACCTCCCAAGTAGCTGGGATTACAGGCATGAGCCACCGTGCCTGGCTAATTTTAGTATTTTTAGTAGAGACGGGGTTTCACCGTGTTGGCCAGGCTGGTCTCAAACTCCTGACCACCTCGGCCTCCCAAAATGCGAGGATTACAGGCGTGAGCCACTGCACCTGGCCCAATCACGACAGCATTCTTTCTGCTCTGGACACACACATCAGGTCACTCGCTCCTCAGCGACTTCACACCTGCTGTTCCCTCTGCTGGGAATGTTCTTCCAGGCTAGCTCTCACGACAGCAAGCCCTTCCTGCCATTGGGGTCAGCTCCAGTGAAAGTTCCCAGGCACTTCCCTAACCACAGCTGCCTTCCTTCCCTTCCCATTCACTTTCTATCACAAACTCTGTTTTCTTTATCAAAGCACATTAGGATTTGGACTTTTTCTTATCGATTGATGTTTGGTTTTGTTGATGTCTTTTTCTCCAGAATGAAAACTCTGTGAATGATAAGACCTTACCTGTTTTGTTCACTGCTGTTTCTGCCTAAGATGGAGACTTGCATTTTGTAAACATTGAATACATATTTTTGAATTAAAACAATAGTATCTATCAGTTTGGAATAAGAAAGAGGAGAGACAGGATGTGAAATAAAATGTGTTTTTATACCTCTGTTTTGTTCTCTGCCTAAAAGGTCCTCAACTCAGTTCCTGAAAACCTGACGAATTCCTACTCATCTTCAAAGTCCAACTCAGAAATGTAATGTATTTCCTGGCAACCACTGACTTTGCGTGTCATCTATCTATCTTGCACCTACCTCTATTTTAACCCCCTGACACTATACTGTGTTCATGTGTTTATGTGTTGGTCTCCCCCACTTGCATATGAGTTCCCCAAAGGCAGAAACAGTCATGTTGGTCTTGTATTTCACAACTGAGACAATGTCTGTCATATACGAGGTGCTCAATCAATGTCTGGGAAATACATTGAATCGAAATGAATTAAATAGGGAAAGCTATTTTTAAATGTTCTCAAGCCATAAAGGATAGCCACCTTGTTTATTTCAATTTAACAACTATTCAACGAAATCCAGAAAATGATGAGACTGCCGAGAAACTGTAGCTTATTTGGAATAAATAAAATTAAGCCTCTGTCTTTAATTGCAGCAGCTCATAAACTTGGCCGGGACAAACAGTGGCAACAGAGAATTAAAAAGAGTAGAAATGTTGTCATGTGCATGTGGCACCTCCTTTCTATTAAGCCTTGTGTGCTATCCTGGGGATTCAGAGTGCTGGGCATTATCACCCTCTGTCTATGAATGCCTGCCACACCTTCTCCGACAAGAAGGTTCTGTCCACCCCAAGAACATCTTTGAAGACCTCAGGGCTCCTTTGGGAATGGGGTAGGAGCTGAGTGAAGAACCCAGGAGTAGGCCTTCTGCTCAGCCATGGAAGACATGACAGATGCAACCTGAAATCGAAGCCCTCCTCAGTCTGCGACACCAGGTGTATCACCTCTCCACATACCTCAACATCTTGCTCTATAAAATAGAATTGTAAGGCCGGGCACGGTGGCTCACGCCTGTAATCCCAGCACTTTGGGAGGCCGAGGCGGGCAGATCACGAGGTCAAGAGATCGAGACTATCCTGGCCAACACGGTGAAACCCCGTCTTAACTAAAAATACAAAAATTAGCTGGGCAAGGTGGCGTGCAGCTGTAATCCCAGCTACTCGGGTGGCTGAGGCAGGAGAATTGCTTGAACCCGAGAGGTGGAGGTTGCAGTGAGCCAAAATCGCGCCACTGCACTCCAGCCTGGCGACAGAGCGAGACTCCGTTTCAAGAAAAAAAAAAAAAAAAAGATGGAATCATAGCATCTGCCAGTTAGGACTATCCTGAGGTTCAAATGGGATAATGCAGTGTTTCCCAACGTGCAGGCTACAGAACATTCATGGAGTAGAGGTAATTGTAGACAGTGCCAGACTTGGTATTATTTCTGATTGCTCCTGGGAAGAGGTCTCCATATGCTGCTAATACTGTTAACACCACCTCTAACCCGTGCTGATCTCCCTTTCCTTTTCACAAGAGTCAGAACAGAAGGCTTCGAGCTCAGAGCCAGAACAGGCAACCATACACAAAGAGTGGCCACACGGTCCCCATGCAAGCCATGAAGACCCATGCATGTTTCCTCTACTCTCTGCACACATTCTATTCAACTCCAGTCTCTCCTACACACTTTATTCCATTTCACTCAGTGGAAGCCATTAAATGAAGATCCTGAGAGCTATTTCACAAGTTTTCAACTCCTATTAGCTAGAATCTCATATATAGGGACTTCGTGGCCCCCATTTGTCTAGAATCCCCTGGCTTGATCTTGTTTCCACTTTATTTATTTATTTATTTATTTATTTATTTATTTATTTATGTACTTACTTATTTACTTATTTTAGTCGCCCTGTCGCCCCGGCTGGAGTGCAATGACGCGATCTTGGCTCACTGCAACCCCTGCCTCCGAGGTTCAAATGATTCTCCTGCCTCAGCCTCCCGAGTAGCTGGGATTACAGGCGCCCACCACCACGCCCAGCTAATTTTTGTATTTTTAGTACAGACGGGGATTCACCATGTTGGCCAGGCTGGTCTCAAACTCCTGACCTCGTGATTTGCCCACCTCAGCCTCCCAATATATTTATTTTTATAGCTATCTTATATTTATAGCCAGTAATGTTGCATCCTTATTTAAGGTGCTGATATGAGGTTTTCTTTTTAAATACATTTATTCATTTTTCGTTCTAAGAGAGTCAACTAAATGAGGAAATAATACTGGTGGGACAAAGCTATGACTTAGGGTCCACAGCTGTGACCAGGGATGGGGTGGCAGGTGTGAAGAAGATGCTACATAAATGACTGGAGTTTGGTAAGTGAATAAAGGTTATGACAGTGATTTGTAAACAGTAAAGTAAACATGAACCACTGTTGTTCAAATGGAAGGCCCAGTGTATATCCTCTGATACCAAGTCATTGATTGATCCAAAATGGGAATGTACCCAATCTCATAATTTAACAAACAGGGCACAGCACAGTGCAGAACAGCCCATGAACACCCAGGATGGCCTGTTTTCCAGTTCTGGGTGTCAGCGAGGGAGAAGAAGCAAATGCTGGGGCATCTCTGCTTAACGACTGATGTCCTAAACTTGGCAGAAAGAGGGATGACTCAATTTTCTTAAACAACTGTTAATTAGGTGGACTTTGCAGTGGCTTCATTTGTCTAGTGAGATGGCCATGGAGCAGCTTGGGTGTGCAGGAGATAATGAGAGGCAGACAGTTACAGTGTCCTTAGATGGAAGGAACCCTGGGGACTGTCATGTTAGCCAGTTTCTCATCAGTCTTTGTGAGCTCTGACACACGATGAAAGTCCGATGATGTCCCCTGAAGTAATAAGCTCAGCAGAACTTTGCGAAGAAACACAGGGGGCAGGAGTCATTATGACAAATCACATAAACTGTGTTCTTTCAAGTCTGCCTGCATGTAATACCGTGAGTGGAAGTCCTAGCTTGAGTGTGAGAGAGTCAGACGTGTATAAAATGGCCTAGAAACAGGTGCTGTGGCCCTGGGGTGGAAGCCTATTTGCAGGAGGAGGTGGGGGATTCTCCTAGAAAATAACTCAAACTGCATCCGTGGGTGGGCTGGGCACACACCAGGGTAGCCAGGCACGCAGGAAGAAGAATAAGCCAACAATTTGCAGGAGAAACATGGAGCTTCTGAGAAGCAAATTCAGCTTGAGGTGACCCAGGAAAAGGCTTCATTGCCAGAGAAGAGGAATGGTTTTGAGGACAAGGAAGTGCCTGCCACATAGCGGGATGCATAGTGGGAGCATGCGTGTGGAACACACAGTGAGTAAATACATGCACCTCCAGCTCAAACAACAGAGCCCCCGTTATGTGACCTCGTCCATTAAACACCTGCTGGGATGGACCACATACAGTTTATTAATTTGTCTTCTATCATGAAAAGCACTGACAAGGAATGACAGCTCTCTGTTGTTACTAATTAAATCACCATCCAAGCTGCGTTCCCCTCTCTCAGGTGAGCCATGCTGAGGAAAGAAAAGGTATAATGTCTGCAGATTCCTTTACACAAAGCCCCCTGACTTTGCAGGCCAGGTGGCTTGCTTTCACTTGGGAAATAGAAAGGAATTGTCCCTCAGTGTCTCCAAAGACGTAAGAAAGTAATGCTGACCCTCATCATTGACCCTCACTTTTGCTCTAGGGGAGCTCAGAAATAGCAAAAAAAAAAAAAAAAAAAAAAAAAAGGCTGTCCCACTTTGCACACAGCCATCCTGTCATGTTCCCCAGGATTGGCTCTGGACTGTGGGCAGACACCCTGTGTCCAAGTGAGCTCTGCCACCCCAGGGCTTTTCTATCTTCGGGAGAGCTGAATGCAGAGTGAGTCCATTATGAAAGACCTGGGTTAGTGGAGTTCTGAAACTTCCATGTTATTGCAATTGAATGAATCCCCCAAATGAGGTGGAGCTCAGACAAGGGGTTCCTTCTAATTTGGCTAAAACTCTAAAATACCTCTTGTGCCTCCGTGGGTCAGTGGCAACCACCAGTGGGGGGTGCTGTGCCTGCTGACAGTGGATGCCCCAAGCATGGAGCTTGACATGACCGCAGGGGCTGCGCTAACTGAAGCAGCAGGCATGGAGGCTCCCGCAGTGGGCTTGTGTGAGAACCTCTGCGAGACACCACGGGGTGTCAAGAAAACCTCTGGGTTAGGGACACTTCTTCTCAGTAAATGGGGGCAGTTGAATCCAATCTTCATGATCTCTGTTGCCTCTTATGTATCCACAAATAATGGGACCTGGCAAAATTCAAGCTGCTCTCACCCAGCAGTCTGAAAACTGAATGCCCCAGGACAGACCGCAGCTCTGGCAGAAGAATCCTGCAACCATTCCACAGCACAGGGTCTTGGGGCAGTTATGAATCTCCTCTGAGCCCTTCTTTCCCCCTGCCTGTTATGGGAGTCATCATATCTCCCCTGGAAATGTGTTAGGAGAATCAGGGATAGTAGATGTAACCCTGAGTCAGCTTACACCCAGACAGCTTCTATTTTCATTAGAGCTGCCATTCGAGCTCACCTCAATGCAGGACTGAGCCTTGCTCTGAATTTCACCCATTGCTCCAAAGCAATAATATGCAGTGTGCATTTTACCAAAGAGTCTACAGGAAGACAAAGACAGGCTTCAAATCACACACCACAGGGTAGATGACCTCAAATGGCTCTGTTCAATATTTCTGACCAGACTGCTGGCAACAAGGTCTTCTACTGGGCATCTTTCCCTCCCTGTGCTCAGCCCCATTTCTCCTTCCTCGTCTCTCAATTTTCTTACCTCTTTCCAGGTGAATCTCGTCCAAGCTTTTTTACAACCCACAGTGAGCTTACTAAAACTTCTTTCTGACAAAGCCAGTCTAATTTTCTCCTTATAAGGGAATTCTCTGACCTGCTGTTAAACTCTGTCAAAGTGCTCGGTGGTAGATACACAATAACTGGGGTCTTCTTCCCCTTCCCTTCTTAATACTTGGATGTGGAGCCAGGGAGACACAGGCATCAGAAGTCATGTGGCAATTTAGGACATGCCTCTGAGTTAGTCTCATTTCTGCACAGAAGTCAGCTCTCAAAAGCTACAGTGTGCCCACCCAGAGGTAGCCAGGCAGCAGAGAAAACACCAGGACTGTAGCCAGTTCTGGATCTGTCATCTATCCACTGGCTGAAATTGGGGAACTATGTTTATGACCCAGGATATCAGGTTTTTCATCTGAAATTGATTGGGATAAAGGAGTAAGAATTAATGACTCCTCTCCTAGCAATGTTGTGAGGCTTAAAAGTGGTAAAGACCATGCAGTAAATTGGATGCTAATTGAGACTGCCTTCATTATTTTACATACTCCATTAAAAGTTAGAATGCTAAACTTAATAGTTAAATTCCTCTGGAGAGATCTAAGTTTAGCACCTGGTGCTGCCATTTATGAACTACACAACTTTGGAGAAATGACCTTACCTCTCTGAGCCTTAATCTCCTTATGAATAAAATGGTGTGGGGAGGAGGGCATGGGTGGGTGTGCATAATGAGCATATGGTGGTTAGTCTCCCTAAGAATATTGTAAGGATTGACATAAAGAGATAAACGCAAAGATCAAGTATATGTCTCTCTCTCTCTCTCTCCCCCCCTTTCAATTAACTTTAAATTTTACTCTATTGTTGTAAAATGATAAAAGCTCATTTTAGAAAGCTTGAAAAAATCATCCATTATTCTCAAATTCAACAATTTATTTAATCAAACTTATCAGTTGTCTTCCATGAATCCAGCTCTTTGCACTGTAGTAGAGCACAGGGCAGATAAGTCCCTGCTGTCTGAAGCTGACATTCAAGTATAAAGAGATAACCAATGGACACATAAATAAACAAGAAAATACTAAGCAGTAATAAGCACTACAATGAAAGTAAAACAGCAATATGACAGAGACCCAGCTACTCTAGATGACGTAGTTAGGAAAGGCCTCCCAGGAAGGGGACTGCATTTGAACTGAGATCTGAATGAAGAGAAGCAAATTGTGCCAGGATCTGGGAAAAGAGTGTTTGAGGCAAGGGGTGCAAACAGGGCCAAAGTCCTGAAAGAGAAAGACCTTGATATGTTTGAGAAAACAAAAAGAAAGTCCCTGTGTCTGAACTATAATGAACATGGAAACACTGATGTGAGAAGGGCTTGGAGACAGAGGCAAGGGCTAGATGATAGAAGGCCTTGTTGGTGGTGTTAGTAAGAGAGTTGAGTTTTATTCAGGTTTAAATGATGGCCATTGGAAGCCTCACATGTTTATAAGACCCCACTGTGGAGAAAAGATTAGAAGGAGGCAAGAGTGGAAGCAGAAGACCCCATGAAGAAGCAACCACCATAGTCCAGGCAGGAGAGAGAGGAGGCCTGGTTGGGAGAAGGGATAAGTGGGCAGGCTGGGATGTGTCTGGAAAACTCAGCAGGGCTTGATGATGGATTAGATGTGGGGATTCAGGGAACATGGGGAATCTGCAATGATTCCTGGTTTTGACCCAAGCAACTGACCGATGAGGAAGCTGGGAGAGGCATAGGTTTAGGCATCAGGAGGAATAAGGGAGCTGGGAAAAGAAATCAGAGGTCTATTTTGGAAATTTTACATTTGAGATGCCATTAGGTAACCAAGTGGAGATGCTAGAGAGGCCTCTGACTATCTGAGCATCAAGCTCAAGGATATGCAGAGACCCAAGACATGGCATTGTGAGTCATTGTCATGTGACTGGTTGAAATGGCCAAGGAAGAGAGGATGCATGAAGAAAAGAGGACCCAAAATAGAACCGTGTGGCACTCCAACTTGCAGAGTTTGAGAAAAGAAGGAGGAGCTGAGAAGAAGCTGAAAAGGAGCCACTTGTGAAGTGTGAGCAAGTCCAGGGGCATGTGGAGTCACAGAAGCTAGGAGGAAAAGGCGCTCGGGAGGAGCTGAGTCAGATGCTCCTGCAGGCTGGCAAGGCAATGCAGTGAGTCACTGCTGCATTGGGGACCACGGAGGTCACTAGGGGCTGGGGCAACTGCATGCTCCCGACCACATCACACTGCCTCTCAAGAAAAGCATCTGAGGCCACAGGACAGCACATAAACACAGGCTGTGAGTGTGGCTCCAGAGCCTCCACCCCTCTTCCTGCTGGACCACTGGCGAGAGAAGTGTCTCTAAGAAGAGCCCATGGGCTCTGTGGTCATGGCTGCCATCAATCCTTTCTCCCTCCCTGCCCGCTTCCTCCCCACTCAACCCCGGCCCTGTGACACTTCTTGAAATTCTCCCAGATTGTGGGGCAGTCTGACTCAGATTAAAAGGATTACTCATTTCTGGCTGAATTTGTATTTTGTACAGAATTCTAAAAAGCTTTCTTGATTGTTGTTCATTTATTCAAAAAAGCAAAGTACTGTCGGTATTTCCCTGAAAATAAATAATCCAGGCATCCGGTGTTTCTACATGTAATCTACCAACAGCAATGGATAATTTTTCAAAGCTATAAATAGCACTGGGAGCTCGATTCTAAGAAGTCATTAACTTTAAGATACATGAGCATTGAGTTTCTTGGAAACATTGAATAAACATATAAATGCTGCTACTGGAGTTAGATTTTTATGATTATGAAAGCATGTGTTTCTGTTTTATTATGTGATTTTGAGAAACCCAGAGCTCATCAAAGTTATTTGCATTAACTAAGATTACTAATATCATGTATTGAATCATAAAGACTCTCTCTCTGAGAATAAACAAAATTCCCATAAACCTAGTAAAGGCAAGATTATTCTGTAGCCATGGTAACAAGTAGCCATAGGAGCAGATTTTAAACTTGTCCAAACTGATCGACAACAGCTTGCCTCAGAGAACCTGCCTTTACAAGTCAACCAGTCAGTAGCCACCCCTCACTTCTGAAAGTCCACCAAACAGGAACAAACTATTCTGGAGTTTTCTGGACAAACTCTATAAAACATTGCCTTTGAGTGCAACCAGCCAACAACAGTCAAACTACACCTCCGCAAATATCAACCTGCTTATGTTTCTAAAAGTCCACCAATCCCTGAATTCCCTGCTTCTCAAAACTCTGTACAAGATCAGCAGCCTGAAAGACTGCCTGGCTGGCCAGCATGGCTGTCCCTTACTATAGAAAGTAATAAATTCAACTGTGTCTTTTTATTTCAGGTTTTGAATTATGGCCTCATCCTATGAATTCTATGTTTAATGTTTGAATGTTGGGAGGATCCACCAATTCATTAGTTCATCAAACTTGTCACTGTGCTTGGTCCTGGAGACCCAAAGGAATGGTCCATGTCCAGAGGAACTCTTAGCCCTGGAAACATATGACTGCAATGTGGCATAATCATCACAATACCGAAAGAGTATGCCAAGGGCTACAGAAGCCCAGGCGAGGAAGGAAACTTGGTTTGGGAGACGAAGGACAGGGAAGGATCCCAAAGATGATGTTTAGGTTGGCATTTCCATAATAAATATGAGTTTTCTAGATAAAGACAAGTGGGAGGGCATTCTAGGCAGAGGGACAACATGGGCATAGACATAAGGACAGGAAGGAGCAAACCAGATTCAGAGATGTTGAGAAGTATGGAGAACATGAGCATCTTTGAGAAGGAGAGACGGGCAGGGAGGGGCCAGGTGTCTGAGAACCCATACTATAGTCGAGAGCTTGGCTTAACCTCACGAAGCCTCAGCCTTCTCATTGATAAAATAGAATTAATTATATTGCCTACCTCTCAGGATTGCTGTGAGAATTAAATAAAACAACGTGTATAAGTCTAAATGTTTGGCACATATCAAAGCACACATGCATTTGGCACACATCCAAGCAAGAAATTGTCTGATTTTTATTGGACTTTGTCCTGAGAACTTTAAAGTGCAGGAGAAGGAGTTAATTACATTTGTGTTTTGGAAACAGCTCTCTCAGCCATTACGGGAAAGCAGCGAAAGTGTGAAGTTTCCTTTTGAAGAAAATCAGGAAATAATAACAACAATAGCAGCCAACAATGCTGAGCACAGACACTTCTGTTAACATGTATCAACTCATTAATCATAATAGCCCTGTGGGGTAGCCTGTTATAACCCCCATTCAAGAGACTGACCCCTTCCAAGGAAGATGGAACGATCCAAGGATGCTGCGGTTTCTCGGTTTTATAGCCAAAGTCTGTAGATCAACACTAGTGCAAGAGCCTGAAACAAGAGATTGAGTAGTTTGTGTTTGGGTCGATCTGAGCCAGTGAAGCACTCATTTACTCACTTATTTATTCAACACACACTAACTGAGCATCTATGACTTGTCAGGCACACCAGTGGATGCCATTCCTGCTCTTACAGAGCTTCTGACAGTAACAGCCAACATGTGCAAAGCACTTGCCATCTGCAGGGAACTGATCTAAGCACTTCACACCTAACAAGTCATTTGGAACTCCTAAAACAAACCTAGGAGGAAGGCAATACTATTATGCCCATTTTACAGAGAGCAAACTGAGGCCCAAGGAGGCTCAGTTGTCCTTCCAAATTCACACAGTAAATAGCGAAGCTGGAATCCAGGTGGTATAGCTCCAGTGGCTCTACCCTTAACAACAGCTACACCATGTCATGGTCTAGCTCAGCGCTCTCCAAAGCACAGCCTGAAGCCTCCAGTCAACCATTCCACCAACCGTAGCTTGTACTAGAATGCACCTCCACTTACTTCATTGTGCACACTGTTCAGTTCAGCCAACATTTCTTCCATTGCAAGACTTCCCCAGTGAAGGAAGTATTATGATGATTGACATTCTGGTACAAACTCATGATCTTGTCATAGGCCAGCACTGTGAGTAGCATGTGTCCATTGGATGAACAAGACTTCACACAAATGATCACACAGATAAATATGTATTGTCATTAGGGTCAGTATTAGGAAGGACAGCAGCAGGGTCTAGAAGAGAGTGCAGCAGAGAAATCAGAAGCCCCATCCTTGCTTGGAGCTAGGAAGTGGGGTCATGGAAGCATCCTGGAGACCTGTGGGAAGAGGAAGATGTCCCTAGGTCAAAGGGTGGGAAAGGAGGGGTGACAAAGGCAGAACGGAGGTCATTTGTCAAGGCCACATATGGGAAAGATCCTGGCATGTTTGGGAAACAGGGAAAAATACAAGAGCAGAAGGACTCTCAGGGGAAGCCTCCGAGTGGATTCACAATGCATAACTCAAGCTGGATAAGACAGAAAACACATCAAGGAGCTTAGGTGTGTGCTATACAGCAGCTTCTCCTGGGATCCTGTACTGACGCTTTCTGTTCCAGAGGCTTCCAACAGGTGCTTGGTGGATTTCCAATGACCCTGGCCAGATCCAGCTGCAGGCCAAATAGCTAGGTCTGAGGTGTGTTACCACTTTGCTTCTGTTTTTCTGCGGGCAGAGTCATTCACTGAACTAGGGTCAGGTCCAGGGCCACAGTATGTGAGCACTGTGGCTCTGCAGGGTTCATAGGAAATCCTGAGGCACAGGAAGTAAATTTATTGGCTAAAGTTTGGGAGAAGGAGGCAGAGAGGAAGACAGGGAGTAAACATTTATCCACTATGTCCCATGCACTTTACACACCTTTTTACCTCCTTTAAGCCCATGGCATCCTTGCTTGGAGGAAACTATGAATCCCCTCATTATCCGTAAGTGAAGTGAGAGAGTGAGGCTGCAGCTTGACCAAAATGATGAGGTAGGAAGTGCACAGCCTCTCTGGACCAGATTGTGCCTCCTTATAAGAGATGATCATTAAAATCCAGAGGCTGTCCAGCGCTGATGACAAAACCTAACCCTGACTCCATCACCATTTACTCAAAACACTGTAATGACAGGGAAGAGTGAGGTAGGAAATTCAGAATTAAGACAGGGTGTGACCAAGAGTGGCAACTACACTAAATTCGAGGGTGAGAACTGGTTTCTATTCATGCTCTGCCTGTACTAGGTCTGCAGTCTAGGATTTGTCTCCTTACCTCTTTAAGCTTCAGTTTGCGTATCTGTAAAAATGGGCAGGAGTGTTGTAATCACTTCCCATGGGGTTGCTGTGAGGATTAGGTGACATAAAGCCTATTAATTAAACTGTATTTGCTAGCACATGGCCTTAGAAGACTTACCTAAATCCCTGGTGTCTCATTGCCAATCTCTGTAAAGTGTAAACGACAATAGTTCCTGCTTCACAGGGTTGTTTAAGGATTAAAGGAAATAATGTGTGTAGAACGTGTGGAACAGTGCCTGTCCCATAGTAACAATTATTGATAGCTATGATTATTATTACCAAAAGTTAGTCCAGGGTTTAATACATAGTAGGTGCTCAATAAATATCCCGATTTGGAAAAGAAGAAAAGAGAAATCGGAGCAAGGATGAGGATACTTGGAAATGAGAGAGGAGGACTTGGATGTCTGCACTCAGAGCGAGGAGGCAAGATCAGAGGCCCAAAAGGAAGAGTCCCCTGCCCCTCCTCCATGCCACCCCACCTGGTCACCCCACCCCTGGACTCCAACTTCCACCCTTAGATTTGTTTGATTCTCTGATGCCTCTGGGAGGCACCTCATTGACATTCCTAGCAGGGAGTAAGGCTTTTTTGGAAGCTCAGTGATTTTGACAAAGTTATGGAACAAAATCCTCTGGCAGTAATTTGCCAACTGCCTTTAGCTCTGACAAGCACTCTTGAAGGAGGATGGCATGCCGGGGGATTTTAAGGGAACAAGGCAGTGGTGCAGCCAACCATAAAAATGAGAAACCCACAGCGAAACCCCATCCTTACTAAAAATACGAAAAATGAGCTGGGTGTGATGGCACACGCCTGCAGTCCCAGCTACTTGGGAGGCTGAGGCAGGACAATTGCTTGAGCCTGGGAAGCGGAGGTTGCAGTGAGCTGAGATTACACCACTACACTCCAGCCTGGCGACAGAGTGAGACTCCGTCTCAAAAAAAAAAAAAAAGATAAGCCATCCTAATCACTCTCCCCCTCTACAGTTCTCTCTCTTGCCTAGAGATCACCAATTCAGACTTCCCAGGCACCTGGAAGAAATCTCTGAAACAGCACACATAGGTTAGTATCAAGGTCTCATCATTGAATCACTGTGTGGGCAGTTTCACCTTCTCAATCTCCATTTCCTTAACTGCAAAATGGGAATAAAAACACTTGTGAGGCTTAAGTAAGACAGTGGAAGGAAAAGTGATTGGTCCAGTCTCACAACCTGTTAGTTGTGAACCTGAATCCTGCTCAGAGAAAAGAAGAAACTTTGGAGCCCATCTGCTCACACCTCCGCAGCTCAAACGTTCTTATTTATGTGCAAAATTTTGTGTGCATATGTGAACATTTTTCCAGAGGAGAGGCTGATAGCTTTTCTTGGATGCACCAAAAAATTCAAGGCCCCCAAAATGTCCTAAGGAACGTTGGCTGCATGTGGTATGGGGCCTCTTGCTTGGTTCCATGGAAAACCTCCCAATGAGCACCACGTCCTCTTTACTGTACCCCGAATGGAAACCACACACTTGGGATGTGTAGTTTCATCTGTAGCCATCTGTGTGCTATTTTACCCCTCTGTGTCTCAGTGTCCTCATCTGTGAAACAAGAGAGACAAGAGACAGGAGACATAAGCAAAGAGCTCACCGTGATGCATGGTGAGTCTCATTGCAAGGTTTCCCCTCTTAGCTCACCACACTCACCCTTCTAGGCTGGAATCTGGGGAGATAAAAGATGGAAGGCAGTGGAAGCAGGAAAGTAACAATTTTTCCTTGTCTGGTCTCAATCTGGCCTTGAGTTCCTTTATGATTTTCCTACGGTAGCAGTTATGGGTTCTTTGAAGGCCTCTATTGCTGGTGATCTCTCTCTGTCATTCCTTTGATGCAGCGAATGCATTTTTTCCCTGCTAATCATCATGTCTCATTCCTCATTCCCAGTTAGCGGGCCACCTCCAGCTGCCTTTGAGCTCACTTTGCCCTTCCTAGGGACTCTCTATAACAGAATCAAGGGCAACCCCACACCTGCCTACTTACCCACACCTGGTCCACTGAAGACATACATCTTTGGCCTGCTCACGAGGAGCACAGACCTCCTTCCACTGCCCCCTGGGCACTTCAGCCTGCCTGTGTGTGATATCCTTTCAGGATGCAGCCAAGAAGCTGTGGTGCTCTTTGCAAGGTTATCCATGGAATCCTTTACATTACTCAGGCAGGACCCAGACCCTAGTCAACTCTCTAATGCATTCTACTTTTGATAGAGAGAAGGGTTAACAGAGGCAGAATTGGTGTTGGCCTCCCTCTTTGCAAGTCCCACAGAATGGTTTCACACCTTGCTTTGGAATATGACATCTCTTGTCTTGAGGCCTTGATAGACTATAAGACCAGGATATGTCCATTTTAAAAGAAAATACACAGGCAAAATGCCATGAGCATTTATTGCTGGGAGGTGGAGAAAGGGAAATGGAGATGGAATCGGGGATGGCATCCTAGAGAAAGTTACAATGGAGATGGATTCTGAAGGATAAATATGAACTTACCAAATATGAATGGCCATTTCCCATGGCAGAAGCCACGTGTGCAAAGACTCAGGGGCCCGAGGAATGCATGTATATTTGGCATTCGGGAAATACAGCAGAGCGTAGTAGAATAAGGATAGGACTTGGGCCAACATAACTTAATTCAAATCCTGACTCTATCCACTCACTTGGATGACCTTGGGCAGGTAAGTCAACCTGGGCCCCTCACCTGGGCTGCTCATTTCTGAAGCCAATGATTATCCAGCTTTAGGTCATAAAAATCCCCTGGAAGCTCCTTAGAAACGCAGATCCTCGAGCCTCACTGACAGAAACTCTGACTCAGTAGGTCTGGGCTGGAACTCAGGATTATTCTGATGCAGGAGGTCTCCAGATCATACTTTGCAGACTTCAAGTGTCCCGTCTCTTAAGAGACAAGGTCTGGCATATAGCTGGTGTTTAGTAAGCATTTTGGGCAATGAATGCAGGAATCAAATGAATCCATTTCAGTGCAGCTTGTCCTGGAGAAGACTCCCAGAAGTAACATACGGCTGCCTAAAATATCTCTACACATGTCATACCACAGAAGTGGCGTCCGCCTCACAGAGGGGTCTTCACAGAGGTAAAGGGCTCAGGTGCATCCGCCCAATCTGGGATCATTAGTCAGATCTGGTGACAATGGTGAAGGCGGGAAGCCTCCCCAAGGACAAATACTATGGTTATTTTAAGCCTCTCTGTGTCATCACTGTGGTGATGAGTCGGAGTCAGGGAAAGCTAAAGAAAACCACTTGTGATTCTTTGCAAAAAGCAACATGTTATGAGGATCTTAGACCAAGCAGAGGAAAGAACACAAGGCTGTGGAGTCAAACACCACTTGGGCTTTAGTCCTGGCGAGTCTTTTCACCTCTTAAGCCTGTTTCCTCATCTGTAAAGCAGAACTAACGTTACCTACTGCAGGGGATTGCTGTGTGGAGTCAGTGAGTGGCAGGGATCACTGTTCAGGGACATGAGGAAGGTAGGAAGTAGACGGTAAAGGCCATTCTTGGACTCGAAATAAATAGAGACCACCCAAATAAGAACAACAGAAGCTAATTATCCTGTGCTTGCTGTAGCCAGGGAGTCAGGCACCATCATTTGAGTTCAGCAGATTTGCAAAGGCAGGCAGAAGAGTGGAAAGTTTTGTAATGGAAAAAAGGGAAGGTTTCAGCACTCTCTGATTGGAGGTTGTTGGCAAAGAGAAGCTGGAGGAATCTAACTAGAAGCAGGATGTTTTGTGTTACTGGTTTGGGGACAGCACTTGGCTTTCTCTGGTTGGTCCTGAGTTGGAAACTAGGTCAAAAAAACAAGGAAGCTGGCAGTCACTGATCATGTCTTACCATTTTGGGCTAAGTGCTGCAGAGGTTGTGGTTTGGCTTCCTAGACTGGTTGCTGCAGGGGTCGTGGGTCAGAATTCTATTCTCATATATGGTTTTATCTTTATCTGTTTGTATATTCAAGCTCTCACTGAGCATTTACCATGCATTACTTCAACAGAAATTTATTGAGGGCCTTCTCTGTGTTCTAAGGACACAGCTATGAGCAGAACAGAGCAGATTTCCTGCCCTCTTGGAACTGCCCACATTTCACCCATCATTGGGCTTAGTGGCATCCCTCCATGGCCCTGGGAACCCACCTTCTTTCTGTGTCCATGTGCAACTTAGTCCTTCATGGCTATGGTTGCTGCTACAATGGAGGCTCTGTTTATTCAAATTTCATATTTCTTGGGATTTCAATTATTCTTCTGGTGGTCCAGAAGCCCCATGTTAGGCCCAGGGCCAAGCTTCAGTCAAGAGCAGAGTCTTTCCTCCCCACCTAACACCAACCCTTCCCTGGATGGGATTCCCACTGCCCAGCCTGTTGTGTGGTGTAGGCCCCTACCATTCTGTTGTCCTCACAACCACCTGCCTTCCCTCCCACTGATGCTGGTGCCCTGGGCAAGGAATGTCAGTGTGGCTATAACCATGAGAAGTTTGGTTCCTGCAGGTCCGTGGAGCCTCTCTCTACTTCTATGAGTTCTGCTTCTTTAGATTCCACATATAAGTGAGACTGTGCAGTATTTCTCTTTCTGTATCCAGTTTATTTCACTTAGCACAATGTCCTCCATTTATTGCATCCATGTTATTGCATCCACGTTATTGCAAATAAACGAACTTTCCTTTTTTTAGGTGAAATACTATTTCATTGTGTATATATACTACGCTTTCTTTATCCTTTCATCTGATAACGGACTGTTTTTTCTTAATGAAACACTGACCCATGCATCCACAAAAGCATCCCCTTCTATTACTCTCCAGGTTGGCAAGAATCGTCTTAAGTTAAACAGCATGGCCTTTAAGATCTAAAGCTTTCGGGCCGGGCAGGGTGGCTCACACCTGTAATCCCAGCATTTTGGGAGGCCGAGGAGGGCAGATCACGATGTCAGGAGTTCGAGACCAGCCTAGCCAATATGGTGACATCCCATCTCTACTAAAAACACAAAAATTAGTCAGGCGTGGTGGCATGTGCCTGTAGTCCCAGCTACTCACGAGGCTGAGGCAGAAGAATCGCTTGAACCCGGGAGGCAGAGCTTGCAGTGAGTCGAGATTGTGCCACTGCACTCCAGCCTGGGCAACAGAGTGAGACTCTGTCTCAAAAAAGAAAAAAACAATCTAAAGCTTTCATCTTTTCTGCTTTCAAATTTCTCCAAATAGCTCTAGAAATTGCACCAACAGGATCCAGGAAATAAAGCTTTAGGTGTATCTTACTTAGAGAAAGGACTCACACACCTTCTGTTTCCAGAGGTGACACACTTCTTCTGTGCAGTTCTCCACTTGCGTTGACTAGAGGAATGGGCAAGTGGAGAATCAGACAAACCTCATATGGGGGTCTGCACTGTCACATCACTGAGAGTGACCTTGAAAATATTAACCTCAATGAGGCTTAAAACCCTCATCTGTAATGGAGATCATTACAGTATATATTATCCAGGGTTGATGCAGTATCCAGGTTAAATAAGGCATGTGCCTTATTCTATTTTCTATTGCTTATAACAGAATATCTGAAATTAGGTAATTTGTTTTAAAAAGGAATTTATTTCTTACAGTTATTAAGACCAAGAAGCCCAAAGTTGACGACCTGTATCTGGTGAGGACCTTTTGCTGCTAGTTCTGCTCTGCAGAGTTCTGAGATGGTGCAGGACATCACATGGCAAGGGGGCTGAGTGTGCTACCTCAGGTCTCTCTTCCTCTTCTTACGGAGCCCTCAGTCTTGTTCTTGATATAACTCATTCATCCATTAATAGGCTAATCCATCCATGAGGGCAGAGCCCTCATGACAGAGTCACCTCTTAAAGGCCCCACCTCTCAATATTGTCGCATTAGAAATTACATTTCAACATGAATTTTGGAGGAGACAAATATTCAAACCATAGCAACACATACAACTCCTAGCACATCTTGTGGATTTTTTTACAAATGTTGTATTAAATCGAGGGAGAAGAAAAAAACCTCTTTGAATAATGTTTGCCCTGCAGTAGATGCTCAACTAACCTTTCAGGCAATGTTATCTGAGAGGCTTGATAACTTACAGAGATGTTCATTTTTGTTCCTATATTTCTCCTCCAGGAACTGTCTTTTGGGCCTTGTTTTCTAGAATAAGAGCTCATTAATAGGTAATACGGGAGGATGAGAGAGAGGGCAATGCCTCTGAAGACACTGTAGGTGATGAGGAGCGGTCCTTTGTAGACTGAGCAGGTCAAGATGGGCAGTACAGGATGCTGGCAGCACCCCAGGATGGGGCAGAATCTCCAAGAGCAACGGTATCCTGGATTGATATGTAAGCCAACAATGACTGAGGTTAAATTTCCTACCAACCATGTGAATGGAGGTTTTTTTTTTTTTTTTTTTGACTTCAGCTTTCTTTTTATTTATTTATTTTTTAATTATACTTTAAGTTTTAGGGTACATGTGCACAACGTGCAGGTTTGTTACATATGTATACATGTGCCATGTTGGTGTGCTGCACCCATTAACTCGTCATTTAACATTAGGTATATCTCCTAATGCTATCCCTCCTTACAAGAAAAAAACAACCCCATCAACAAGTGGGCGAAGGATATGAACAGACACTTCTCAAAAGAAGACATTTATGCAGCCAAAAGACACAGGAAAAAATGCTTATCATCACTGGCCATCAGTGAATGGAGGTTTTAAGACAGACTGCATTTAGCTTAAAGATAATTCAAAATGTGACTTTTTTATTGCTGACTTTGTGGAATAGGGTGACGATAGTGGTGGTGGTGGTGGTGGTAACACAGGCAATAAAAAGCTATTCTGTGCCACTTTCAGGAAAAGCTACAAAAGATGTTAAAATGAGTCAGAAAAGCTTGGTCCTAGGAGAGGGTAGGAGGACAGCCCATGTAATAAAAGGAAGAAAGAAGGATAGCATAAATTAAGAAATTGCATCTCCAGAACTTTGCCTGTGATAGTGTCCTGCTGACTGGAATACTTGGGTCAGAGAATTTTTTTTATGAATAAGCAAAATAATACAAACACTTACATTAGCCAAAGGTGATTTATCATATGGCAGGAACTGCCCTGGCCACATCCACCCCCTCCTGTGTGGGGGTTTTTCTCGGGACCACGAGATCTCTGGTTTTGCTTTCCTCTTCACTTTCATTCTACAGCTTTCTCTGCAAACCTGCAGTCTCTGTTTACCCCTCAGTGTTGAAGGTCCCAAAGAGCTTCCTCTCCCTAGAGGTCTCAGCCCCAAGTCCACATGACCTTGAGGGTCCAGCACTAGCTCCCCACTGTCCCAAAAGCCCAATTTTAAATTCCCAGGAAAGTGAATCTAATTGGCTAGATTCAGCCAATGGAGTGCATCTCCTGGGTCAGCTGTCCACCTTGGTCCAATCAGCTATGGCCAGAGAGAGCCAGGGCCCTGCACTGTGAAATGTGGCTAGAAAGGACCACTGTATAGAGGAAGCAGCTTTCAGCTGTGCTGAGCAGGCGCCTGTCCCAGGTGTCTGTGTCACCTGCCCCTCCTACCTTTCACCTGGTGAGCACCCACACAACTTTTAAGCCTCCTCAGGACCAGTTGGGGAATCAGCTCCTCCCTCCTGAGGGCTCCTTCTGATAGATAGAACTCTATTACAACTGCACATCTCATTGCAATTTTTTATTTACATGACTATTTCGTTTTGTTTTTTGTTTGTTTTTTGTTTTGTTTTGTTTTTGAGACAGAGTCTCACTCTGTCTCCCAGGCTGGAGTGCAGTGGCACAATGTCAGCTCACTGCAACCTCCACTTCTCGGGTTCAAGCAATTCTCCTGCCTCAGCCTCCCGAGTAGCTAGGGTTACAGGCGCCAGCCACCACGCCTGGCTAATTTTTGTATTTTTGGTAGAGACGGGGTTTCACCATGTTGGCCAGGCTGATCTCGAACTCCTGACCTCAGGTGATTCGCCCACCTCGGCCTCCCAAAGTGCTGGGATTACAGGCGTGCGCCACTGCGCCCGGCCTACATGAGTATTTTTCGTGTATCTGAAGAGCTGCACTGATCCCTAGCATCCAGCTCAGGGCAAAGAAAAACTGACTGGATGACTGAAGAAATGAATTGCCAGTCAGTGTTACATTCTTAGATTATATTTTAGCCCTCTAATATTAGAGGCCTTTGAGGTACATATCACTATTGCCCAGAAAGATGGAATGATTTATTTATGCCCCACAGCCCATTAGAGATGGAATAAGGGTTTGAACCCAGGTTTCATGACTCCAGATCCCTTAACACAACCATTAAGACCAGTCTTATTCTCTGCTGCAGATGTTTTCACAACCTCTTGGTTTTATAATCTCTAAGAGATTTATTTGAATAACACTATTTGCCTTTTTTGAGGGGTTGTGGGAGAAATAATTAGTGCTTATCCACTGCCTGAAAATGGCAGGTTGTAAAATGTAGCGATCTAGTTCAGTCTTCATTTTTAGATCTATTATAGAACATGAAACTCTACTCTGCAATCAGAGTAGAAAGGCTTTTCTTTGTCTGTTTACTTAAAAGTTTATTTGAGCCCTTGTTAAATTCCTTTTTCTAAGAAGCATTTGCTAAGTGACGGCTCTGTGCCCTCCCCAGCGCTATAAGCTAGTGATACAAAGATGAATACAAAAGACAGATCAGATTAGAGCCTGTTGGAACCTGAACTTTGGCTTCATGGAATTTATCACAATTTTAAATAATTAACTATTTATGTGATTATCCCATTAATGACTACCTCACCCATCAGGCTGGACAACCTGTGGAATGGAACCTGTCTATCTTTTGTTCACCACTATCCTGGTGCCTGGAACAGTTCACCCTCCAGGAGCTCCGAGTTTGATGACAGAGACACATCCACACAGACCACTATAACACAGGGAGACCCGTGCTCCACCAGAGGGGTGGGGTGTACAAGGGTTATGGGTCCTCAAAGAAGGAGCCAACCCATTTCCCTGGAGGAGAAAAGTAACATGGGAAGGTTGCCCAGAGGAGGTAGATAATTGAATATGACCTTAAAGGAGGAAGGGGAACTTTGGTTTTTCTTTTTTTTTAGACAGCCATGCTCTGGTGCAACTCCCCATCACTCCTACCTCCTGGCTACTTCATCCCAAGGCCTGACAGCTGGGGTCCCAGGGAGGCCTGATTCATGAACTAGGGGATGCTTGTCTTTTGTCCTTTATTTTATCTGGAATAAGGGGTCTTGAACACTAGGGACTCTTGCCTACAAGGATGCTCATATTGTTTATATTCATTTTGAATATTTTATATCATCAATCTGCTACTCCCTCCTCTGTTCCTAAGAAACTCTGAACATCCTGTCTTTGCATGTATGACATATTGTAGATTCCTGAGAAGACCTCCTTTCCTCCACCAGACTGGGAGTCCCCCAAGGACAGAGTTCATGAGTCAGCCCTCTCGGTGACCCCAGATGCCAGGTCTTGGAATGAAGTAGCCACTCTGTAAATATTAAAGTACATTGAGAAAGAAAGGAAACAGAGAAATTCTCCCATTGGGGTATCTTGTTTTTAAGATAACTTATATTCTGACTGCCAGGGTCCCTGAAAGACAGTGTTTGTCTCCCAGAACAGTAATAGCCACGTTAACTCATGAGGATTATAATTCAGAGCAACTTTTAATAAAAGGAGATATTTACTTTGATATTAAGGTTCCAGCAAAACAAAATAGGACAAATTAATGCATGTATGTGGAGTCATATTTGTCTTAATAACCATGGCCCTTTCTCAGGTTGAAAGATGGCAGCTAAATGTCTTACTCTGGATGTCTTCAATGTGTTTTATCGCCATTTAAATCTGAGATAAATGCTTTGAATTCTGAAAGCATGTTTCAAAAAGCTCAACAGTTTTAACTGAGATGATTAAAATCCAATTGCAAATCATTATCCCTTCTATTACATTTTGCTCATTATTCAAAATGTGGACAATAGAAATCTAACCAGATTTGAGATTTTTCCTGTCTCATTGCCTGTATTCATTCATTCATTCACTCGCTCATTTATCCATTCTTCCTATCAAATGTTTCTTACGTGACAGACTTTTGTAAAGCAAAATCTTCCCCTCATATTCTACTGTCTCTAAATTACTCTTGCGAGCAAATCTTCAGACAGCATTGCCAGAGAACAGCTGACATTTGGAAGGTTATTTTGATAAACTAGTCACTATCACTGCTTCTGCAGACATTTTTCTCCACCCAAGGCCATTTAAAATGCCTGACTCCTGTCTTTCAGGCTTTGGAGTCAATAGCTATGAAATCTGATGAAGAATACTGAACATTTAACAGTTTGTAACTCACTTCACCATCTTGCTGCCCAGATGCATTTCTATGATTGTTTCAGTTAATTTTTCAAATCCCCTAGTTCCTCTGTTAATGCATAGTCCACTGTCTCTGTCTTAGATCTCCCTGCCACTCCCACACTGAAAATCCTATGGACATATTAGGACGTATCCTCCTCCTCCTTCTGCTCTTTTGAAAGGCCAGATAGAACAATACATAAATAAAGCCAGAAACCGAGAGAACTGAAGAGTCTGACTAATCCAGTCATGGCTACCACTGTAGCACTCATTACTTCCACCCATCTCTACTAAGCTCTAGTCCTGGACAGCCTTGCTACACAGTGTGGCCCACACGCCAGCAGCATCAGCATTTCCGGACAGTCGTTGGCCAGGCAGAATCTCAGCTCCATCTCAGACTGACTGAATCAGGACCTACATTGTAATGTGATCCCCAGGTAAGTCACAGGCACATTACAGCCTGGGCGGTGCTGATCTAAGATCCTTGTGTCCACTAGTACATCATGACCTAGTGGCCCCAGATCCCTGACAGTGTCACAGTGGTGCCCACTTTGATGTTTGACACAATTGCAGCTCCCTTCATGCTTGCTCACAAGCCCAGCTCTGTTTCTACTGGGCCAGGGCAACTGAGGCTGGATGGGGTTTTCTAACAATAGCTGTGCACTGTGCTAGAAGCAGCCCAGCCTTCAGACCCCTCCCCACCACCCCCATTTTTGAGACACGGTCTCAATCTGTTGCCCAGCTTGGAGTGCAGTGACATGATCATGGCTCACTGCAACCACGACCTCTCACCCTCAAGCAGTCCTCCCACATCAGCCTCCCGAGAATCTGGGACTACAGGCATGCAGCGCCACACCCAGCCAATTTTTATATTTTTTGTAGAGATGGGATCTCTGTATGTTGCCCAGACTGGTCTCAAACTCCTGGACTCAAGTGATCCTCCCACCTCAGCCTCCCAAAGTGCTGGGATTACAAGTGTGAGCTACCATGCCCAGCCCCTAAGACCCTTTAAGTTGAACTTGGGTCGCTCATCCACCTAGAAATTCCCTTCCTTCCTGGTGAGTCGCACACTTGGCTCCTGATGTCCTTTCCTGCCAGGGATTCCCAATAGCATTAAGCCTCAAAAACAAAGCAGATTTCTAGTCTTCTCCTTCTAGGAGGTCCTTTGGCCCATGTGCATATTTAATGCTTCTTTCCAGTGAACAGCCAAAGCAATTTTGAAAAACAAGAAAAATAAAAATTGGAGGACTTAACACTATCTGATTTCAGGGTTTAATACAATGCTGCAGGAATCATGATAATGTAGTTATGACATAAGGACAAATACATCGATCAATGGAACAAAAAAGAGCATTCAGAAACAGACTAGCACCTATGTGCCATTGATTTCTGACAAAAGTGTAAACTTAATGCAATGGGGCAAAGAAGGGTCTTTTCAAGCAAATGGTACTGAAACAACTGGACATCAATTTGGGGCAAACACATTTAACCCTTACCTAATACCATGCATAAAGTTATTTCAAAATAGATCATAGACCTAAATATAAGAGCTAAAACTACAAATTTACAATACTTATGAGAGAAAACCTAAAATCTCTGTGATACTGAGATGGCCAAAATTTCTTAGATAGGATACAAAAAGGGTAAACTTTAAAAGAAAAAAATAATAACTTAGACTTTATAAACATTTAAAACCTTTGCTTTTCAAATGACATTGAGAAAAAGAAAAGAAAGTTCACTGACATAAAGAAAAAATTATATATATCTGATAAATTACATATCTAACATATAAAGTATTCCTCAATAATTATAAAATGGTCTAGTAAAAACAGTGAAAAGATTTAACCAGACACTTCACAGTAGAAGACATATGAAAATGCAATAAACATCTTATACTAGTCAAAATGGCTGTTATTTAAAAGTCAAGAAATAATAGGTATTAGCGAAGATGCAGAGAAAAGGGAACTCTTATACACTGTTGGTGAGAATGTAAATTAGTACAATCTTTATGGAAAACTATGGAGATTTATCAAATAACTAAATATAGAACTACCACTTGATACAGCAGTCCCACTTCTGGATGTCTACCACAGGAACATAAATTACTATATCAAAAAGATACATTCACTCATATGTTTATAGCAGCACTATTTACAATAGTAAAGATATGGAATCAGCCTGTGTCTATCAACAAATTGGATAAAGAAAATGTGGTATGTCCACACAATGGAATACTATTCAGCTATATAAAATATGAAGTCATGTCTTTTGCAGTAATATGGATGGAACTAGAGGCCATTACTTTAAGTGAAACAACTCAGAAACAGAAAGACAAATATCATATGTTCTCACTTATAAGTGACAGCTAAATAGTGTGTACATATGGATATAGAGTGTAGAATGACAGACAGTGGAGACTGGGAAAGGTGAAAGGGTGGGAGGGTGATGGGTAATGAGAAATTACTTAATGGGTATAATGTACGTTATTTGAGCGATGGATACACTAAAAGCCCAGACTTCATCACTACTTAATATATCTATATAACAAAATTGCACTTGCAGCCCTTAAATTTATACAAGTTAAAAAATGTGAAAACATAGTCAAAATATTTTGTCAAAGGATAATGAAAACAAAAACCATAATGAGATACTACTACACACCTACTAGAATGGCTAAATTTTTAAAAATTGGTCATATCAAATGTTAATGAAGATGAGTGTGTACAACCACTTTGTTTAAAAGCCTGGCAGTTTATCGTTTTTAGAAATTACCCATATACCTTCCATACATTCCAGTCATTTTACTCTTCGATATTTTCCCCAAATGGAATTAAAACATATATCTACACAAAAATGTGCACATGAATGTTTGTGGAAAAATTTTTCATAGTAAACAATTGTGTATATTCATACAGTGAAATAGTACTGTATTAGAATGAATAAACTACTGATACATGCAATACGGTTCAACTTAAAATCACTATGCTGAGCAAAATAGGCCAGACACATAATAGTACATATTATACAGTTTCACCCCTATGGCATTCTAGGAAAACAATTCTCTTCTTTATGACAGAGAGTAAGCAACTAAGCAACTGCTGCCTGGGGCCCAACGTAGGCATGAGGATTTACTGCCAAGGGGCATGAGAGATCTAGGGAAGATAAAAATTGTTCTATAGCTTAATTACGTTGGTTACAAACATGTATATATTTGTCAAAACTCATAAAATTATACACTTAAAAGGGTGAATTCAATGTTATGTAAATTATTTCTTAATAAATTTGCTTAATCATAGCATGGGAGGAGGGAAAACTAGATTGGAATACAGATAAAACAAAGTTAACCATGAGTTGGTCATTTTTGAACCTGGGTAATAAGTACATAAGGATTCATTATACTACTTTCTATACCTTGCATAAGTTTGAAATTTTCTATTAAAAACAAGTGAAAAATGGGGGATTCTGGGAAACAGTGGAGTAGGAAGCAACAGGAATCTGTCTCCCCAGACAACAATCATACCAGCAGAATCTATCTGACAGAACTATTTGGGAACTCTAGAGTGTACTGCAGGCTTGCAACTTTCAGGAAAAGGCCTAGATGATAAACTGCAGTTAACTTCAATTTTAGCTCTTAGCTCGGCAGCAGCTACACATGCCACACCCCCAACCCCATGGCAGACAGCTGTGCATGTGTTCCTAGGGGACCCTGCACACAGCCCGTGGGAGCCAGTGTGGGAAAGAAGGAACCTATTCTCCAACTCCTAGGGACCAATGTTCTGATCACTGATTCCTGCTCCTGGTCACAGAGATGGATAGTCACTGTTGTACCCCTTCCCAGTTTTTACAAGCCCCTCTCCTGTGCTGAAGCAGCTCCAGGGGATATAAAAGATAAGTGGCTTTCTCCCATCTTCATTTTTCTCTTTTGAGAGCTGGTCATTAAAGACTAGGACATTCAAAAGCAATTGCATATAAGAGGAAATTAGAAAGCCACTATGCAAACCCAGGGGATAGCACACACTCAGAAAATCCCTGGGAAGACTTTAAGTTTACACCCAATGCTGATCCTCAACATGGAGACAGTTTACAATAATCAAAAGAACAAAACAATAAAAATTCAGCAAACTCAGGAGAATGGGATGAATCTGCCTTCCAGAGTTACCACATTACTAGGTTCAAATGTCTAGTTTCCTTTTTTGTTTTTTTTTTTTTGTTGTTGTTGTTGGTTTTGTTTTGTTTTGTTTGTTTGTTTTTTTGAGATGGAGTCTCGCACTGTCACCCAGGCTGGTGTGCAGTGGCATGATCTCGGCTCACTGCAAGCTCCGCCTCCTGGGTTCACACCATTCTCCTGCCTCAGCCTCCCAAGTAGCTGGGACTACAGGCACCCACCACCACACCCAGCTAATTTTGTTTTGTATTTTTAGTAGAGATGGGGTTTCACCATGTTAGCCAGGATGGTCTCGATCTCCTGACCTCATGATCTGCCCACCTCAGCCTCCCAAAGTTCTGGGATTACAGGCATGAGCCACTGCCCCTGGCCTCAAATGTCTAGTTTTTGACAAAACATCACAAACTATACAAAGAAACAGGGAAGAATAGCCTATTCAAAAATCAATAAATAAACCAGCAGAAACTGTTCCTGGGAAAGATCAGTTAGCAGACTTACTAAACACTTTAAAACAGCTATCTTAAAGAAGCTCAAACAACTAAAGGAAGATGTGAAGAAAGTCAAAAAAATGATATATGAACATTATGAAAATAATAATAAAGGCCTAGAAAACCTAAAAAGAAATTCTAGAGCTGAAAAGTATAATAACTGAAATCAAAACTTTTACTATAGGGATTCAAAGGCAGATTTGAGCTGGCAGAAGAATCAGTGAACTTGAAGGTAAGATAACTGAAACTACTGAGATGAAGAACAGAAAGAAAGAAGCTTGAAAAAAAGTGGACAGAGCCTAAGGATGGGACACCATCAAGTGGACCAATGTATGCATTGTGGGAGTTCCAGAAGAAGACAGAAAGAAAGGGGGAGGGAGATTATTTGAAGAAATAATAGTCAAAATATTCCAAATTTGATGAAAGATATAAACGTAAACATTCAAGAATCTAAATGAACCCAAGCAGGTCTCAAAGAGACCAACACCAAAACACATTATAATCAGATTTTTGAAAGACAGAGAGAGAATATTAAAAGCAGCAAGAAAGAAATGACTTGTTACATGTGAGGGATCCTCAGTAAGATTAGCTGCAGATTTCTTATTAGAAACTGAAGGTCAGAAGGCAGTGGCTGATATGGTGAAAGTACTAAAAGATTTTTCTTTTAATTTCATTCAAGAATCCTATATCTGGCAAAGCTGTCCTTCAAAAGTGAAGGAGAAATGAAGACATTTCCAGATTTTTAAAATAATAGAACCGACCTGTAAGAAATCTTAAAGGGAGTTTTGCAGTTTGAAATGAAAGGACAGGCTGGGCATGGTGGCTCATGCCTGTAATTCCGGCACTTTGGGAGTCCTAGGCGGGTGGATAACTTGAGGTCAGGAGTTCGAGACCAGCCTGGCCAATGTGGTGAAACCCTATCTCTACTAAAAATACAAAAATTAGCCAGGCGTGATGGTGTGCACCTGTAATCCCAGCTACTCAAGAGCCTGGTGGCAGAGAAAGAAAGAAAGAGAGAGAGAGAAGAAAGAAAGAAAGAAAGAAAGAAAGAAAGAAAGAAAGAAAGAAAGAAAGAAAGAAAGAAAGAAAGAAAGAAAGAAAGAGAAAGAAAGAAAGAAAGAAAGAAAGAAAGAAAGAAAGAAAGAAAGAAAGAAAGAAAGGCAAAGCATAGTAACTTGAAGCTTGAAGCTATACAAAGAAATAAATATTTCACTAATAATAAATACATGGGTAATTATAACAGTTACTATTATTGTAACAATGGTTTGTAACTTCTCTTTTTGTTTCCCGTGTGATTCAAGACTAATACATTTTAATAAATAATTGTGGCTCACGCATGTAATCCCAGCACTTTGGGAGGCTGAGGTGGACAGATCACTTGAGGTCAGGAGTTCAAGACTGGCCTGACCAACATGGTGAAGCCCATCTCTACTAAAATTACAAAAATTAGCCAGGCATGGTGGCATGCACCTGTAATGACAGCTACTCAGGAGGCTGAGGCAGGAGAATTGCTTGAACCCAGAAGGCGGAGGTTTCAGTGAGCTGAGATTGCACCACTGCACTCCAGCCTGGACAACAGGGAAAGACTATGTCTCACAGATAAATACATAAATAAATATTACTCTAAAAGCTAGTATTATTGAAACTTTGACTTGTAGCTCCACATTGTTTTCCATTTAATTTATGAGACTATTTAAAAAAAAACTATTAGTCTATATTTTTAGACATACAACATACCAGGATGAAATTTTGTGACATAAGTAACTGAAAGGGGTACTGAAGAATTGTAAATGAGCAGATTTTGTATGTTATTGAGATTAATCTGGTATAAATTCAAATTTAGTGTTATAACTTTAAGATGTTAAATGTAATCCTCATAGTAACTATAAAGACAATAGCTATATAATATACACAAAGGAAATGAGAAGGGAATCCAAGCATGTTACTACAGAAAAATCAACTAAACACAAAGAAAGGCAGTAAGGGAGAAATGAGGGCCAAAAAAAAAGCTAAGACATACAGAAAAAAATGGCAATATTAACTCCCTCCCTATTTATAATTATTTTGAATGTGAATAAATTAAACTCCTCAATCAAAAAACATACTATTCCAGAAAACTCAAAAGGAGGGAACACTTCTACACATATTCAATAAGACCAGCATTACCCTGATCCAAAGCCAGGCAAAGACTCTACTAGAAAATAAAACTGTAGACCAATATCCCTTATGAACAATGAAACAAAAATCCTCAACAAAATACCAGCCAGCAGAATTCAACAGTACAAGGATTATGCACCTTGACCAAGTGGGTTTTATTGCTGGAATGCAAGGATAATTCAATACACAAAAATGAATCAGTATAATACAGCACATTCACAGAATAATAGGGAAAAGCACATGATCATCTCAATTGATGCAGAAAAAATATTTGACAAAATTTAACACCATTTTATGATTACAAACACTCAACAAACTAGGGATAAAAGGAAACTACCCCAAAACAATAAAAGCTTTATAGGAAAAATCCAGAGCGAACATCATATCCAATGGTGAAAGACTGAAAGTTTTTCCTCTGAGATCAGAAAGAAAGCAAGGACCTCATATAGCCAAAACAGACTTGAAAAAGAAGAGCAAAGTTGAAAGACACACATTTCCTGATTTAAAAACTTACTACAAAGCTACAGTAATCAAAACAGTGTGATACTGGCATAAAGACTGACATAAAAACCAATGGAACAGAACAGACAGCCCAGATATAAACCTTTACATTAAGGTGTAATCATTTTCAACAAGAGTGCCAAGCCTATTAAATAGAGAAAGGAGAAAGGACAGTCTTTTCAACAAATGCTGCTGGGAAAACCAGCTATTTACATGGAAAAGAATGAAGTTACACCCTTATCTAACACTACATACAAAAATTAAGTCAAAATGGACCAAAGACCTGAACAAAAAATGCTAAACTATAAAACTCTTAGAGGAAAACACAGAGCAGAACTTCATGACATTGGTTTTGGCAATTTTTTGGATATGACATCAAAGGCATAGGCAAGAAAATTTAAAAATAGACAAATTAGGCTTTGTTGAAATTAAAAACTTGTGTGTGTGTTAAAGAACACTATCAACAGAGTGAAAAGGCAATCTATTGAATGGAGGAAAATATTTGAAAATCATAGATCTTATATGAGATTAATATTCAGAATATATAAAGAGCTCTCAAAACTCAAAAAAACTCAAAAGTGGGCAAAAGAATTGAATAGACATATCTCCTAAGAAGATATACAAATGTCCAATAAGCACATGAACAGATTCTCATTGTCACTAATGAAGAAAATGGAAATCAAAACCACAATGAGATACCACCCCATACCCATTGGGATGGCCACTACCAAAACAAAACAAGCATTAACAGAAAATAACCAATGTTGGCGAGGACATGAAGAAATTAGAACCCTTGTGCATGGTTGGTGGGGATGTAAAATGGTAAAATTACTGTGGAGAACAGTATAGCAATTTCTTAAGAAATTAAAAATAGAATTACTGTATGATGCAGAAATTATACTTCTGGGGATATAACCCAAAGAAGTGAAAGCAGGGTCTGGAGGAGGTATCTGTACATCCCTGTTAGCAGCAGCATCATTCACAATAGCCAAGGGGTGGAAGCAACCCGTGTATCCATTGATAGATGAACGGATTTTTTTAAAATCTGGTCTGCATATACGATGGCATATATTCTGCCTTAAATAGGAAGGGAATTCTGATGTATGCTACAGGATGAAGGAACCTTGTGGACATGATGCTAAGTGAAATACGCCAGTCACAAAAAAAGACAAATAGCATAGGATTTCACTTAGAAGAGGTACCTAGAGTTGTCAAAATCGTAGAGCTAGAAAGTATGGTAGTGGTGGTTTCCAGGGACTATGGGAAGTTACTTTTTATTGAGTTCAGAATTTCAGGTTGAGATGATGACAAAGTTCTGGAGATGGATAATGGTGATGGCTTGTGAATGTACCTGATGTTACTAACTGTACACTTAAAAATGAATAAAATAGTAAATTTTATGTCATGTACTTTTTGCCATAGTTTTTTTAAACTTTCATCAAAAAAACAGAGTTAAAAAACAGCAGCAACACTGCACAGTGCTAATCCAGCCCATGTGCTTCCATGCTGCTGCCTTTAGTTTGGCACTTGCAAGTGAGAAAGAGAACTGGGGGAAGGGGGAGAGAAAGGCTATGGTGGAAGGGGCAGAATAGTTCCCAGAGGCGTACCTCGAAACCTTGTGCCAGGCACTGAGTTTAACACTTTATCTTACTTTCATTCAGTCTCTTCTATGAGTTATTCTCATTCCTATTTTACAAAGGGGAAATTGAGTTCTGCAAATTTCAAGTAATTCACCTAAGGTCACACAACTCATATGTCAGAGCAGAGATATGATCACAAGTGAGCCTGGTTCTCCTGTATCTTGGTGCCTGGGAGGGGGCTGGCTTAGCAGAGGGGCATCCTGCATAGCTCCAGCTCAAAGGTGATCAATAACTTGTAGGGTGGGCAGGAGTCGTCTGGGGTGAGAACCCTCCAGGCAAGAGAATAACGTCACAAAACACAGGAAGGAAGGGCCAGGGAGCACCAAGCAGGATCTATCAAAAAAGGGCTTTGAGTCTAAAATTCGATGACTCTCCTTGTTTTCTGAGCAGGATAGACTAAAAGGCACAATTCCATGCTTTGTCTTCAATTCATGAATTGATGCTGTCAGTCATTTATACATTTGACCATTTATTCTTCTTTCAAACATTTATTTACTTGTTTGTTATGCTTCAAACATCATTCAACAAACACCCACACAGATCCGTCCTATGGTCAAGCACTAGGAATACAAAAATAAAAATGGATCAGCCCAGCTGCTAGCTTGGTCCAAGCCACCATTATCTCTTGTTCCCATTGGTTCTGGATCCCACAGGGATGTGGAGGTCCCCTTCTCTCCAGAGCCACCCACTGGGATTGTAAGGAAATAAAGGGAGATCATTTGTATTAATTATTATTAAGATAGTTGTCACTTATAACTAATTCAAAACAACCCTTTGAACCCCTATCAACTAGATAATTTTATCCCCAAAATAACCTTTTGAAAGCCCATGAAATAGGGTTTTATCTGCATTTTATAGAGAAGTAAACTGGGAGTGCAAGAGACAGGCCGTGGTAACACAGTGTGACTCTGACTGTGAAGGGATGTAGGGACAGGAAGCCATAGCCCAAAAGAAGAACAAGAGATGGCTCCAGGGGGCCAGTGGAAATGGCAGGAAGATAAGTGGAGACTGTCAGAGCCCGAAGGTGAAAAGTCGCACTCCAGGCAGAGGGTACAGCATGTGCAAAGGCATGGGGGCCTGAGGGAGCATGCCTGGGCCATTTGAGAACTTGTTAGTGGTTAGGTGTGATAAAAGCTGGAGGGGCATGTGAAGGGAAGAGGGCACAGAGGACTGGAAGCTGGAGAACCACTTCTGAAATGACTTGCCAAGAGTTTCCATTTTCCTACATCAGTGACAAATCTCCAGAGGACTTCAAGCAAGCGAGGGATGAAATCGGACATGAAACAGAGGAGGGTAGTACCTTTACAACCTTTCAGTCATTTCCCATGGAAAACCCCATCCGGGCTTGTAGTAGAATTCTCCATAGGGCCTGCCTCTTCTCTGGATGCTCCAGAGGGCTGCAGGGAGGCATCAGAAAACTCATTTGCACCCTCAGCAAGTGGCCCAATAATTTGCTCTTCTCTGGAAATAAGGCCTCCTGTGAACATTAGCAGCAGACACCACGGCCTTGGAGAAGTTGATTTGGGTAACTGTCTACCCAAGGGGAATATTATTGCTTCCCTTGAGATAGAGAAAGAGAGAGAGTGAGTGTGTACCTTCTTGTAAGTTTTTCTCATGTTTTTTTTTTCTAGACTATAATTCTAATATATAGCAAATTGGTGGCTAAAAGAACAAATTGTTCCAAAATCATGATGCAGAAAAAAAGCTCTTGAATAAGGCATTTCAAGCATACTGTGTCTGAAACTAAACTCTTAATTTTCTCTCCAGAAACACTGCTCCTTTGGTCTTTTCCACCTCAGTAAATGATTCCAGAAATCTTGGAGTCATTCTCTAGTCCTCTTTTTCCCCCACATCCGACATTCAGTCCATTAGCAAGTGCTATCAGCCAACTGTACCTTCCAAATATAAGCAGAATCTGACCTTTCCTCCACCTCCTCTGCTACTTCAATGGTCCAAGCCATTCTCATCCCTTCCTTGAAAAAGTGATACCCCACCCCACTGGTCTTCATGCCCCACTACAGACCATTCTGCACACAGCCGCCAAAGAGACAGTTTTAAAAATATAAAACAGATGTGTTGCTATGTCGCTTTCTTCTACTTACAGGGAATAAGGTCCAAGCTCCACACGGCAGCACACAAGTTCTACAAGATATGGCCCCTATATACTCCTCCAGATTAATCTCTTGCCACACTCTCCGGCTCTTACATCAGCCTTCCCAGCCTCCTGGCTCTTCCTCACACATAGAAGCCTGCTTCTCTGTCCAGAAAGTTTTCTTCCAGAGCTTCTTTGGGCTCATTCCCTTGATTCCTTCAGCTTCCAGTGTTAGATTCTTGAAGACAGGTCTTCTCTAAGCACTCTTTTTCAAATAACACCCACTGCTTTCCCTCATTCTATTGCTTTACTCTGTGTCTTCGCTGCAGCTATCTCTATGTGAAATTATCTATTGGCTGGCCTGTGTCCTCCACTAGAAGGTAAGACCTATAAGGGCAGAGATTCTGACTATCTTGGTCATTGATGCCTAGAACACTGCTGTGCACACAGGAAGTAGATATATCATTTTAAATGAACAAATGAATGTTTCATGTTCCCCCCCAATTCTCAGTCGTAATCCTCAGAGGAAACAAATTTTAATTATTTCAGTTATTTTTTGGTATTTGCCTCCATATTCCAATGATAAGTTTATACTTTCATTTTATTGTTATCTACTTATTTAACTGACAAATAAAATTGTACGTATAATATACAACATGATGTTTTGATATATGCGTACATTGTGGAATGGCTAAATCAGGCTAATCAACATATTTATTACCTCACATTCTTATCTTTTTTTTGTGGTGAGAACATTTGAAATTTACTCTTTTAGCGATTTTCAGGTATACAATACCTTATTCTTAACTATAGTCACCATGTTGTAAAATAGATCTCCTAAACTTATTCCTCCTGTCTAACTGAAATTTTTTATCCTTTGACCAACAACTCCCCAATACTCACAATGCATGTGTTATAGACATTAATTATTTACCATTCGATATGCTAAATGAAGATTAGCTCATTGGCACTTCCACCTCCACCTTACTTTTCCTCATCATCTCAGAATACTTGTGTCATCACGCACATGTATGTTTATTGTGGCACTATTCACAATAGCAAAGACTTGGAATGAACCCAAATGTCCATCAATGATAGACTGGATTAAGAAAATGTGGCACATATACACCATGGAATACTATGCAGCCATAAAAAATGATGAGTTCATGTCCTTTGTCGGGACATGGATGAAATTGGAAATCATCATTCTCAGTAAACTATCGCAGGGACAAAAAACCAAACACCACATGTTCTCACTCACAGGTGGGAATTGAACAATGAGAACACATGGACGCAGGAAGGGGAACATCACACTCTGGGGACTGTTGTGGGGTGGGGGGAGCGGGGAGGGATAGCATTAGGAGATATACCTAATGCTAAATGACGAGTTAAGGGGTGCAGCACACCAGCATGGCACATGTATACATATGTAACTAACCTGCACATTGTGCACATGTACCCTAAAACTTAAAGTATAATAATAAAATAAAATAATTTTTAAAAAAGTTATACTGGAGCACAAACTTAAAAAAAAAGAATACTTGTGTCATTATCTTTTGATGAGTAAATAATATTATTATGACTATTACATGCACCTGCTGCAGAGCCAAGTGGTGTGTTATGGTTTTACTTTCTTTCTTGTACAACTTTATGGTGTCCCTAGTTTCTAATTATCATTATTTTATGCTTGCAACTTCTTGTAAGTAGTAAGTCTAAATTTTTTTAAGCACCATCCAATTAGGTGTTCTAATAAGCCCCCTTTTCTCAAGGATCCCACCCTCTGGGAAGCAGAAAGAGTTCCCAATTTCTGCTTCTCTCTAGCCTGGTCCTTTTCTAGCCTTGGATATAGCTGACACCCTGGGACTTCCTATAATTGCCTTCCAGGGTTGGACCCATTGTTTTCTAAATCCCATGTCTTCCTTATTTTGTGTCTGCTCCCTGTGGTTCTGAATCCAATGGGCTCTGTAGGGGTTCACATCTCTCTCCTGAATCCTGTGGAAAATATCGATGTGTTGGAAACTTAATTTCTATTCATTATAATACCTTTCACTTTTAACTAATTCAAAATAACCCTATGAAGTAGATTCTTATCCCCATTGTATAAAGAATAAACTGAGTTGCAAAGCAGTTAAGGAACTTGCCCCATGTCACACATCTAGGAAGTAGCAAAGCTGGGATTTGACCAGCCCAGGACTACCTAGCCCCAAAGTTTGAGGAGCTTCCATCTACTGAGATCTTACCACATACCAGGCACTGTGCTGAGCTCCCCACATTACATGTCATCCTCACCACATCCATCCAGAAGGTGTTGACATGAAAGCTGTTGTCAAATATTGAAGGGCTGTCACAGAAAATATAAAATTAAACTTACTAAGAAAACTACAGAGAGCATAAGTTGGATCAGTAAGAACAAGTTATAAGGAGATAAATGTTGGCTCCAAATAAGGAGAGAGTTTCTAACCATCTGAGCTGTCCCAGAATGGACTGAGTCACTTTGAAAGACAGTCAACTCTCCATCCCTAGAGATACACAAGAGGAATCTATCTGTTTAAAGAGACTGCAAATCTTTGTTTTGTGAGCCAGTGAGCTAGGGAGGAGAAAAGAAGTAACAGATTGCTATGGCTTGAATGTTTTTGCCCTCCAAAATTTACGTTGAAACTTAACCTCCAATGCAACAGCATTGGGAGGTGTGGCCTTTAGGAGGTGATGGAGTCATGAAGGCAAAGAGCCCTCATGAATAAGATCAGGCACCCCAGTGAAAGGGCTTGATGGAGTTTGCCCTTCTCACCCCTTCCATCTCTTCTGCCTTGTGAGGACACAGCGTTCCTCCCTCTGGAGAATGCAGCATCAAGGGGCCATCTTGGAGGCTGAGACCAGCCCTCACCAGATGATGGAACCTGACAGTACTTGATTATGAACTTCCCAGACTCCAGAACTGTGAGAAATAAATCTCTGCTGTTTATAAATTACCCAGTCTGTGGTATTTTGTTATAGCTGCGCAAACGAACGAAGACACAGGCTGAGCTCTTACTATGGTAAGAACTATAGCTCAGGCACAGTGCTTTGTATACAGAAACTCATGGAAAAATATGATGATTGTATTCTTGTTTATCTGAGCAGTGAGAAAACTAAGCCAATAAAAATCAAATTATTAACCCAAGATCACACAGCTAATGTTCTATTTCAAGTCCAAATCTGTCTGACCTCAAATCCCATGAGGTAACTCATACTAGATATGCAATTTATAATCCTTTCAGCACCAAGATTTCCTTTGAGATTCCTCTCACAGACCTCTTTAAAAGATCCTGTCTATCCAATTCACTGCTGTGTTACACATTAGTTGCAAATCAAAGGCTTCTTTCCCTGTCAACCAGAGGGAAGGAACTGATAGAATTCCAAGCCACGGCGAGGGCAAACAAACCCTTCCGATAACCTCTTCAGACTTATAATTGACGTATGTTAACTTTCAAAACAGTTCCCAAATCCTTGTAACTACCTTCCAGGATCCCTCCTGAATTAAGAACCCTAAAGTAAGAATAATTTATACAGTTTTAATTGATGTTATTGTTTAGGGAGAAGCATTCTTTTTGGCTGAACATATTTTAGTTGTTCAGTGAGCTCCTTTTTTCCTGCCTCCCCTTTCCTTGATACAGCTCAAGTCTTGAACTTCATTCAAGATCTAATTAAAAACTAATTTCCTCCTAGACATTTTCTGCCTTGGAATTTCCACTGCACTTGCATTCGAGCAATAATCTTGAACTACTCTCTAGTAACATTCCATATTTTGCCTTCCCTTGTCTCTCTACAAAATCTTATCATATAGGCTCCTGTGGAAAGGTTCCGAACCTCAAACTTGATACCGTGTATTAATCAGGACCCTCTCAATTGCAAGTGATAGAAAACAACTCAACGTGGCTTAGCAGAGAAGGAAATGTATTGACTTCAGTAACAGAATTGTCCATGTGTAGTGGGGCATCAGACATGTGGCATCAAAACTTGATCTCTCTCTCTCTCTCTTTCTCTTTCTCTCTCTCTCTCTCTCTCTCCAGTAGAATGAACAATGGCCCTGGTTTGCCTGGATAAGGAGATTCCTGAGATATAGGACTTTCAGTGCTAAAACTGAAAAAGTACAGGAAAACCAGAACAAGTCGATCGCCCTACTCTCCACCTTTTGTTGTCTTTTCCTCTGTGCTGGTTCCATCTCTGGCCAAATCCTCTCTGTGTGGTCTGGCATTTCAAGGTTTACAGTATCCTTACAACTCACAATTCCAGTGGGGAAAAAACTTTCTCTTTTACAATGGTGACAAAAAAAAAATCTCAGAATTGTCTTACTGACCTGGCTTGGATCACAGGGCAATCCCTAAACCGATTCCCAGGGCTAGCTGAAATGCGAGATACTGATGGACCACATGTGGGGGCACATGCTCATCTCCAGGGCCAAGTTTTAGAACCAACCACAGCAAAATCAAGAGACCTGAGGATGAAGAAGTAACGAGTCCTCAGAGGAAAATCAAGTTGCTAATATCAGAAGAAAAGAGAATAAATTACAGGCAAGTAAAACCATGTCCACTACAAGAAGTGGCATGGCAGACCAGTGGGTCTTGGTGTCACACAGACCTGAGTTTAAATCCCAAATCTATAATTTCTAGGCTGGGTGACCCCACTGAGCCATCAAAGGATAATGAACAGGTCTTAGGGCTGTTGTGAGGATTAGAAGTGGAAGGTGTTGGAGGTAATCAGCAAAGAGCAGGCATTCAGTCAATGTTCTGCTCACCATATTTTCCCAGAAATAAACAGCTTTTACCAGCCATTCCCAGTGGCAGAACCTAAGGACATCTTCATAATGTGTAATTGAATAGGAAACACCTTCTCTGTCTTAAAGCAAGTGCAATTCTGGAGTTATTTTGAAAACATTAGTATTCAACACTTCTATTCACTCTGAGATCCTGGGGATAAAATGAATAATTTCATTTTTAAAAGAAACAGGGATAGAATATGAGAATGTCAATTTTGCTGAAAAGTGTTTTACTTTCCTCAAGATACTTAATCAGATCAGTCCTCTATAGATTCTGAACTGATTGGTTCTTTGCATAACATTTTCAGTCTCAAAATCTGAGAAAATTGCCTAGAGCTAGCTGCATGAACACTTTGTAAGAATATTTGTAAAGAATAGAGATTAAATATCCAATTCTTTTTACAATCCACTTTGTACTTGGAGTTTAAGTTCTTACTGAGGTATAAGAAATACTCTATCTGTCAAATCATAGAATTTTTAGAGGATCTTTAGACATTCATCCTTCACTTTACAATTAGAGAAACCAAGGCCATATTTAGCTACAAGTCCTTCAAATGCATCACGATAATTTACTCTCTAAGGCCTTCTCATGTGCTGTTTTCTTCTGTTTCAGATGCTCACGGTTCCCTCTCCCCCATACCTCTATAATTCATTCTGCTCTTTCAGAATTTAACTAAAGGCCACCATCCCTGGGAATCTTTTCCTGACACCTCCCACCCCAAGATAGATGAGGTGGCCATTGTTGCGCACTCTGCATCACAGTGGACAGTATTATTGATTTTCCTGCCTTCTTCTGCCAATCCTTCCCACCCACTGACCACCCCCTACCCCCTTGCTGAGTTCCTTCGGGGAAGAGCCAATGTCTTGCTGAATTCCTAGTAGGTGACATAGGGGTTAGGACACAACAAGCATCTGTCATTGTTTGTTATCAAAAAATCCAGTCTGCCAACCTGGCTGGATCCATTTTGTAGGCTCATGGCAAATTTTAGTATTCTCATTGTGCAAGGCAAATTTGGATCAAATAGCAAGGAGGTAACTGGGCTCAGCTACAAAGGTTGGATATGGCATTTTGCGTTTATCTAAAGTATACCTTCTGCCTGCTGGGTACACACCACAGGGCTTGGCGAAGGATATTGAACACATCTATTACTTTCAAGGAATAGTCAGGTGGACAGTGTAAGAGGAATGAGTAGTCAATAAGAAAAAGGGAAAAAGTGACAAGAAAAAGACAAAAAGGGTTCAGAGAAGGGCAGGTTGCTTTTGCTGGAGTATGGTTTCAACAGACAGTAGAGAAAGTGGGCACCTAGGTGGAGAGGACAGTGTGAGCAAAGGGCTGGAAAGAGAAGAGGGGTATCAGTGACCCTTCCCAAGAAGAAAGCAAAACAAGAGGGTAGGACACCAACATGGGAGTCTTGTAAAGAGCATGATGTATAAAACGAATGCAGAGGAGAAAAAAAGGGGAAGATGGGGCTTACATCATAATACAAAGGCAGACCACAGGGTATCACTGTACAGACCAAGCCAATAATAGGCTCAGGTGGAATACCAATGACTGTGAAAATACCAAGGCAGACCACAGAGTACCACTGTACAGACCAGGCTAATAATAGGCTCAGATGGAACACCAGTGACTGTGAAGCTAAGTAACATTACATTCCTCTGACCTTATGTATTCCTATTTATGCCTCTAGACCTTCTCCATGAAACTGACTGGTTATGTGTCTGTCTCTATGGCACTGTGCAGGGCCACATGGCATGTTGAAAAAGCATGTGGTATTGGATGAGGCAGGAATCTATGCACTCTGGCCAGCTGTGTGACCCTGTATATAGGCTTGGATATAGGAAGGACCCTCCCTGTCCTAATCCATGAGAGTGATGCTCATCTCACTGGATTATTCTGGAATGTAAATTAAATTGCACATTGGAGAATCCCTGGATTATGGCAGCTTGTGAAAGGCTGAGTTCACCCTTCCCCTGAGCATCTCCCCACAGTTACTCAAGGTAGGACCCACGTTCAAGTCACCTCTGCCTCCCCAGGACCTATGCCAGCACCGAGCTCATAAGTCTTCATTGGATGTATAGTTGAAGGAGTGAGTGAATAAACTAATTAGTTAGTTAACTAGGTTAGCTAATGGGTAAATGGATAAATAGATAATTAATGAATAAATTATCCTCTCATGAGAGGAAAATTGGGTAAGCAATGGAACCTGAATGTGACACATGCAACATCCTGACGTCAAAAACCTCCAAATCAGTTTGAGCCCTCATCCAAATGGCCAAAGAAGTTGGTTGTGAAAATATGGTATAAACATAGAATTATCTTTGTTCTCGATAATTACAGATGCCATCCATTGACCACCTGTGGGCATGCTGGGTGTAATGTAACACATTTTGCCCACATTATCCTGTGCAACAATTTCTCAGAGTAAATGTTATCCTTATTTTACACGTGAGGAAAGTCCAAAAAATCAATTCACTTTCTCAAGGAGGCAAGCAAGGTGTGGACCTAGGACTTGAACTCATTTAACTGTTTCTCAGGCAAGATGCCCTCCCTTTGCCATTTGGGGCATATTAATTCTGGGTAATCTAGGTCTGTAGTTGATTTATTGATAGATAGATAGATAGATACATACATACATACATACATACATACATACATACATACATACACACATACGTACATAGAGATTAGATAAATAGATATAGATGGATAGATAGATAGAGATAGATTAGAGAGAGATGATAGATAGATAGATAGATAGATAGATAGATAGATAGATAGATAAACACTAAGTGAAACCCTTGGGAAAGGTGCATTTCTCTTCTTGATCCTAGAACCCAGAGTCATGATCGATGGCAACTCAGCAGTGATACCTGGACCACACTTCTCTTTTCTGCCCTTTGGGAAGTGACATTCTTCATTGAGGTTTTCCAGTCTTACAGGACAGCTGAGACTGGTGAACAGCTGTTACTCTCATGCACATCCACCCATTCATGAACTCTGGTTTGCCACTGAACAGGGCACTTGGCTGGAGGCTAGATCTGAGGGCACTCTGGGCCTTTCTCCTTCTTTACCTGCCTTCTCGTTTCCTCTAGAAGGAAAGAACGTGAGCAACCTGGACAGAAACAGGACCCTTTGTCCCTTCATCTGAGTGAAAGGAGAAACACCGCCCATCCTCCTAGGAAGGAGGAAAGGTCAGGCATCGCCTTGTGTATTGTGTCGTTATAAGCATTAAACATGGACTCCACATAGATGGCAGGATTCCTCATTGGTCTCAAGATTGTAATGAGCACACACTTCAAGTTCAGCTGGCTGGGGTTCAAATTCAAGCTTTGCCACTTATAAGCTCTGTAACCTTAGACCTTTTATTTTCTTTGGGCCTCTTATTCCTCGTCTTGTAAAATACAGGTCTTAATTCCTGCCTCACTGGACCATGACAAGAATCAGGTGATAAACCAGGCAGGTAGAAGTGTCCAATATATGGTGGAGGCACAGAGAGTATGGCCAGCAAAAGAGCCTGTCTTGGCCGCTGAGGCAGTGGGGACCGTGCGAGGGGTGAGTGAGCAATGAATGGCATGAGAGGAGCGTGTGAGATGCTTAGGGAAGCAGAATGCACAGAAGTTGGAGGTGGGCAATTTGAAGATGGGAAGACCTATTAGGGGGCCATTTTTTTTTTGTCTTCCTGGTATAAGAAAGAAGCAGAAAGGCAGATTTGAGATTATCAGAGAAGTCAGAGTTACCCGGACTCCTTTTCTGGCCTGCTGCTGGGCTACAGATTGAGGACAGGTTGAAGAAGACTCAAAGAATAGTTTTACCCTGCATCACTGTGCATCTCTGGGAAAAACCACCTAACATGTCTGAGCTCAATTTACTCATCTGCAAATGGGTATGAAAATACCTACCTTGGAATGTAGTTAAAAGGACAAGAAACATCGTTCATAAAGCACTGAGCTGCAAGCTCAGCAAGCCATAGATACCCCATCCACAGAACGATTATTCACCAGCCAGGAGCATGCTAACAGCTAGTGAGAGAACCATATGGACAAGTCAAAGTAGATGAATTTAATTGAATATAAATTGAATCCCTTCCAGTTTTACTCACTTGGGTAATAGTAATAAATATTCACATTTTTATAGAATCCTGTACTTTTCAAAGAACTTATCTTGATTTATCTGAGCAACAGCCCTTCAAAGTCACTGAGGTGAGCTTAGTTGGGATTTTCAGAAACAATTTTTAAGTAGCTTGAAATATTTCAATAGTTTTCCAGAAGGGCTCTAATAGGAGCTGTTCCTACTGTTCACAGCAATAAAAATCTTCTACAATCCTAGAACAGCACCATGGTCTTTCAGACTTTCTATATTTGCACATGCTATTTCTTCTCCTTGGAATTCCATTTCCCCTTTTCTCGTTTTCTATCTACTCCTCACTACCCCTTTCGCTCTGTTCCTACCCCTCCAACTTCCCCCACACACAGTAAGCAAAATCAGACAGCCTTAGTTAGGACCCAAGCTCCATCCCATGCTAGCTATGGGGCCTTGGGCAAATGTTTCAAACTCTACTGTCTCTGTTTCCTTATCTGTAAAATGGCAGGAATAATAATAGTATCTACCTCCTAATATTCTTGGTATTGTTGTCATCTCTTCCTTTAAAACTCATCCATGACCTTTCACTTACTGTCTTCTTCGCCCTGCTTGGGTCACGTGATGCTTGCCCTTTTTAGTACCCTCAGGACGCCGGGGCTTGCCTCTGGTGTAATGTGAATCACATCATTTGACCCACAAATTCCACTCCCATAATCTAGGTTAAGGAACTATAATCTGAAATGAATTCAAAGCTTATAGACAACAATGTCTACTGAAGTACTGTTTCTAATAATAAAATTTGCAAATAACATAAATGTCCATGATGAAGGCCATGGTCAATGACTAAGCCAATTATTAATGTTTTGTTTTTTTCTCATCCACTAAGGCCTGGACAATGTCAAGTTTCTCTCTAAACTCAATGCCTCAACAAGAGCCTTGAATGAAGTAGCTACTCAATAAAGGTTTCCATCCACGTATTCAGCAAAGATTCATTGAACACCTGCAAGGAGCCAAGCACTGTGCTACATGCTTTACGTACATCATATTATTGAATCCCCCCAATACTTCCTGTGGTAGGTGTTATTTTCAATGTCAATTTTAAAATGAGGAACTGAGACTTAAAGAGGTGAAGCCAATTGTAGGTCTGCCAGACTTGAATGCCCAAGCACTAACACCTATATTCTGTGGTTCTTGATAAATGAATACCACTGATAAAATAGTGGTTTGTCCATCCACAGAATAAATGCAGGCATGATATTTTTGGATGGGATTCTCTTAAAGTTTAAACAAGCTACTACTTTAAAAGGTCAACAAGCTTAGAAGTAATATTAATTCAATTTTTAAAATGAAGCAAGTTAAGTGATTTGCTGAGATCCCACAGCTAGTGAGTGACTGAGCTCTAACAAGAATCAGGTCACCTGATTCCTCATCTCTGGCTTTGTCCACTGTCCTTGCCCCAGCTGGAGGCTGATGGCTGCAATTCAGTTGTAAGATATTAATTTAAGGGCCAGTCTTAAAGGAAAATATTGGCCAAGAAGAACAACATGCATTTTCCTACAAAAAGATTTTTGTGAAGGGTCTTTGTCCAAGCAAAGTTCATTGCCAAATTTTTCTCTGATAGGATTGCCACAAAGAATGGATGATTTGGCACCATCCAAAACTCTGAGATCAGTACCATGTTTAGCCCACTCCAGCCTCTTTCTATGGCTTGTGAAATATAAAATATGACCACATTCCCTTAGAAAATCTACTCTCATTCCAGTTTTCTAGATATGCTCTCTTGACTGCCCAAATATTGCAATGCTTTCTACCTTGTATTTGCCCAATGACACTAACCTGGTTTTTCTACAAATCATTTCTAGAAATTTCTCCTTCATAAGGGTGAAGATATGAAATGCCTTCAGCATTTCTACCAAGGAAAAGCCAAGTTTAGAGTTCAAGTAAGTATGGGATCACTCAGGTAATACTAATAGGAAAAGGTGGATCATCTAAATGAGCTGGAAGGTCTACATTTTCCCCATTCCTTGAGAAATTATTCAGTTCTCCTCTCTGTTTGGAGGTATGTAAACACAGCTTAAAATGAAACAGAACCTTTACACTGAGGATCTCAAATGGATGTTGCTTCAAAGTCACCATTTAACAGTGCTATTCAGGAGGGAAAATAAAGATAAAGTTGCCATGGGAACCTCTGTAACACCTGGCACAGCACCTCTGACTCACAAAGCTGTATCTTAAAGAAACACAAGCATTAACTGATGCTTTTAGTAATCCCTGGGGCCAACCGTGCTTTCCTGATACACAGTGAGAGAATATTTACTGATATGCATCAATCTTCTTATGAGGGAGAAATTATTTTTTAAAAAGTGAAGTTTCTCATAGCCCAAATTCATTTTTATTGTACCCTAAATGTTTCATATGGAAAAATGCATTTTCTTTTCCATAATCATTTCTATTTCTGGTACAATATAGGAGAGATCTGCCCCTTAAATTTAATATGTGCAGCTTGCACAGACAGTCGGTATGGGAAACAGGTCACAAATTTAAATTAATGGAAGGTCAAGTTCGTAAGTGTGATCTGTACAGACAGCACACACCACAAAGCACACCACATTTAAGTCAGAAATCAGGGTGTGATTCTTGGCTTTATCATTAGCCAGCTGGTATGTCTGCTCTCTGACTTTCAGCATCTTCTTCAACTACATCTATTACCTGTGAAAATACCTACATCACCAGGTGATTGTGAGAATTTCATTAGATCATTGGAGAAGAAAAGTCTTTTTGTAAACTGTAGGGGGAAGAGAAGGAAATACATTTATTGAGTGCCTAGTATGTGCTAGACACATATAAGCAATATAATAGTTTTTATGTGTAAAACACAAGGCAAACAAGTCATAGATGAGGCTGTATAGGTTAACAGGAACAGATAACATAGGACCTTGAAAAAGAGCGTGGATTTCACAATGTAGGTAATTGAAAACCATTAATTTTGAACAGCAGAGTTACATGTTCAAAACTGGATCTTTGAAAGGTCCCTTGGAACAATGAGTAGGGTAGATAGAGACAAAGGGACAGGAGGAAGAATGGTAGGGAGATTCTTAACAATAAATAGCCAAGGAGAGAAACGGTGGAGGTGAAGATATTATTGTTAATGATGCCTCTGTGAACGAGGTGGATGATATGGTCTGGCTGATGGTTCAGTAAATAAATTACTGTCTTTCCAAATGGTGGCCATTATGGGCTAAATTGTATCTTCCAAAAAGATGGGTTGAAGCCCTAAACCCCAAAGCTTGTGAAAGTGACCATTTGGAAACAGGGTCTTTGCATATGTAATTAAGTTAAGATGAGGTTGTATTGTTACTGGTTGTACTGGGTTAGGGCGCACCCTAACCCAATGACTGGTGTTCTTACACAAAGAGAAAAATATGGACACAGAGACATACAAGGAGAATGCCAAATTATGACAGAGGCAGAGACTGGACTGATACATCTATAAGCCAAGAAATGCCAATGATTGACAGCAACTACCAGAAACTAGGAGAGGCAATGAAGGATCCTCCCACGGAGTCCTCAGAGAGATCATGGCCCCACTGACATCTGGATTTCAGACTTTTAGCTTCCAGAATGGTGAGAGAATAAATGTATGTTGTTCTAAGCCACCAAGTTTGTGGTACATTGTTATGGCAGCCCTGGGAAATTAATATGGTCATAGTCACACGTGGAGAAAAAAAACTCAGTCAACACTTCCTGGTAGTTCCGATGATGCTCTACCTATTAAGAAGTGCCCCCATAGAGTGGATACTGGGGTGTACCACTCAGATCTTCCTTTCAGGACAAAGACTCTCATTACGCCCTTACCCCACCCTTGAGTGTTTGCTGCTGAGAGCTCATAGTTGTGTCCCTCTCCATGAATTGCCCTCAGTTGAAAAGAGCTGTTTCATCCCATATCTTCTCATTTTCTCTATATCTAGCCTATATCTATATACTTGTTCATGTGGGGGTAAAAGGACCCCTTGACTCCATTCAGGACATCTCTACAGGGCCATTTCAGCGCCTGAGCTCCTCTTGAGCTCACCTGAAGTCTCTATTGTAATTGCATCACATCTCAACTTCCCTCTCAGAACAATCCAGCTTGCCTCACTTCCTTGCAAATTTGCCCCTAAGGGCAATATACTTCTTGCACACAAACCTTTATCTCAGAATCTTCCTCCAGGGACCTGAACCTACCCCGCAACATTATTCCCAACCTCACAAATGAAATATTAGCCTGAGATTAGCCTTAATCTCAGATTTGCATCTGTAAGAACCTGGGATGCATTCTTGGATAATAACCCAAAGGTATACAAATTAAAGAAAAAGTCCCTCTACAAAGGTAAACTTCCATACAATTTTTCAAAACTCTGATATGAAAATAAATCTGATTCTTCATTAAGAAAATATTAGAAAATTCATGCTACACTCTAGCCTAGGGCATGGAGTAATCCTGAAAGCCATAATATTTTATCCCTCTGAGCCACTGCCATTAGCAAACATCATCATAATCAATTGCAGACTCATGGAGAGATTGTGACTCAGGCCAACCTGAGGAGCTGAAGAAACTGGTATTTATAATGATAATGAAAACCAGACTGGTGAGAATGAAAATAAGAAAAAGTTTAGTAAAGTTCCAGAGACAAATAGAATTTGAACCACATAAGGAACTAGAGACAGAAAGATATGAAGAAATGTATTAGCTCTATTCATCTGGACTGAGTCACCAAAACTCTTTATCAACAGGAATTTGATTCTAGGGCAAGAGTCAAAGGATATAAAGAGGAAGCCAAAGTCAGGACTTGTCCTTTTAATTTTAAGGATCCAAGTATCTTCATACACACTCAACCCTAATTGGTTATAATTACAACATGCAGAACTATAATTGTCAAAACTGTTTGTCTAGGACTCAATATGTCAGGAATTATGCTAAATACTTTCCATGGATTCAGTCACTTATGTCTCACAGGACCCTATGATTTGGGTTATATTATTGTTCTTATTTTGCAGAGAGAGTAAATGAAGCAGAGAGGAAGGTAGAGCAACTTGCTCAAGGTCTTGCTCCACTCCCCAGATCCTACTAGTAATGATAGAAATTGGAGTTGGATCTTGGGGCAGCCAGGCTCCTAAGATCTTCCTCTTAACTCCCACATTTTACTCACTCAGAAATAGCTCTCTCTAATCCTTTTTCTCCACACTATTTTTATCTTCTTTTCATCTGGCTTCTACGTACAATTCCTTACTGATTTATCTTCCTCTTTCTTTCTCCTTTCCATCCATCTTAGGGTTTGAGAGAGTCTATACAGAAAGTCCCCCTTTTCCCCACCAAGTCAGAAACCCAGTAAACAAGAAATATATCCACGAGTCAGATGCAGATGATTATATCAGCTTTGTTCCTGATAAAACCTAGGTTGCAAAACAAGGCTTAGACCTGGGGGCAAGCAGGTTGACAATAATCTTCTGAATTGCATTTACCCTCAAAACTGCAGGGTAAATAGTAAGAGGGAAGTCTTTCCTGTTAATATCTCCCCAAAGCAGACATCAGATAAAGATTTTCCCTTCTTAACCAGGCACGATGGCTCATGCCTGTAATCCCAGCTCTTTGGGAGGCTGAGACAGGCAGTTCACCTGAGGTTAGAAGTTCAAGACCAGCCTGGCCAAACTGGTGAAGCCCTGTCTCTACTAAAAATACAGAAAAAAATAATTAGCCAGGTGTGGTGATGCACACCTGTAGTCCCAGCTACTCAGGAGGATGAGGTGGGAGGATCACTTGAACTCACAAGGCTGTGCATCTCTGGGAAAAGCCACCTAACATGTATGAGCTCAGTCACATTGTGCCACTGCACTCCAGCCTGGAGGACAGAGCAAAACTCCATCTCAAAACAAACAAACAAACAAAAAGATTGTCCCTTCTCTGTAGGCAGACAGATCTGAAAAGCAGTAAAAGAGAAAAAACTTCTACCAGGAGGCAAGGAAATCAGTGCTCTTCTCTAGCCCACTTCCATGTAACTTCACTTTTGACCATGTCTTTTCCACTTACAAGCCTTGACTTGTCCACCTATCCCTTCAAGATCAAATTCAAGCTCCCTAGTGAGATATTGGAGGCCCTTCCTCCCTGTGGTCATCACTCGAGCTATTCACTAATGTTTCTAGCTCCTCTCCTTCTGGGCCTATGAGAGAACTGTACTTCAAGATCATGTACTTCAGGTCATGTGGCTGGCTTTGTCCAAAGAAATGTGAACAGAAGTGACATGTGTCACTTCCAGGTGGAATCCTATAAGGGCCAATTCCTTCGTCACTTTCCTGTCCCCTTGCCATAGGGAATGACGAAGATCCAGGTGGTAGACGGACCATCACCCTGAGTCAGGACAACACAGAGCAGAGCTCCCATTGACCCGTGATGGATCTGCAGCACGGGAGAGAAATGGACATCTGTTGTTTCTAGCCACCGAGCTTTCAAGACTGTTTGTTACTGCGGTATGGCCTAACTCACCCTGACCTATGCACTCACAACCTCCCAATTCCTTTTCCACGTGCTACAATTTCTAAACACACAGAGTGACTTCTCACCTCCAGGCTTTGGCTCATAATTTACCTCCATTCACATGCCCTCCAACATCCAACCAACCTCCAACACCTCCTCCAAACCCAGATCAAGTATCACCTCCTCCGTGATGGATCCTGTGTCTCCTGGAGACAGAAGTCAATGTTCTCTCCTTTGGACGCAGCTCAGAAAACACTTAAGAATGACTGAGTTGGGGAGGTTTCTGACCAGAGCAACTGAGTGGAAGTCTATGAGCAGAAGTGACTTGTCTGCTATCTTTTACTAGATTAAGGATCCTCAGGCTGAGTAAGCTTGTATTCTTTTTTTTGAAGACAGAATCTCACTCTGTCCCCCAGGTTGGAGTGCAGTGATGCAATCTCGGCTCACTGTAAGCTCCACCTCCCGGGTTCATGCCATTCTCCTGCCTCAGCCTCCCGAGTAGCTAGCATTACAGGCGCCTGCCTCCACGCCTGGCTAATTTTTTTTTTTTTTTTGTATTTTTAGTAGAGACAGGGTTTCGCAGCATTAGCCAGGATGGTCTCAATCTCCTGACCTCGTGATCTGCCCGCCTCGGCCTCCCAAAGTGCTGGGATTACAGGCATGAGCCACAGTGCCCAGCCAGCCATTTCTTTTTCATTCCAGGCAATGTCAATTCTCCCTGCAGAGTGAGCAGGAGCATGTTAACCACAGTCTCTCCACACTGCAGGGCGCCAAGCTTGCCTTTAGCCCAAGGGAGGGACTTGGTATTTTCCTCAAGGCATTCAGTGCATGTGCCAAGTATTTTGCTTCACGAGCCAGGGAGGAGCCACAGAGGCAGCAGCAGAAGGGGAAGAGGAGGCACACGGTACGGCATATGGTGTCAGTGGCACCTTGCCAGGGATGGCAGCACTTACACGTTGGCCATGGGCAGAACTTGGAGAACAAATTACACTTCTCCCTTTGGGGAAGGAGACAAAATGAGACTGGGGTGTTGTGCCAAGACGACAGTGAAGTGCTAAATATAGATGGGCCCTTCTGTCTTGAGCAGTGGATCTCAACTCTGACCAGACATTAAAAATTACCTGGAGAGCCTTAAAATATTTCAGTGTCTAGGCAGCATTCCAGACTAGCTAGATCAGACTCCCTGGGGGCGGGGCCCAGACATCAGTATTTTTTCAGAACTCCCTATATGATTCATGGGCAGCGGAGCTTACAAACCCACTCTGGAGCACAGCGTTATCTGGTCTTTCCAGCAGACCTCAGGAGGCGGATGGCAAGAGTGCATGGTTTATTCTGCTTTATGTCTCATATCCTTGCACTACCTATATTCTATAAAATTGGGATTTTATAGTCAGGGAGAAAGGAGTTAGTATTTTCTGAGTGCCCCCTATGTGGGAGACTTTGGTAGTATATCCCTTACACACACTGTTCCATTTCATTATCACATCGATCCCATGGAATGGCCACCCCCTTTGAGAAATGAGAAAGCTGAGGTTTAAAGAAGTGAAATCACATTCACACAGTTAACAGGCAGCAGTCGGGATTCAGTTCAAGCTCCCTTTGCTTCTACATCACTGCTTTTCAAACTACTGTGGTATTTGAGGTGCTGCAAACATTTGATTCAAGTAGCATTTTAAATGTACATCTATAATTTCTAAAGCCATAACATAGAAAAGCACACACAAAATTGTCTCATATACCACCCTGCGGCACGCTAGAGTCTTCAGTGTATTGCTGTGCACATCTGTGTTAACTCATGCCTGTGCGGGCCCCTGAGGAAGAATTATCTTACCACCTCTGTATTTACCATTGTATCTGTCCGTTTTCATGCTGCTATGAAGAACTACTGAAGACTGGGTAACTTATAAAGGAAAGAGGTTCAATTGACTCACAGTTCTGCATGGCTGGGGATCCCTCAGGAAGCTTACAATCACAGCCGAAGGTACCTCTTCACAGGGTGGCAGGAGAGAAAATGAGTGCCAGCAGGGGAAATGCCAAACGCTTATAAAACCATCAGATCTCCAGAGAACTCACTCATTATCAGGAGAACAGCATGAGGGAAACCGCCCCCATGATCCAATCGCTTCCCATCTGGTCCCTCCCACAACACGTGGGGATTATGGGAACTACAATTCAAGATGAGATTTGGGTGGGGACCAGCCATGAACATCTAGAAAATGGGTAAGCTGATTAGAATGATTGAAAGTGGTCTTTATGGCTGTGCACGGTGGCTCATGTCTGTACTTCTAGCACTTTGGGAGGCCAAGGTGGGAGGATTGCTTGACCCAAGAGCTCGAGACCAGCCTGGGCACCTAACTAGACCCTGTCTCTACAAAAATGAAAAATAAGAAACGTAGCCAGATGTGGTGGCACACGCCTGTAATCGTAGCTACTCAGGAGGCTGAGGCAGGAGGATCACTTGAGCCCAGAAGTTAGAAGCTGTAGTGAGCTGTGATCATGCCACTGCACCCCAACCTGGTGACGAAGTCTCAAAAAAGAGACTCTGTCTCAAAAAAAAAAAATAAAAATAAAAAAGCTCTTAAAAAATCAGGCATGGGCATGTGTATTCACATAAAATTGTTCAAGCCAGTGTATTATGGCAAGATATGTGCCTGGCATCGTTGCACAAAAACTGAGTTAGGCCAGCTCAGTGCAAGGGCTCATCAGGTGTCAAACTAGGTAAATACTCACAAGGCACAACACAGCCTTGCCCTTTTACAATGACGATGGGGTTTCAGTGAGTTTCAGGGCTTCTGTAATGTGACTAAGCTCTGACGGGCAGGTCACAGCGTTACCAGGCTTCCACTGCAGATAAAGGGTCCACAGTGAACCTGGAACTTAAAGTTCTGGTCCAATATGCAAAACACAAGAAGTCTGGCAGCTTTGAAACTCACAAGGATGCTCATTTGATAATTAAGTCATGTTCCAAAATACTAGATAATAGGGCTTCTAAAACCACCAAGGAATCTATGCCTTTGATTTCCTCCATATTATGTTTGAAACTCAGAAATGCCAATATATTGTCAGTGATTTAATGTTGAAGCATAAATGTTGTTTGTGCTTCCAAGCTACTTGACTAGTTTAATCTGACAATTATCCTGAGGTTACTCAGTGAGCAATTATAAGCAAGCGTCTGGAGGTAGCAGCTTCAGGCTGGACGGTGGGAGGAGCCTGAGGACCCTGCGGCTGTGTCCTCCTGTGCAGGCACAGACAGAGTAGAGCCCTGAGTAGGCCTCCCAGGTAGCCAGACCTCATCACAGCCACCCCATGCCCTCAAGGCTGATCAGAGCTCTGCAGGGCAGAATATAGTTTGGGCCAGGGTTTCGGGTAGATAAGGAGGCCCATGGGATTCCACTGTCCATTTCTTCCTCCTCTGATGCAGAAATCAAAGTTGTGATTGGATATTTAGGAGTCATTATCATGGATGATGAGTTCCAATTGTTACAAAGAAATGTCATGGACAAGTACTAGCAGAAGTTTGAAAATACGGAAGAGAATGAACTCACATGCTTTTTTTTTTTTTTTTTTTTTTTTTGACAGGGTCTCAGTCTGTCACCTGGGCTGGAGTGTAGCGGCCAATCATGCACGCCTATTTTTAATGAATATATTTCTTTGATTTAAAAAATTGATGAACAGCTGTTGTAGCAGATTCCCAAATTCAGCATGGCAGCCCTCACAACGTCACAGCACCACAAAGATGAAAGGGCTAGTTGCTTTTCAACAGGCTACACACATTTATCCATTTACAGGCATTTAAAGAATGCTTCTTGACTAGAGGGTGGACAAAAAAGGTCAAGAAGTTACACGTCGGCAGTGGTTTAGTGGCAGCTTCTTTGTGCAGATCATATTCTATGTTAGCTTTTCAGAACAATCTTGGCACTAGCTCCCACCTCCAAGCAATGGGATTATTCTGGACATTGTTGGCCCTATAGGCTGGGAGAGGTGTGGCCAATGAGGACAGAATACCTCTTGGAAAGGCTGACTCTGTCCTGCAGCTCTTCATTAATGATAAGGACTGATGAGTCAAAGAGAAAACGACCTGATTCTCTCAGGACCTCTGTTTCTCCTGAAACACTTTCTTATATTCAGTACTCCTTCAACAATAGACACCTCTCCACTGCTTCTGCGCAGACCACTCAGCAAGCCAATGTTGTGCATTCCACCTGGAGGTCCCCTTCCCCCAGCATAAAGTTGGTCTGTCAAAAAGATAGACTAACCCCCCACCATTACAAACCCCCTTGTCCCAAGTGCCACAGCAGGCTTTACCTAAATTTCAAATTTTCTATTCATTCTCAGCTCTTTTACTTGAGTCAGAGTTTCAGTCCTTCTGCCCTGATGGCCCAGCTGTTGAGGGTCATTTGGGAGTGTTTATCTTATCTAGGGGTTACTCAAACCAGCTGCCCCTGTCTTAAGATTTCTGAAGTTCCTATTGTCATAGCTAGTCTTGGCTGTCGGAGTGGGCTGAAAGATACCAAAGATACATCTTTTACCTAGAAATTACATGTGAAAAATCAACCCCTAGTGTTGCATCTGCAGTCTTCTCATCACTATGTCTTCTGCTAGTTCTGATTTTGTCTCACTGTTTCTAGAAGCCTACTTTGAGCATTATTTTGGGGGAAAAAATATTTTTATAGAAGAATATTCAGACTAACCTCGAGGATCTAACCTTGGAATTTCTTTTTTGTTTGTTTGTTTGTTTTTGCATTTTTGAGATGGAGTCTCACTCTGTCGCCCAGGCTGGAGTGCAGTGGCATAATTTCAGCTCACTGCAACCTCTGCCTCCCAGGTTCAAGCGATTCTCCTGACTCAGCCTCCCAAGTAGCTGGGATTATAGGCGTGCACCATCATACCCAACTAAATTTTTGTATTTTTAGTAGAGACGGGGTTTCACCATGTTGGCCAGTCTGGTCTCGAACTCCTGACCTCAGGTGATCCACCTGCCTCCGTTTCTCAAAGTGCTGGGATTACAGGTGTGAGCCATCGCACCCGGCCTAACCTTGGAATTTATTCTAATTGCCTCCTTAGAGATTGGAGTATTATATACTGTGTACGTTTTATTTGTTAGTGTCATGAAGGCAACAAAAAAATGCTTTCTACACTGGCATTCCTCTTATACTGGACCTGAATGAATATATGCTGTGTGCTAGAAGTAGACTAAAAGGTATCCTTTCCTTACAGCACATTAGGTGTGTTTGTACTAGTTTGTATAAAATCTTTTCTGTATAAAACAGTATTACATTTTTTGTTGAGATGGCTATGACTTTGGTTTAAAAGAATGACTACAATTCCTTTTTCCTGTCAAAATTTCTCCTGCCAAGATGATGTTTCACTGGTCTTGGTCAGCACAAGTAGGGGATAGCAGTAGGGGATAGCACAGCCTAAATGCTCACGTGTCTGGCTTTGGTTTAGTGTAATGTTTATCAAACAAACAAACAAAAAAGAAATTCCAAGGTTAGATCCTTGGTACGGCTTCTGGTGAACTGTCAGCTATTAGTAGCTAAGTTTTTGGAGAGTCAAAAGTTCTATGTAGATTTTTGACCGTGTGAGGGGTCAGTGCCCCTAACTCTCACATTGCTCAAGAGTCAACCATAGTTTTGTTTTGTTTTGTTTTTAAGGGCCTGCCATTTGTAACTGCTTTTCTATGTGATTCAAAACTTTCCCAACACCGGACAACTAAATCATAAAACAAAATACAGGACTAAATAGGATGTGGAGGCTACACATGACAGTCATTCATAAACCTCAGTTCAAATCATGAGCTCCCTGCAGCTGCCTTACTGTCCTCACTGACTGACTTTGACATAAGAAATTGTTATGATTTGAAATGGTAAAATAAGACTTCTGTGCAGGGCGGGTGGGGGGGCACTCGCTCTGGCACTGCATGGTACTGCCGGGTCATAAGGCCTTGCCTTTGGACCCCCAGCCAGAGGGACAGGGCAGGCACTGGGCCAGTAGGCAGTGACCAAGTCTCCAGCGGGCATCAGCCAGACTCTGCAGACTCTGGAGAGGCACCCTCCTCCCACTGGAGCCTGAGCCAGAATTAGGGGTCTCATGCCCAGGGAGCATGGGGACACCATGGTCCTTGTCCCAATCCTGGATGCCCAGTCCTGATCCCTTGTGCTCTGCATGGCTATGACCATCCTGGCTGGCACCACCTCAGAACCCCTGGGCACAGAGCAATGTGTAGTATGGAGAGCCACAGGGTTCTCCTTTCTCAGGTGGTGAGGAAGATAGGAGGACAAGGCTAAGACAAAGTTGATTTTCAGCAAACCTTCAAAGGGTGAAGGGGAAGCTTTCCCTCGTCCCCTACAGTTTTGAGTCTATGAGCAGGATAATTGGAACGGCTCTGCTCTTCTGGAAGCTTCAGTCAAGGGACACCAGGACCTAACAACCCAGCAGAAGGAGTCAAGAAAACTTTTGAGCCAATGAACATGCACTCCACCACACTGCCACTGTTCCTGGCACATATGAGTAAGCACAGATCATGCTGCCACCACCCCAGTGAAGTGATTTTGTCAGCACCACTCACCAGAGTGCAGTGGTCACAGTCTTGGAACACCTTGGCCCCTCCAGCACAGCAGGTTCCTAACCTCGAGAGACCAGACAAAAGAACCAGGGGCTCAATACCAGCCCCTTAGAGTTAGAGCTCATGGCCTAAGAGTGCTGAGTTGAGCCATGGCCCCTTAAGATCTTCTAAAAATGAAGCCAGTTTATTGAACCCAGATTACAACACAATGAAACCTCCAAGGGCATCAAAGAAGATAAAAGCAAAAAATACAAAATCCAAAGGACAGCAACTTCAAAGACTGAAGAAACATTAGCCCACACAAATGAGAGAGAACCAGTGCAAGGACTCTGGCAACTCAAAAAGCAAGAGTGTCTTCTTACCTTCAAACCACCACACTAGTTCCCCAGCAATGGCTTTTAACCAGGCTGAAATGACAGAAATCGAATTCAGAATATGGATAGAAATGCAGATCACTGACATTCAGGAAGAAGTCAAAACCCAATCCAAGGATTCCAAGGAATACAATAAAATGATCCAGGAGATGAAAGACAAAATGTCCATTTTAAGAAAGAAGGAAACTGATCTGATAGAGCTGAAAAACTCACTTCAAGAGCTTCGGACTACAATTGCAAGTATTAACAGCAGAATTGACCAGACTGAGAAAAGAATCTCAGAGATCAAAGACCAGTTCTCTGAAATAACTGAGTCAGACAAAAGTAAAGAAAAAAGATTAAAGAAGAATGAACAAAACCTTCAAGAAATCAGAGAGGGAGAGAAAGCAAGCAACTTGGAATACATTTGAGGATATTGTTCTTGAAAATTTCCCCAAACTTAGTAGGGAGTTCAACATTCAAATTCAGGAAATGCAGAGAACCCCTGTGGGTGCTGCACAAGATAACCATCCCAAAACACAGTTATCAGATTCTCCAAGGTCAAAATGAAAGAAAAAAATATTAAAAGCAGCTAGAGAGAAGGGGTAGGTTACTTATAAGAGAAACACCATCATGCTAACACCAAACCTTTCAGCAGAAACTCTATAAGCCAGAAGAGATTAGGGGCCTATATTCAGCATTCTTAAAAAAAAAAAAAAAAAAGCAATTCCAACCAAGAATTTCATATCCAGCCAAACTAAGCTTCATAAGTAAAGGGGAAATAAGATCCTTTTTAGACAAGTAAACACTAAGGGAATTTGTTACCATCAGACCTGTCTTACAAGAGGTCCTGAAGGGAGTACTAAATACGGAAAGGAAAGACTATTACCATCCACTACAAAAAACACAATTACATAGACCATTGACACTATAAAGCAACCACACAAACAAGTCTACATAATAACCAGCTAAGAACATGATGACAGAATCAAATCTGCACATATCAATATTAACCTTGAATGTAAATGGGCTAAATGCCCCAATCAGGAGGCACAGAGTGGCAAGTTGGATAAAGAAGCAAGACCCAATGCTGTCTTCAAGGGACCCACCTCACATGCAGTGATACTTATGGGCTCAGGGTAAAGGGATGGAGAAAAACCTACCATGCAAATGTAAAACAGAAAAAAGTAGGAATTACTATTCTAATTTTAGACAAAACAGACTTGAAACCAACAATGATTTTTTTTAAAGTACATTATGCAATGGTAAAGGATTCAATTCAACAAGAAGACCTAACTATCCTAAATATATATGCACCCAATGCAGGAGCTTCCAGATTCATAAAGCAAGTTCTTAGACCTACAAAGAAACTTAGATAATGACACAATAATAGTGGGAGATTTCAACACCTCACTGACTGTATTAGACAGATCATCAAGGAAGGAAACTAACAAAGATATTTAAAACCTGAACTTCACACTTGACCAAATGGACCTAATAGACATTTAAAGAACTCTCCACCCCAAAACAACAAAATACACATATTTCTCATCTGCACATGGCACATACTCTAAAATTGACCACACAGTCAACCATAAAATAATCCTCAGAAAATTTAAAAAAAAACTGAAATTATACTAACAACACTCTGAGACCACAGTACAATAAAAATGGAAGTCAATGCTCAAAAGATTGTGCAAAACCATTCAATTATATGGAAATTAAACAACCTGCTCCTGAATGACTTCTAGGTAAACAATGAAATTAAGGCAGAAATCAAGAAATTCTTTGAAACAAATGAGAAGAAAGATACAACATACCAGAATCTCTGGGACACAGCCAAAGCAGTGTTAAAATGGAAGTTTGTAGCACTAGACACCCACATCACAAAATTAGAAAGATTTCAAATTAACAACCTAACATCACACCTAAAGTAACTAGAGAAACAAGAGCAAACTAACCCCAAAGGTAGCAGAAGACAATAAATAACCAAAATCAGACCTGAACTGAAGTAAGTTGAGGTGCAAAAAGCCATACAAAAGATCAATGAGTTCAAAAGTTGGTTCTCTGAAATAATAAATAAGATAGATGCACCACTAGCTAGGCTAATTTTAAAAAAAGAGAGAAGATCCAAATAAACATAATCAGAAATAACAAAAAGGACATTACCACTGACCCCACAGAAATACAAAAAATCCTAAGAGACTACTATGAACACCTCTAGACACACAAGCTAAAAAACCTAGAAGAAATGGGTAAATTTCTGGAAACAAAACCCCCCATGATCGAACCGGGAAGAAATTGAATTTCTGAACAGACTGATAAGTTTCAAAATTGAATGAGTAATAAAAGTCTACCAACCAGAAAAAGCCTAGGAACAGATGGATTCAAAGACGAATCCTACCAGATATACAAAGAACAGCCAGTACCATACCTACTGAAGCTACTCCAAAAAATTGAGAAAGGACTCCCGACTAACTCATTATATGAGGCCAACATCATTCTGATGCCAAAATTTGACACAGACACTCACAGAGAAAGAAAACTTCAGGTCAATATCTTTGATTAACACAGATGCAAAAATCGTCAACAAAATGCTAACAAACTGAATCCAGCAGCACATCAAAAAGCTAATCCACCACAATCAAGTAGTCTTTATCTCTGTGATGCAAGTTTGGTTCAACATATACAAATCAATAAATCAATAACATAAACAGAACTAAAAACAAAAATCGCATGTTCATCTCAGTAGATGCAGAAAAGCTTTCAATAAAACTCAATATCGCTTCATGTTAAAAATTCTCAACAAACTAGAAATTGAAGGAAAATACTTCAAAATAATAAAACTCATCTATGACAACCCCACAGCCAACATCATAATGAAATGGGCAAAAGCTGGAAGCATTCTCTTTGGAAACTGAAACAAGACAAAGATGCTCTATCTCACCACTCCTATTCAACATAGTACTAGAAGTCCTAGCCAGAGCAATCAGGCAAGAGACAGAAATGAAAGGCATCCAAGTAGAAATAGAGGAAGTCAAGCTATCCCTGTTTGCAGAAGATGTGAAAACCCCATAATCTCTGTCCAAAAGCTCCTTGATCTTATAAACAACTTCAGCAAAGTTTCAAGATACAACAATCAATGTACAAAAATCAGTAGCATTCCTATACACCAACAGCATCCAAACTGAGAGCCAAATCAAGATATGCAGTTCCTTTCACAGTTACCACAAAAAGAATAAAATGCCTAAGAATACAGCTAACCAGAAAGGTGAAAGATCTCTATAATGAAAATTACAAAACACTACTCAAAGATATCAGAGATTACATAAACAAATGGAAAATTATTCCATGCTCATGGATAAGAAGAATCAATAGTGTTTAAATGACCATACTGCCCAAAGAAATTTATAGAGTCAATGCTATTCCTATCAAACTACCAATGATATTCTCCACAGAATCTTTAAAAAAATTAAAATTCATATGGAACCAAAAACGAACCAAATAGCCAAGCAATCCTAAGCAAAAAGAACAAAGCAAGAGGTATCACCTTACCCGACTTGAAACTACACTATAAGCCTACAGGAACCAAAACAGCATGGTAGTGGTACAAAAACAGACACATAAACCAATGGAACAGAATAAAGAGACAAGAAATCATGCTGCACACCTAAAACCATCTTACTTTTGACAAAAGTCTACAAAAGTAAGCAATGGGGAAAGGGCTCCCTGTTCGATAAATGGTGCTGGGATAACCAGCTAGCCGTATGCAGATGATTAAAACTGCACCCCTTCTTTCACCATATATAAAAATCAATTCGAGATGGATTAAAAACTGAAATGTAAAACCTAGAACTATAAAAACTCTGGACAGTAACCTAGGAAACACTATTCTGGACATAGAACCTCAAAAATTTCTTAATGCAGATACCAAAAGCAATTGCAACAAAAACAAAAATTGACAAATGGGACCTAATTAAACTAAAGAGCTTCTGCACTGCAAAATAAACTATCAACAGAGTAAACAGACAGCCTACAGAATGGGAGAAAATATTTACAAACCATGCATCCAACAAAATTCTAATATCCAGAATCTTTAAGGAGCTTAAGCAAATTAAGAAGCAAAAAACAAACAACCCTCTAAAAAAGTGGGCAAAGAACATGAACAGATACTTTTCAAAAGAAGACATACATGTGGCCAACAAGCATGTGAAAAAATGCTCAGCTTCACTAATCATTAGAGCAATGCAAATCAAAATCACAATGAGATATCATCTCACACCAGTTAGAATGGCTATCAGTAAAAAGTCAAAAAATAAGAGATGCTGAAGAAGTTGCAGAAAAAAGGGAACACTTATACACTGCTGGTGGGAGTGTAAATTAGTTCAGCCATTGTGAAAAGCAGTTTGGTGGTTTCTCAAAGAGCTAAAAACAGAACTACTATTTGACACAGCAATTCCATTACTGGGTGTATATATATCCAAAGGAATATAAATCATTCTACCATAAAGATACATGCACGCATATGTTCATTAAAACAGTATTCACAATAACAAAGACAGGAAATCAACCTAAATGCTCATCAACAGTAGACTGGATAAAAAAAATGTGGTATACATACACCACGGAATACTATGCAGCCACCAAGAAGAACGAGGTCACGTCCTTTGGAGCAACCTAGTTGAAGCTAGAGGCCATTATCCTAAGCAAACTAACACAGAAACAAATAAAACAAAGACCACATGTTCTCACTTTTACATGGGAGCTAAACATTGGGTACACATGGACACAAAGAAGGGAACAACAGACATTGGGACATCCTTAAGGAGAAGGGTAAGGATGGAAAAACTACTTATCAGGTACTAAGCTTATTACCTGGGTGATAAAATAATCTGTACACCAAACCCCTGTGACATACAATGTACCTATATAGCAAACCTTCCTATGTATGCCTGAACCTAAAATAAAAGTAAAAAGAAAAAGAAATGGTCAATTAAATATGAATTAGCGAAGTACTAACTGTGTGTTTTATATAGGAGCATTTTTTAAATATAATTTGCATTTTTCTTAGTGTTAAAAATTTAAAAATCACTGCCCTGTGTTAGGCTGCTTCCCCAAATGAAAACTTTAATGCGTAAGGATTGAAACCACCCTACTAGAGACTGAATGTGTGCCCCCAAAATTTATATGTTTAAACCTAATCCCCAATGTGTTAGTATTTGGAGATGGGCCTTTTGGGGGTGATTAGATCATAAGAGTGTGATCACCTCCTCTGTCTTCTTCATAAATGGGATTAATACCCTTATAAATAAGATCCCAGAAAGTTCCCTCACCCCTTCCACCATGTGTGGCTATAGCAAGAAAAACAACCACCTATAAACCATGAAGCAGGCCCTCGCCAGACAGCAAATCTGCCAGCAGCTTGATCTTGGACTTCCCAGACTCCAGAACTGTAAGTAATACATTTCTGTTGTTTATAAACTCCCCAGTCTATCATATTCTGTCATAGCAGCCCAAACAGACTAAGGCACACCCTATGTAAAGAGGAAGAAATAGTTTACTAAGCAGTTAAATGAGAGACAGAGAGAAAGTATGTGTGTGTGTGTGTACTCATGGGCCTACAGGTTTCCACCTATATGCACGTATGTATTGCATACACATGTCACATTACGTAGACTGCTTAGATATAACCAAACTCTTCTCATTGGGGCATTGGTGAGGTAAACCATACGCAGGAAGACCTGGGGCACTGTCAAAGCTCTAGTTCTAACTTCTTTTCTTCGCCTAATTCTGGCTTCCAATCCACTTTTGCATCCCACTCTGATCCATATCCTATACTCACCCACTCCAGACCAATCACTTCCTTGTGGAAAAGGGAGCTGATATGTTAATTATGTGAGAATCTTGATCTCTTTTAAGTGAGAAAGTTTTTAATTCCTCAGAGGGTCTTCATTGATACCACCTACCTTGAGATATAGCACATTCCTTTTGTGATGTTTGTACAGCTCCATCACTGTTTGCCCCGTGTGTCATTGCACAGGTCATGAGAATGAGGGCGGTACTCCTCCATGTCACTTTGCCCTGATAATGCATCACAAAACCCACACTATGAGCCCAGAGCTAATGGCTGGGTCTTTTTCAGGTAGCTCATGAGACTTTTGACCAAAACAGCTTTGTGAAAGGGTATCTCAAACACTGGCCCTGTCCTTATTAATTATGTGTACTTAGACAAATCACTTTGCACTCTGAGCTACAATGTTCTCACTCCAAAGTGGAGGCAAGAATCCCTACGTTGCAAGGTTGTTGTGAGCACTGAATGATTATGGAAGCAATGTGCTAGAATATAGATTTGCCAGATAAATTTAACACTTTGTGTTAAATCATTGTTGAAATTTTTTACACCTCAGCTTCTTTTCTCTCAAGCATTGTCAAATCAGTTGGGATATTTTGTGTGTTCTTCAAAGTTTTTACTTCCTACTAAAAAAAAAAAGTTTTTAAAAAATCATGATTACTTACTAAAAGTTTTCTAACTTTTTCTTGACAGATAATATTATCTAATGCCTGCTGTTCTTGATGCATTATATAGAGCACCTGGTATTTTTCTCCACCTAAAAGAGTAATTTTGAGGCACTTTTAAACCTTTTATTATTCATTCTCTCTCTTAAAATCTTTAACAAACTCTTTAAAACAACAAAAAAAATCGTTTTCTCTTTCTTTTCCATGGTACTTACCCTTATAACTTGAACACATACTTGAGCAGGTTTCTAGTCCCATCTTACGCCACAAGATGGAAATTAAAGTGGAAAAGTGCGATTAACAGGGTTCCATTTCACCATCTACTTGCTGAGTGACACGCAAGTAGATGAGGGCTTTCAAGTCACCTAGCCCTCAGCTGCTGTAAAATAAGCAAAATCACCCAATACCTCCCAGGATTTGCGTGAGGAGCCAATGATATTCTGGAAGAAAAAACAAACTTTGGAAATTGTTCTGTACACGTGCTCTCCTGTACTTGCCAATCTTCCCAGGAGGCCAGAGTCCTAAGCAGAGAAAAAGCAGGGTTTTGCACAGAAGCATAATGTGGGAAATGCAGGGCCCACATTCCCTGCGGTTATTTATATCTATAACCTCTGAGGTGGGAGAGCTGTCTCCGCACAGAAACTCTTTTACTAATGTCATATTCAACACTTCTCCAGCACTGCAGACCTTTCTGGAGAAGCAGTTTACACTTGAACCAGTTAGGAAGGAGACCCTGCAGCTACTACACTACAAGAATTCCATTCTACAAACTTTCTGAGCCCTGCTCTGGGCCAAACCCTGTGCCTGACACAGGAGCTACAGAGAGCAAAAAGAGGCAGGCCTTCAATCATCTTATCCGCGGCATATGCGTAGGACTTGTCTATATGCTAGGCACCTCCTAGGTGCTGGGGATGCAACAGAGAGGAAAACAAACAAACAAACAAAAAACAGGTACTTGCTCTCGTGAAGCTTACATTTTCACAGAGACACAGTCAGTGAAAGGGAAAAACATTTTAAAGATAATTTTAGAAAGTAAAAAGTATTATGAAGAAAACAAAATGGAATCGTATAATAAAAAGGGATGCCAAGTTATTCTGATGGACGATCAGGGATGGGCTCCCTTTAGAGGTGATATTTGAGAGATGAGAATGAGTATGAAAATAAATTAGTGATACTATTGAGAGTTTGGCCGAAGGATGGAATATGGGAAAGGAGTACAACTTTTTTTTATTACAATTTTTTTTCGAGACGGAGTCTCCCTCTGTTGCCCAGGATGGAGTGCAGTGGCGCGATCTCTGCTCACTGAAACTTTCGCCTCCTGGGTTCAAGCGACTCTCCTGCCTCAGCCTCCCGAGTAGCTGGGACTACAGGTGGATGCCTCCACACCCGGCTAATTTTTGTGTTTTTTTTTTGTTTTTTTTTTTTGGTAGAGACAGGGTTTCACCATATTGGCCAGGCTGGTCTTGAACTTCTGACCTCGTGATCCACCTGCCTCAGCCTCCCAAAGTGCTGCCATTACAGGTGTGAGCCACCTCACCCGGCCGCAGTACAACCTTTTTAAGCAACTAGTATGTGCTAGGGACCATGCTATGTTGACATTTTCACTTATTTAATCTTCCCAGGCCTCCATGGCAGCAACTATGCCAACTGTAGTCACCAGTGCCAAGAGCAATAGATGGCACACAATGAGTACACTAATAAAAACAGAATGAATGAAAATGAGGATGAATGAGATCGAATTTATCAATCCCGTTTTATAAACAAGGAAGTTGAGGCTCTAAGAGGCTGGGTTTTTCAAGGCCACACAGCTGCAGATCACGGAGCTAGAATAGCTGATCCTTGGCCTGTCTTTAAAATGTCTGATATTTCATTTTGTTAAATAAAATTAGAATTTATTTACTAATATTTTATTTAGAATTACTCATGTTTGTAAAGTGAGATCAGCCCACAGATTTTCTTTCTCATACTACCCTTGTCAATTTGACATCAAGGTCTCTTCAGGCTCATAAAACATTGATTTGATTTTCCTATATTGCTATACGTTATTGGTTATTCTGCAAAGTAGAGATGGTCTGCTGTTGACTATTTGGTGCAAACCACCCATAAAGTCCTTCCAAACAAATGTTTATTAAGGAGAGGAGGTGGTTTTGACTATACTATCATTAGTATGTGAACGTTTGGCCCTTCCAGGTCAAATTCTGACCTATAATTTAAGGATATACAAATGAAAATAAAGCTCCTTTTCTGAATCAAATTTTTGAACAGTAGTCTATTTATTCAATTAGTGTTTACTAAACATCTATTACATGTCAGGCTTTATTCTAGGCACCCTGAATACAGCAATAAACAAAACAGAAAAACTATTTCCTGCCCGTTGATGTTTATATTTTAGTGAAGGGAGACAGACAGTATGCAAAGAAGTAAAAAATAAAGATGGTTAGAAGGTTCTGATAATCTACAGAAAAAAGGTAGGGAAGGGAAATAAGAAGTGCGAGGGAGAAGAAGGGTTGCAGTTTTTCTGCTTGCTTGCTTGCTTGCTTGGTTTTGAGACGGAGTCTCACTGTTGTTGCCCAGGCTAGAGTGCAATGGCACGATCTCGGCTCACTGCAACCTCCGCCTCCTGGGTTCCAGCAATTCTCCTGCCTCAGCCTCCCGAGTAGCTGAGATTACAGACACCTGCCACCATGCCCAGCTAATTTTTGTACTTTTAGTAGAGACGGGGTTTTACCATGTTGGCCAGGCTGGTCTCGAACTCCTAACCTCAGGTGATCCACCCGCCTCGGCCTCCCAAAGTGCTGGGATTACAGGCTTGAGCCACTGCACCTGGCCAGGGTTGCACTTTTAAACAGGTTAATCAGAGAAGGCCACTCCAAAAAGTTGACATTTAGGCAACAACTTGAAGGAAGGAATATTGCAGAGAAAGGGAAGACATAAACAAAGTCTAGAAATGGAAGCATGTGTGTCACATTTCAGGAATAAGAAGGAGGTCAGCATGGCTAGAAGATAATGGACTAGAAAGCTCTAGGCCCTTGTTCTCCCATGAAAACACTGAACTAACAACAACATACCGACCTAATAACTTTGTGAGAACTACAAAAAAATCTATTAAGAAGCTTCTACAACTAAGAAAACCACTAATCAAGAAAAACTTCATCCAAAGTGATAGGAAATTTGTCTTTTGCTCACCCTTCCTCCTTCCGCTACTCATTATAGCATGGCATGACATGACATAATATGAGGAAAACTGCCCAGCTCCCAAGCTCCTCCTTTGGGATGGAAGAAAAATTTGGAACTCACGCAACGTTCTGCTTTACAACATTGTCTGAGGGCTGCTCTAGAGACAAGTTGCTGTCTCACCTGACTTTAAGGACTCATGGGAATAGTAGCATAGTTTGAATACCAGATTGTATGTTGCTGAAAGCAGCAGTGGGTGCCATGATGCGTTAAAACTTCAGGGAATCTGAAGTCCTGTGGGCACCAGGGAGCAAAACATTATGGGCAGAAGAATAAAATAGCAACCCTAGGCTTCGGAGAAGAAGCAGGGATAACTTTCTTGGGGAAATTAAGACATTTAAAGCAGCAAATTATTGTTACCAGGAACTGAAATAAAAGCATATGTGCAAGACACATCCCTAGAAAAACTCTGAAAGGACACACAGCCTCTATGTCACGAAGATCTTCCTCTGCACAGAACTAGTCCATAAACACTGGAAGAGGCAGTTGTTTTTTCAAATGCCCAAGTCTCAACAAAAAAGGTCATAAAGCATACAAAGGAACAGGGAAACATGGCCCACTGAAAAGAATAAAATAAATCTCCAGAAACAGGCCCTACAGAAATGCAGGTCTCTGAGACACTCGACAAAGAATGTAAAACAACTTTCTTAGAGATACTCACAAAAGCTAAATGAGAACACAATAGACAACTAAATGAAATCAGGAAAATAATACACAAGCAAAATAATACCATCAATAAAAAGATAGAAACTACTTTTTTAAGTACCAAACAAAAATTCTGGAGCTGAACAATGCAATAACTGAATTTAAAAATATACTAAAAGAGTTCAACAGCAGGCTAGATGAAGCAGAATGAACTTGAAGGTGGGTCACTTCAAATTACCAAGTCAGAGAAGAAAAAAAAAAAATGAAGGAAATAAGGAAGTTATAAGACATCATTGTATACATTATGGAAGCCCTGGAAAAAGAAGAGAGAAAGAAAGGGACAGAGAGCTTATTTGAATAATGGCCAAAAACTTCCCACATTTGAGGATAGAAATGAGTGTACTAATACAAGCTCAATAAGAGACCCACATCAAACACAATATAGTCAAACTGCTGAAAGTCAAACAAAAAAGAATCGTGGAAGTAGAGAGAAAAGCAACGTATTATACACAAGCCTCTATAAGGTTATTAGCAAATTTCTCACCATAAACCTCAAAGGCCAGAAGGCAGTGAGATAATATACTCAAAGTACTGAAAGAAAAAAATGTCAATCGAGAATGCTATATTTGACAAAACTGCCCTTCAAAAACAAAGGAGAAATTAAGACTTTCCCAAATAAACAAAAGCTGAGGGAGTTCGTTACCACTAGAGCTGTGTCAGTCAGATGGTGAAAATGATAATGGGTTAAACTCCATAGTACAGTCAAGTGTTGCTTAACAACAGGGATACGTTCTGAGAAATGTATCATTAGTCAATTCTGTCAGCAAGTATAATAGAACGCACTTATGTAAACCTAGATGGTATAGCCTACTACACACCTAGGCTCTCTGGGGTAGCCTAGTGCTCCTAGGCTACAAATCTATAAACAGCATGTGACTGTCCTGAATACTGGCGGAAATTGTAACACAATGGTAAGTATTTGTGTATCTAAATATAGTTAACCAGAAAAGGTACAGTAAAATTACGGTACAAAAGACAAAAACATGTTACATCTGTATAGGGCATTTACCTTGAGTGGAGCTTGCCGGACTGAAAGTTGCTCTGAGTAAGTGAGTGAATGAGTGGTGAGTTAATATGAAGACCTAGGACATTACTGTACACTACTGTGGACTTCATAAACGCTGTGCACTTACGCTACACTAAATTTACAAAGAAAATTTCTTTCTTAAATAGTAACAACTTTATCTTACTGTAACTTTTTAGTTTATAAACTTTTCCACTTTTAACTTTTACTCTTTTGTAATAACACTCAGCTTAAAACACAATCACATTGTACAGCTAAATAAAAATATTTTCTTTCTTTACATCTTCATTCTATAAGCTTTTTTGTACTTAATAGTTTTTTACTTTCTAAACATTTTCTTAAAAACTAAGACATAAATACACACATTAGCCTAGTACTACATAGGGTCAGGATAATCAATATCACTTTATTTTGCCTCCACATCTTGTCCCACTGGAAAGGGCACTAACCTGTATAAAGCTGTCACCTCCTGTGCTAACAATACCTTCTTCTGGACAATCTCCTGAAGGACCTGCCTGAAGCTCTTTTATAGTTAACTGTTAAAAAAAAATGAGAGAAACTCTTGCTATGTTGCCCAGGCTGGTCTTGACTCTTAGGCTTAAAGGAGTTCCTTCCATCCTAAGTAGCTAGGACTATAGGCACATGTCACCAAACTTTATATAACATTTTTTATATAAGTAGAAGAAGTACATTCTAAAATAACAATAAAAAGTATAGTGTGGTAAATACATAAACTAGCAACATAGTTATTTATTATCATAATCAAATATCATGTACTGTACAAAATTATGTTATACTTTCATACTACCAGCAGTTGCATAGGTTTGTTTGCACAGTAGATTTGTTTAAACACCATAAACACATGAGTAATGCACTGTGCTATGGTTTTAAAGTGGCTGCATGCCACTAGACAAGAGGACTTTTTCAGCTCCGTTATAATCTCATGGGACCACTGTTGTATATGTGGTCCATCATTCACCAAACATTGTTATGTGGTGCGTGACTGTATATAATTAACTTTTGTAAGTCAACAACAACAAAAATAACCTAATTTTAAAATGGGCAAAGAACTTGAATGGACGTTTCTCCAAAGATAATATATAATGGCCAACAAGCATATTTAAAGATGCATCACTTATCATCCAGAAAATACAAATCAAAATCAAAACCGTCAAACGATGACATTCTACCTCACACTTATTAGTATAACTTCTATTGAAACACACAGAGAGAAAGAGAAAGAGAGAGAAAGAGAGAATAACAAGTGTTGGCAAGGATGTGGAGATCTTTGCCTTGGAATACTTGTACATTGTTGGTGGGAATGTAAAATGGTGCAGTCACTAGGCTAAATAGTATGGGGGTTCCTCAAAAAATTAAAAGCAGAATTACCAAATGATTCAGTAATTCCACTTCTGGATTTATATGCAAAATAATTGAAAACAGGCTCATGAAGAGATATTTGCATACCATGTTTATAGCAGAACTATTCACGATAGCTGAGAGTGGAAGCAACCCAACTGTCTATCAGTGGATGAACTGATAAACAAAACGTAGTACACACAGACAATAGAAGATTATTCAGCCTTAAAATAAAAAGGATCCAAGGTTCATCTACCATGTGGATGAACCTCGAGGACATTACGCTAAGTAAAATAATCCAGTAACAGAAAGACAAATACTTTATGATTTCATTTATATGAGATATCTAAAGTAGTCAAACTTAATGAAACAGGAAGTAAAATGCTGGTTGCCAGAGGCTGGGGATAGGGAAATGAGAAGTCATTGTTCAGTGGGTACAGAGTTTCAGTTTTGCAAGATGAAAACATTCTGGAAATCTGTAACACAACAATGTGAATACACTTAACACTAATAACTGTACACTTAGAAATGGTTAAGATGGTAAATCTTATACTATGTGCTTTTTATTATGACACACACACACAAAATAAACTTGAGCCTAAGGAAAAGGAAACATTTCCTCACAGCCATTTACATAGTGAATAATAGAACCCAGGTTCAAATCCAGGTTTGTCTAACATCTCAGTTGAGGATTCCTTCTGCTGTACAACAGTGTTTTAGCTTTATATGTTAAAAAGTAATCTTAAGAGACCTGTAGTGGTTACATTAATATAGGGAAAAATAGACTAATAGAACTGAAAAGACAAATAATTTAATAATTGTAGTTGGAAATTTCAATGCTTCTCTCTCTGTAACTGATAGAATAACAAGACCAACTTGACCTAACCGACATAATAGAACACTCCAACTAACAATAAGAAAATGTATTATTTTCAATCACACACACACATGGAATATCCTCCAAGATAAATTATATACTAAGCCATAAAACATGTTTCCATAAATTTTAAAATTGGAAATTATACAAAGTATGTTTTCTGACCATAATGAAATTAAATTAGAAATCAACAGCAGAAAGCAATCAAGAAAATTCTCAAATATTTGGACATTAAACAATGCACTTCTAAGTAACCCACAGGGCAAAGAAGAAATTACAAGAGAAATAAAACAAATAAAACCACAACATATAAAAATGCACAGCATACAGCTAAAACAGTGTTTGGATGATAATTAGTAGTTTTGAATGCATCCTAAAAAAGAAAAAACATATCAAAAATAAATAATCTAATGTTCTATTTTAAGAATCTGGAAGAGGAAGAATAAATCAAACACAAAAGAAGTAGACTACAATAATAGTAATGATAAGAACAGGAAATCAATAAATTACAAAAGCAGGAAAGCAAATAGAGGAAACCAATAAGACTAAAAGTCAATTCTTTTGAAAAGATCAACAAAATGTATGTACATTTAGCTAGAATGACTGAGAAAACAAACAAACAAACAAACAAACAAACAAAGACACAAACTACCCAAGTCAAGAATGAAGAAAGGAACATCACTACAAACCTACAGAAACTAAAACAATTAAGGGAACATTATAAACAAATTTATGCCAAAAAATTATACAACTTAGGTAAAGCGAACAAATTCCTAGACAGACACAAATTACCCAAACTAACTCGAGAAAGAGTAGAAAATCTGAATAGACATATATCAAGTAAAGAAACTTAATTAGTAATTTAAAATCTTCCCACATGAAAAAGCCCAGGCCCAGATGGCTTCACTGGCAAATTCTATCAAACTTTTAAGGAAGAAAATACGACACAAACTCTTTCTAAAAATAGACAAGCATGGAAAACTTCCCAATTCATTGTATGAGGCTGGCATTACCTTGGTCCCAAAGCAAGATAGACATCGTAAGAAAGGAAAACTACAGATCAATATCTCTCATGAACACAGACACGAAAAATATTAAAATATTAACAAACTGAATCTAGCAACAAACAAAAAGGTAAGTTCTGTAGATTGGTGCTTCTTTCTTGCCTAGAAACCAGTCAGACTCTAAGTAGTTACCACCTGAGAGACCGTTTCCCAGATACCATTGATGTCCCATCATATAGGACCCAGGAAAATAATGCTCATGGGGGGCTTTCTTCAAGGATTCATGGACAAGAATTGGTGATAAATGTCCCAGATACCTTGCCCTTTCACTGAGATGACTCTGGGGCATGTTTTACAGTCTCTCAGGCTGGCCAGTGAGATTGTGCCTCAGTACAGACTGTGCTAACCAGTTCCTGAACACATCTGTATGTGCTTTCTTTCCTTTCCTGTCCCACTTCCCTACACAATACTGGTGCTTCCTGGGGTCATTTCCCCAAAACTGTGAGTACTCACATCCTGGTCTCCAGTTCTGCTTCCAAGACAACCCTCCTTGCCAGCTCCTTTCATCTATGGCACAAGCTGAAAACAGTGCAGAAGAAAGTTTGCCACAATTTTAAATGAAGTTATTCTGCTTGAAGCCAGAAAGACAGATGGCACCTCCGATTGTAACTGACTTTCCCAAGAAAAGCCTAAAAAGAGAAAAACTCTTATGCGTAGAGAAGGAGAAAATTCAACCACAGAGGGAATTGAGTTGCCCTTGGGATTTGGCTTTCATATGTCTATAGGCAGAGCTGATGTGATTGTGGAAATCCAGTCTAATTATCATCTTCATTACAGTGATAGTGCTGACCTTACACAGCAAGTACCATGATATCAGGAGTCTTATCCCATTTACCTTGGCAATTACCTGATGTTCTCATCATTTTGCAAGGCAGTTTGCATTAACACCCCCACCCCCACCCCAAGACCTTGTTGCCCAATTCTGTGCATGATCTTCCTATATCTGGGGACAGGTGCAGGATAAGAATTAGGATCCAAAATTATAAGGGTCCATTCTGTTATTAATATCTCCCATTTTTACAACATCTCATGCCTATGTGAATGAGTGCTGGGAAGGCATGAAAACAGAAACCCTGTCTCCAGTGTTTTCCCAGATCTGGTTTCAGCAGATTCACTCTTCTCATTCACTTCTTCAACAAACATTCATTTATGCACCTACTATGTTCCATCTCTGTGACACAGTGTGGTGGATACATCCCGAGGTGATCACCAACAATGAGTTACACCCTTGTACAACAGAACCTGTGACTTACTTCTAGCCAATAAGACATAGCAATGGTAACAGGAGGTCACTCCCTTGACCATATAAGACTTCATCTTAGCATACTGGACTGGAAGAGACTCTCCCTTGCTGACTTTGAAAAAGAAAGCTGCCGTGTTTCAAAACAGGGTTGAATGGCAGCAACCTGAGGACAACTCCAGTGGTTTCCAGATGCTGGAAGCAGCCTCTAGCAGCCTTCTTGTTTCCTTCAGTCAACAAGAAAACAAGAAAACAGGGACTTCAGTCCTATAGCCATAAGGACACTGATGCTGCCTACAACCTGAGGGATTTTTGAAGCAGATTTTCCCTATTCAAGCTTCCAGAGAAGAATGCAGCCTGGCCAACATCTTGATACAGCCTCGTGATATTCTAAGCAGAGGACCCAGCTAAGCCATGCTTAGATTCCCGACCAGTGGAAACTCTGAAATAGTGAATGTGTGTCTCCCAAAGCCACTAAGTTTTTGATAATTTGTTACGCACCATAGAAAACCAATACACAGAACTAGGGATACTCCTTGCTTCTCTAATACTCTTTGCCTTTGGATCTAGTTTCCCCATATTCAATCTCAATCATTTTGCTTGACATCTCAAGTTGGATGCATCCCTCAGCCTCTTGCTCTGAAGAATTTGGGTATCTAACAGACAACCGGCAAAAGGAATCCAACCCATGGCCTGGAAAGACCAAGCTGGCTTGAAGCTGAACTACACAAAGGGAAGGGGAAAGGGCCAGTGCACTTGCACTGTCTTGAGAGATGGGTCAACATTGCTAGTGCCCACTAGCATCTGAGTCATCACCTTCTTCCTGAGCACAGTGTTAGACTACATTTCCCAGGCCCCTTGATGGTGATAACACTGGTTTTTGCCAATGGAGTATCAACTTCCAGAAGTGCTATTATCACCTCTAGGACAAGAGTTTAGAGTGGTGTACCTTCTCTATGCTTTATTCTCTTCTTCAACTCACCAACCAAAAAAAATCCAATGGAAAATTCTGAGACCCTAGAAAATAACAGAAACATGGGACAGAAGGAGCTTGGGTCCCTGAAAGACTCCATGGAGCCAAGTTTCAACTCCCTCACTATCCTCGCTGGACAGTTTTTTGTTTTTGTTTTGTTTAGTTTTTTTGAGAGAGTCTCTCTCTCTCTGTTGCCAGGCTGGAGTGCAGGGACACGATCTCAGCTCACTGCAAACTCTGCCTCCCGGGTTTAAGCAATTCTTCTGCCTCAGCCTCCTGAGTAGCTGGGACTGGAAGTGTGAGCCACCAAGCCCAGCTAACTTTTGTATTTTTAATAGAGATGGGGTTTCACCATATTGACCAGGATGGTCTCAATCTCTTGACCTCATGATCCACCCGCCTCGGCCTCCCAAAGTGCTGGGATTACAAGTGTGAGCCACCACGCCCAGCTAATTGGACGGTTCTATCAGTCAGCATTCAACCAGAGAAATAGAATTAGTAGGAGATATATATTAAAACATGCATTGCAAGGAATTGGCTTATACCATTGTGGGGCCTGCCTAGAAGCATCTGAAATCCTTAGGGCAGGCCATCAGGAAGGACAGGATGGAAGTTTCGAGCACAAGCTGAAGCTTCAGTCCTCAGGTGGGATTTTTCTTTTTTTTCTTTTTTAATCGATACATAATAATTAGACATATTTATGGAGTACATGTGATATTTTGATACATGCATACAATGTGTAGTGATCAAATTAGGATAATTAGAATATCCATCACCTCAAATGTTTATCATTCCAACTTTTATTTGAAATGTTGGGAACATCTCAAATCTTATTTTCTAGGTATTCTGAAATATACAATATTGTTAACTGTAGTCACACTACTGTGCTATTGAATACTAGCAAAACTACTATTAGATAAGTGGGATTTATTCTTCTAGAGGAAATTGTCAACTCTATTCTTAAGGCCTTTCAACTGAAAGAATCAGGTTAAGGTTATCTAGGATAGTCTCCCCCAGTTAAAGCCAACTGATTATGGATTTTAATTACATCTACAAAGTACCCGTGCAGCAACATCTGAGTTAGTGTTTAATTGAATAACTGGGCACTGTTTAATTGAATAACCTAGACAAGATGACACAAAAAACTGGCCATCATATGGTGATGGCAATTAGTAAACACGACTGTGTTAAGCTGCTGATGATTGGGGTGTGTTTATTACAACACTGAGAGAAGAGTCCACCCTGACTAATGAAAGCAAGCTATCATTCTTCAAAGAGTTGATTTTTACTCCTGAGAGTGGAGACAGTAATAGCTCATTTCTGGGCTGTCTATATCCCTAATTAGTAAAGATTAGCGGCCCCCAAATACTTCTAGGACTCCTTTACAGGACACTAGTAGGTTTTCTCCTCATCAGTCTGAATCTCTAGCATATCAGCCTCCCCATGGCCGTAAATACTCCCAGGTCAAGCCACTTCATCTCTCACCTGGGCCATAGGCCACTCTCCTAACTAGCTGATATGGTTTCACTCTGTGTCACCCAAATCTCACATCAAATTGTAAGCCCCACAAGTCAGGGGAAATGTTGAAAAAAGAAAACTCACCACGCAAAACTCCCAGTACTCTTTTGTATGTTTTTTAGGGTTTCAGGATCAGGGAAGCTGTATCAGGCACTGGCTCTGGCTAATTTAAATAGAAGAATGGTTTGTTATGGTGATATTGGATTGAATATGGGGAAACTAGATCCAAAGGCAAAGAGTATTAGAGAAGCAAGGAGTATCCCTAGTTCTGTGTACTGGTTTTCTATGGTGCGTAACAAATTATCAAAAACTTAGTGGCTTTGGGAGACACACATTCACTATTTCAGAGTTTCCACTGGTCGGGAATCTAAGCATGGCTTAGCTGGGTCCTCTGCTTAGAATATCACAAGGCTGTATCAAGATGTTGGCCAGGCTGCATTCTTCTCTGGAAGCTTGAATAGGAAAAATCTGCTTCGAAAATCCCTCAGGTTGTTGGCAGAATCAGTGTCCTTATGGCTATAGGACTGAAGTCCCTGTTTTCTTGTTTTCTTGTTGACTGAAGGAAACAAGAAGGCTGCTAGAGGCTGCTTCCAGCATCTGGAAACCATTGGAGTTGTCCTCAGGTTGCATACAACTGAGGCTGTACTCAGGTTGCTGCCATTCAACCCTGTTTTGAAACACGGCAGCTTTCTTTTTCAAAGTCAGCAAGGGAGAGTCTCTTCCAGTCCAGTATGCTAAGATGAAGTCTTATATGGTCAAGGGAGTGACCTCCTGTTACCATTGCTATGTCTTATTGGCTAGAAGTAAGTCACAGGTTCTGTTGTACAAGGGTGATATTGGATTGTTCTTGCATCTCAGAGAGAGTGGAGGCCTGGATTCAGATTCCCCCCATGCTGTTCTCATGACACTGAGCTCTCACAAGATCTGATGGATGAAAGTGTGGTACTTCCTCTCTCTCTCTCTCTCTCTCTCTCTCTCTCTCTCTCTCTCTCTCTCCTGCCACCCTGTAAGACACGCCCTGCTTCCCCTTCACTTTCTGCCACATTAAGTTTCCTGAGGCCTCCCCAGCCATGCTGAATTGTGAGTCAATTAAACCTCTTTTCTTTATAAATTACTCAGTCTCAGGTAGTTATTTATAGCAGTGTGAAAATGGATTAATACACTAGCGTCCCTGCTTTAAGACAGCCTCCCCGTGGCCACAACCCTTCCCACGGTCTACCCCTGCCAGTTCATCCTCCACACTGTTATAGAATGCACTTTCTATGCACAAATTTGACCATGTTATTTCTCTTGTTAGTTATTTCTATCATTCTTTTTTGCTTTTATATAAAGTCTAAAACCCACATTTCAAAAGACACTGGAAACTTTACAACTTCCATATTTAGCTTCAGCTTCTATCTCCTGCCTCCCCCAACTCTGGGTCACCATGCTGTACATTCATTCTACCCACACACGAATCTACTCCGTTTGCCTGGTAACACCTTACTCAGTTATATTTTCATGCTCTTATTAAAAGTGATTGTGATCATTTATTTTGAGATCCCTAATAATAACTAATGCACATTTTCTCTTTTAATTTTCACAACTCCCCTTTAAGGTTGGAACATCATTACAATCATCCTACAAAAGAGGAGATTAGGGCCCCACGTACTAAATGATTTGTCCAGGATTTCTCCGCTTGTAATCCTTAGATCTGACATTCAGACCCAAACCAGCCCAACTCCGAAGCCTAAACTCTTAACCACCACACTAAACTGCTTCCCAAGTCTTCATACCTGTTGTTCTGTGCTGGTAATTTCCAATCTCACCTCCATAATTCTTACACTTTCACCTGGGAAGTACATCCTCACCCTTTAAATCTCAGTTCAAACATCACAGTGTCAGTACTGTTTTGCCTTCCTACCATCAAGAACTTGTCCTTCATTCTTGCACCTTCAGCTGTGCTTCCCATAGTAAGAGCATCTATCACACTCTTGTTTTTCTCTTTTCCTGACTGTACACTGACTAATATGCAGTCAATCATCATGAAAATCTAGAAAGCAATTAAAGCCCTGACATATCCCTATAGGCTCTTGGAAAGTTGATCTGCAGAAATGCCAATTAGGCTATAGATGCTGCAAAAATAGCTAAGATCTTTCACATTTTGATACCCAGATCCTCTCTGTCATTCAAAAAACAGTCGGTATAATGAATACATAAATTATGTAAGTCATATGTGTAAACCAAAGATAGACAAAGATAAATATTGTAAGGCAAAGAATGCAGGCTATTACTGAGAGTGCCCTGTTAAGCAGACACATAAGTTAGAAGGTTTAACAGTGCCTGAATCTGGGTGGCACAGAAGATTCAGAATTCCTAACCAAAAAAGATGATTCTGCTCCCTCCTTTAAGAAGGATCTCAGCCTTGCTTCCTAAGTTGCAAAAGTGTATTGCTCAACAGAGATACTGGAAGGAAGGAAACCAGATAGGGAGCTAGCATCCTAGTCTCATCCTAAAATTGATTAAATGCCTTTTCATAGAGAAATGGAAGTATTCCATTGTATTACTGCCTACCAAATGTTCTGATTTCCCTGTCTGTGCTACCAATATCTGCAATAGAATTACACATCTCCATCCCGTTGAACACAGGGATAGTCACTTGCTTTTGACCTGAAATGTGAGTTGGCATGATATTTGTCACTTCAGGCAGAAGTTTTAGAGCTAGCCACATCTCTTTTCCCCTCTGCCATGAAAGCTGGCACTGTCCCATACAGAAGTTGTTCATCAGCTTGGGTATCAGAGTGGAGATGCAGCAGCCCCGGGATGATGTGTTGCAGGGGCAGGTCATAAAATGTTATTGCTGAAAGCCACTGAGGTTTTAAAGCCACTTGTTATACCGCAGCATGTCCAGCCTATTCTAAATAAATGTATCTGTTCAAAAAATGGAGCTTCTTCTATAAAAAAATAAAACATGGGTCTTTGGAGACTGGAGGGATGGAAGTCCCTGTAATGCAGAGGTAAAACATTTGGTAAAACTTTCACCTGCTGTAAGAGCCCTGATGAGCTTACAACTTTAGACAAGAAAGAGATGAGATCAGAAAGAATTGGTCAAATTTTAGCCAAGACTAAAGCACACTAGAAAATCCAGAAACTCAAGACCTTGTATATTTTGAAGAGCTACTCCTTCTGAAACCCAAACAGAGGAAAATAAAACCAAGAAGTGGCAAAGGTTGATTAAAAGCTGGCCTCCTGGGAAGGGCCAACTCAAGATTACAGCCATCACAACTTCTGTTAAGCCCTCTGAATTAAGATGGTATATGTGTCTTCTGACTAGGTTGGTATGTGTGCACACACTTTATATAACCTCCCCTTGAATGTAAGCAGAAAAGTGTTAATATAGTGGGGTATCACTCCCTTGGTTATCTTAAGTTACATGGCAAAAGGGATTTTGCAAATGTAATTAAGGCCCCTAATCAGGAGATTTTGTTTTATCAAAAAGCTTATCAAAATTTTATCAAAAAGTTTATAAAAATTTTCCTGGATGGTCTTGATAACCAGGTGAACCCTTAAACGAGGTTAGAGAGATCTGAGGAATGTGAAATTTTGTGGCTGGCTTTGGAGATGTAAGAACCAGAGGACAGCCTCTAGGGGTTAAATGTGATCCCTGGAGAAAAGTCAACAGGAAACCAGAGACCTCCGTCCTACAACCACATGAGTTGAAAGAGGATGCTGAGCTTCAGAAAGGCATTCAGACCAGCTGAAGTCTGGATTTCAGCCTTATGAGACCCTGAGCAATGAACAGTGTCACACTGCCCAGACTTCTGACTGACAGAACTAGAGGTGATGAATGTGTGGTGTTTTAAGCCAATAAGATTGTGGTAATTTATTAGGCAGCAATAGAAAACTAACACAGCTCTAATAAATCTTTTTAGTTAGACCAAATTGCTTAGGAAAAAAAGATCTCAAGGGTTCACTCAGAAAATGGGTAAAAAGATAAAAACAACTAAATTTTGAGAGAAAGTCATGTCTCAGGAAGAATTGTGGGTGTTGCTACTGGCATATGTTGTTGACTACAAGACACCAGCTAAGTTTTTAAGAGTTTTATGTCAAAATAACCACCCTTCTAGACAAAAAATAAAGATCGTAACAGTTCAAAACTTGTAGGTTGTCAACCTTCTATGGAAGATAGTGAGTGAGAGAGGTATTTAGCCCTCCATGAGGGGTTATTCTCCAAATCCCTCTTCAATTGCATCTAAGAAAGATCATGGAAAGGGAAGGACATCATCCCAGAGGGTGAAGGAGAACAATAGACAAGGAATATCCCAACCCTACCTAGAAATCTCATGTCTGCCATACAGGATTACAGAATTGCTATGGGCCAGTGACTGCTGTGTGCCTTTCATTCTTTCCTTTTCTAAAATATAGAATTTATTAAGATTATCCTATCTCTGTTCTGACACTGTATTTGGGGGAGAAATAAATAGATATATTATATTTTCAGCTCATGGGTGCAGTGATGATGTTGGTGTCTCATTCCTATAACCCTACCTTGACTCTTCCATACATACTTACCAATATCCAACTACATCACTAGAGTCCCTTGGCCTGAGGTTTCCTTCCACCAACATGGAAATCTAGAAGTGCTGAGGAATTAACCCACTTGGGAACATCCCTCAACCAATGACTGATGGGAATCAATGTATAAGTACCCAAGGTTCCCTGTCTCTCAAGTGGGATAACGTTGAGTTATCTGTCTTCACTGGCTCTCATCATTTCTCCAGTGGGAGTTAGCTCCAATTGCCCATGCCTTTTATTGGCTACCTTGGCTACCTTATGTTTTGTCTCACTTACCCAATCCTCTAATAGTTTTTTTTCATTTCCCAGATAAATCATTTGCATGTTGAGTCCCTATCTCAAGGTATCTTTCTAGAGAAACCAAACTATGACAATTGTTTTCTGAATCTAGGTGCATCGTATCTGGTAAGGACCATGCAGAAATGATCACACCTCCTGAGGAGATTCTGAACTTTGATCTTGAAGCAGAGATTCACAGAAGGCAGCAGGGGCAGTCTTTGAGGTCTCTCTTAAAGAGAAGAAGAACTTGAGTGTTTCTGCCTGAAAAGGGGGAAAAGAACTTAATGTCTGGTTACTTCAAAAATGGGCTTTCCCTCTTTGTGTTTCCCTTCCCTGTGGGAGAATAATACATCCCCACTCTAATGAATTTAGGAGCAAACTACATAACTTCTTTGGTCCATGACAGCAGGGAAGAAGTGATGATTCATTTCCTGAGAAAAGCTTCAAGAGTCAGCACACAATTTGCTACATTTCTTTCCTTTCTGCTATACATATGACAATGTTCCAGAAAGAGGTTTTTCCATCAGCTGGATCCCAGATTGAAGACTTAAAAGTAGAATCTGGCTGACTCAGGATAGACCCAAACTTCTGGAATTGTAAGACAATAAGATTTTAGTATTATTTGTTAGTGTGTCACAACCTAGCCTGTCTTGACTGATACAGTGTTCCCAAACAAGAACTTTGGGGATACAAGGAAGACACAAATACCTAAGAAAAGAGTAAAACTGAAGCTATGCCGCCATATTCTCTGAAAATGAGGATACGGCAAAGAGGAGACTTTGGCTCCTGTGATTTGGAAAGAAAAGCAATCAGTGTGGCTATTTAGAGGCACAGTCATCATAAGAACAAGAGGGCAGAGCAAAATTATGCAAAGGCTATCACTCAAGGAATTCAGGAGGATTTTTGTTCTCCCCACAGATGGAGTCATAAATAGCCAGAATATATTATCACAGGCAATCAGAAAATTGCTGTCAGTAATTTTAAATGAAACTTTGGCAGTGAAATGTTGAAAAAATAAAACTCAGCATGCAAAACTCCCAGTACTCTTTTGTATGTTTTTTAGGGTTTTGGGATCAGGGAACCTGTATCAAGCACTGGCTCTGGCTAATTTAAATAGAAAAATGATTTGTTATGGTGATATTGGATAGGTCTTGTATCTCACAGAGAGTGGAGATCTGAATTGAGAAGCTATGCAGCCAAGGATAATATCTTAAAATCACTGTACATATTGGCCCAGTTTAGATACCAGTTTATAGTTGCCACGGATGAGGACAGGCCCAGCAGCTTATACCGCCAATATTATGGGAGGTGCTATGGTTTGGAATGTTTGCCCCCTCCAAAACTCATACTGAAATGTAGTCCCCAATGTGGCAGTATTGAGAAGTGAGGCCTTTAAGAGGCGATTGAGTAATGAGGGTTCATGGGTTAATATGTTAATGGATTAATGGTTTATGACAAGAGTGGCACCTGTGGCTTTATAAGAAGAGAGAGAGCGGAGTAGCACACTCAGCCCCCTCACCACGTGATGTTTTGTGCCATTTTGGGATTCCTCAGAGAATCTCCACCACAAGAAGATTCTTCACCAGCCCACCAGTTGTGACCCCTTGACCTTGGACTGCTCAGCCCTCATAACTGCAAGAAATAAATTCCTTTTCTTTATAAATTACCCAGCTTTAGGTATTCTATTATAAGCAACACAAAATGAACTGAGACAGGTGATGACATTGAAACTGGAATTTAGATGAAGCCAATGCAGCATTTTCCATCCCCTCCTTGCTGGCGTGTTCCACACCAAGGACAGCTCCAAGGTGCCACTAACCTCTGCTACTACCAAAACTGCTGATGGCTCCCAAACGTTTTTGAGGGGTGTTTGGTCAGAAAAGCAAATTGAGGCAGTTGCAATTCTCTGCTAGTTTCAGCAATAGGGTCTTCTTTGTGAAACCACTGGTAACTGGAATTCATTTCTCCACAGTTTCTGTTTGGAAAAATCATGAAGCCTTGAAGCCCAACCATATGTAGAGTTCATTTTAAAAGTTTCTCAAACCAGATTATGTTCCAGGCAACCTTTTACCAGAGAAAAAATATTTAAAAGGTAAGCACCATTACCACAACTAACTCATCCCCACAAAAGATTTGGCATGGCCTGTGTTTCTGGTGTCACTAGCTTATCGCTCATAGTTTGGGGTGGGTACACATGAAGGTCAAACTCAGTGCCATACACAAGGGATCCTAGAAAAAGTTCGTTCATTTTTATTTTTTATACTGAAAAGTAGATTCTGTCTCAAAGATGGAGGAGTCTTCACAAAGAGGAAAGGGGTTCAGATATCGGGTCAACAAGAATGACAGACAGCTACTCTAAGGCCACATCTCTCACATGGAGAGCAAATAAGGTGCAGTTAAAAGGACCCAGACTTGGATTCAATTCCTGCTCTTTTCATCCTAATTGTGTGAACTTTCTCACAGCTGGGCCTCACCTTGTTATCCACAAAATGGGTGACTGCTGTCGTTATGATTGCTACCTATTTATATCCCCCTATGTATCTTTCTATCTGTTTGTAACAGACTCATCTTAAGGGCATTGCTGCAAATTATGTCTGCAAAAGTCACAGACAGTGGTCACAGTACAGTGACCACATGTGAGCCACAAACATGTTTGAATTGGCCCATCATGCTCCTGAAATGTTTTAATTGTCAACCACAAAATATCACCAAAGATATAGATTTACCTGTGTTTTATAAGTAGAGATCAGATATTCTGATTTTTCTTTTCTTTATATATAAAAAGGGTGCAGCTTTCACCACACACCCCTCACCCGCTTTGCTAAAACCATCTTCCTATTTTTTTCTATCTTCCAGTGTCAGTCATATAAATGACATAGAAGGAAGCTTCCTGGACTTGATCACCAGGACTTGAGTTTGACTTTCAGCTCTTCCACCTTCCAGTTGTGTGACTTAGGGACAGTGACCTAATTTTTTAAGTTTTAATTTCTTTATCTTTCAGAATGACTGTAAATACCCTTTAGAATTGGTAAACACATGCAAGGAAAGGGCACCAGAAGCCCTTTAGTCACTCATTATTAAGCTGTCAGGGATTTTCCCAGTCTCACATCCTGCCATGACTCTCCTCATAGTCTATTATTTGGCAACACTTCACTCCCCTCTCTCTCTCCCTCTCTCGCTCTCACTCTCTCTCTTCATGGTAATATACTGTCCTTTTCCAAATTCTGTTCCTGCTCTCTGGATTGTCTTCTTCTCTCTTCAACTTTTTTCAAGGGCATCTCCTCCACGAAGCTCTCCATGATCCCCTGGGCTAAATTTGTTGCTCTTGGAGCTCATGGGGTTCCCTGACTCTTTATGTCATGCTACCATTATTTCACAGTTCTATAAGTTATCTGTCCATCCATGTCCCACTAGACTGAGCACCTTGGATGGTGGGGTCTTGTAGCAAGATCAAGGAGAAAATAAACCTAAGCTACTTGGGAGAATCTCCAAATAATAATCGTGAGTCAAAAGGTATGTTACAGAAGAATATACACAGAATGAATAATATTTATATTCAAATTTTTAAACATGCAAGAATGTTGTATATGTTTTAGAAATATACATATGTGGCAAAAATAAAAAGATAAGCATTGGAAAAATAAACAAAATTTATAGGTTTCCTGGCAAAGAGACATGAGATATACAATCAGAGTGGCTGTGGAGAGAGAGAGACTTGTCTACCCAGAAAGCTTTATTTTTATATGTAATATTCTATTTCTTAAATCTGGGTGTTATATGACTATACTTTTGCGTGTATGTTAAACATGTTTAAATAAATTTTAAGATGAAAGTAAAGAGCATGGGATTTGGAGTTAAAAAGATCCTGTCTCTGTTACTGTCAGTGAGATCCTAGGCAAGTTACCTTTTGAGCCTCAGTTTCCTCATCCATGAAATGGGAATTAGAGTTGTTCTTTAGGATTTTGTGGAAATTATAAGAGATTACATCTACTAAGTGAGTGTCCCGTGCAGGATCTAGCAGAGATCAAGCGCTCAGGAAATGTATGTTGAATAAATTAACAAATATTAGAAACCATGTAAGATGCTTTAAAATGTTTCTGGGGGTGCTTACTTGTTTAGCACCTTAATGTTGTTAAAGTAAAAGAAGTAAAAGCATCATAACTGTCTGATTAGTAAATACTTGACTGTTGAAAGTAGAAAAAAAAGCATCAAGACCCCTAACTATTCTCTTCATTTCCAAAGATCATTCCCAATATTTAAGCCTGTATTGTGAAAATAAAGCATAACTCCTTCAGAAGAAGGATCACAGTGTAAGGAAGGGGGGCTTCAAACAGGAGGCACAGACTCCTTAGAGATGCCTCTTGCTGCCAATCACCTCTCCTCTACCCTTGACCAGGAAACCTCTTCAGAAACTCACAGAATGACAGGCGGTCAGCATACACCTTCTCTGTGTGCAGAGAAGGGGACAGGTCCCACTGTGGCATTTCCCATCCCCGCCTTGCTGTTGTGTCTGTTTCAGCACCAAGGACAGTTCCAAGGTACAGCTAACCTCTGCTACCAAAACTGCTGAAGGCTCCCAAATGTTTTGAGGGGTGTTTGGTCAGTAAATCAAATTGAGTCAGCTGCAACCAACCTCTGTAATTCTCTGCTAGGTTCAGCAATAGAGTCTTCTTAGTGAAACCACTGGTAACTGGAATCCATTTCTCCACAGTTTCTTTGGAAAAACCGTGAAGCCTTGAAACCCAACCATACTGGAGAGTTCATTTTTAAGTTTCTCAAACCAGTTTATGTGTCAGGAAACATTTTACCAGAGAAAAAATATTTAAAAGGTAAACATCTAAATGTATAAATACATATTTTTCAAGTTAAATACAAGAAACAGCCCTGAGACAGAGGATAGCAGAGTTAGAGCAGTGATTTAGGATTGGTGGGCCAGAAAAAGGCTCTCTGAGGAGCTGATATTGAATTTGGATTAAAAGTTTCTGGCCATGCAAAGATTAAGCAAGCACAGCCATGCAGAGAAACTGTGTGCAGAGGCCTGAGGGAGGAAACAACTGGCCTCTGGGGAGAAAGCATTTCCATAAGAAGGAATAGAAAGTGCAAAAGCTCTGAAACCAGAAAGAGGTTGCCTGTTTGATTAACAGAATGAGAGAAATGTAGCCTCATGGCTTCCAGCAAGATGAAGAAGTCATGCAATAAGGTCAGAAAGGTTGGCCAGGACCAGAACAAGTAAAGTCTTAAGTGCCATGGTTTACAGGGGATTTTTTTCAACAAGCGATGAGAAGAGGTTGAAATAACTTAAGCAGAGATGTGATAGAATCACATTTATGCTTTAAAAAAATCACTATTGCTGTTGCCTGGAGAATGTGCTGAGAGGAGGCAACCAGTAGAAATAGTTTAAGTGGTAAGTGGGGTTATCTTGGTGAGAGGTGAGCCTGGTATGGATGGGGTAGGGAGTTGAGGCAGACAGAAGTATGCGGATTCCGGAAGTACTTTGGAGATTGAACAAATAAATCTTGTTAGTATATTTGATATGAGGGTGAGAGAAAAAGAAAAGATTAAAGATGAGTTTGGGTCTTCTCATTTGAGCAAGTGAGAAAATGGAGATACCTTGAAATGACCTGGGCAAAGTTGATGCAGAGAGAATAAATTGATAGAAGACCAGGAGTTCCATTTGGAGCATGTTAGGCTTGAACAGAACAGCATCCAGGCAAAGGTCTGATTGTATAAAGGTCTGGCTGGTTGTATAAACTGGGAGCTCACCTTGGGTTGGACATTCACTCAGGCATCATTGTGCTTAGCATAGGGGTTCTTATTGGAAAGGGGAGCATTTTGTCTCCCAAAAGACATTTACCAATGTCTGGAGATATTTTTGTTTATCACAACTGAGAGGAAAAGGGATGCACCTAGCATCCCTTAGGTAGAGGCCAACAGTGCTGCTAAGTGCCCTGTAATGCACAGAACAGCACCCACAACAAATAATAATTCCACCCAAAATGATAATGGTGCCGAAGTTGAGAAACCCCGGTTTAGAGCTTAGACATGTGCTACTTCCCCTAAGGAGGAGTGTTCATAGGCAAGAGAAGACAACTCAGGACTGCTCAAACTCTCTCTGTTGGCCACCTCAATCCTTTTGCTCCAACTGTAGACTTAGCTTTCTCATCATCTAGCTTTAAAGAAAGCACTCAAGCTTTAGAGTCAGACAAATTTGAGTTTAGATCTCAGCTCTACCACTAATCATGTGACTGGGCAAGTAACTTAACTTCTCTGAGTTTCAGAGAATAATAGTATTGCCTCCTGGGTTCGTGACAAGGGAAATGAGCTGATTATAATGTGGCAGGACATTGTCTACAACCCATAAACACTCAACAGATGATTATATTCCCACGTGTGGCCTAGCTTTAATTTTGTGTTTTTCTGAAACGTCTATGCCCCCTCACAACTATCCTCTCACCCCAGACTGCCGTCTCTGAGCTGTGCCCTGTGCAGACCTTTGTATGCCACATTTTGCACTGCAAGCATCTATTTATGAGCCTGTCCACCCCTGCTCAGCAGTGAGTATGAAGCCAACTCTACACATGTTCATAGGCCGCTGTAATTTTCCCATACACAAAATCATACCCTTTATATTCACTCTCCCCTTTAACCCACATGTCAGCCCAGGGAAACATGTTCTGGTGTTCTTGGTTTACAACGGCAGTCAGCAGGGCTCAGTTTAGAAAACAAACTAAACAACCCCAAACATATCCCTTCTGCACTAAACCAAGTCAAGATGCAATCCCCACTCCATACAGCCTCTTAAAAGTTGCTTGACACCTGCCCTGGAAACCCAAGTAAAGGTGTCAACCACCATCCCCAGGCAACTTTGGTTTGTGGATCCAGAGTGTCATGGGGCAAGGGAAGGCCAGCTCTGGGTTCTCCCTGCTCAGCACCACTGCCTGCCCAGCCCCAGGCAGGCTCCTTGGAAAGCCAGGATTCTGTCTTGCTGAGACAGCTTCAGCTAAGCCACTATGGTCTCTTGGCCCAGCAGGCCTTAATGATGTCACTTAGACCTGGGCGCAAATTTGCTGAGCCCATGACATCACAAAATCCTCTTCCCAGGGCCTAAGGAAAAAAACAGAAGCTTTCCAGGGTACTGGCTGCTTACAAAAAAGGGAGAGGGCTGGAGAGTTTATTATTTGGGTCTCTAATGAAAAACCTGAAAGGAGTCATTAAAGGACCCTGAATTTTGGAAAAGATCTTTGTGGAAAGATAAAAAATAACTTTTATTCTCTAGCTTTTCCAAGTCTCAGCTTCCTCCTTAAATGCAGGAAAATAATAATTATTTCCTTAAAGAAACAGCTGTGAGGTTTCATGAGCAAACATATATTAAAAACATATAATGTCCAGCATCAAAAAGGGAGTTGGCAAATGGTATGGTTTGGCCTTGTCCCCACCCAAATCTCATCTTGAATTATAGTTCCCAAAATCCCCATGTGTCATGGGAGGGGCCTGGTGGGAGGTAATTGAATCGTGGGAGCAGTTACCCTTATGCTGTTGTCATGATAGTGAGTTCTCACGAGATCTAATGGTTTTATAAGGGGCTGTTTCCCCTTTGCTCGGCACTTCTCTCTCCCACCACCTTGTGAAGAAGGTGCATTGCTTCCCCTTCATCCTCTGCCATGATTGTAAGTTTTCTGAGGCCTCCCCAGCCTTGCAGAACTGTGAGTCAGTTAAACCTCTCTTCTTTATAAATGACCCAGTTTTGGATATTTCTTCATAGCAGCATGAGAACAGACTAATACACAAAGAACAGTCATTTTATTTAATTTCAACTTATTAAATAGTGTGTATTTATTGAAGAAAAATTAGATAATGTAGATAATTCAATAAAAATAAGAAAAGCCAACCACAAGCCCACCATCCTAAGATAATCACTGTTAGGCTTCTAAACAGGTCCTTTCAAACATTTTTTCTATGCATGAATATGCAGACACCTGATTCAAAAACATGAGATCATGCCACTATCAGAGGCTTTCACCATAAGAGAAGAAAGCCCACACGTTCCAGAAGGCCCACTGTATCACTTCAGGCCCATATATGTGTACATGGGCTTAACTTTGCCCTCTGCCTTAATGTGAGTTGGCATTAAGCAAAATTAGATTAGTATCCTCCAGACAAAGACAATTTACCTAAACAGCAAGGTTCAGTTCACAGTAGCTGCAAATAGAATGACTCTTGTAAGCTTATTTGAATTGAGGCATCAAATTCCTTTGAAACTAGGTCATCTTGTGGAAGTGCAAGTCCATCCTTGCTTGGTGTGCCTGGAGAAAGGCAGAGGAGCTTTGGCAATCCCTAAGGAGTGTACTTCATGCAATGGGAATCACTTGCAGGCACTAGTGGGAACAGCCAGGGATGCTCACATTCACTAACACTTACTATGTGAGAGGTACTTTGTGGTCTTCATTCATTTAATCTTTACATCTTTATGAGGCTGGTACTATTACTGTCCACATTTTACAAATGGGAAAATTGAGGTACAGAGAATAAAGGGAACCCTAAGATCTGTTTCATCCCAGAATTGCTCATGGGACCTTGGGCAACTCATTTAACCTCTCTGAGCCTCTGTTGGCTAATCTTGCAGGGGGAACTGCAATTCATTTACAGTTCTCAGCACAGACAAGGAGCTGAAAATATATTAGATTATATCCTTTATCTTTTTCAGAAAATGCTTGGCAAAATTTTAACACTGCTCCCCCTTCCCCAGCCCCCAGGACTAGAAACACAATTTAATTCATTTAATCAAACCTGTCATTAGCTCTCTTCCTGGCCACAGGTGTGTGGCCATGGTCTGGAGCCTCATTAGTAGGTCCATGGTATTAGGGCTTGGGGCCATACCAAGAGCTGCCAAGTATAGCAGGCCACAGTTTCCATGGCCTTAGAGTGAGCTATTTCCTGTTTAATTTTCACTTGTCCACAAAGGCTATCAACTGCTTGGGAAGCAGAAAAATATCATATCATTCTAGAAAATCCGAGAATGAAATCAACTGAGAACAAGTATTTTTTCCCTCTTAGGCACCCAGAAGTTCCAGAATAATACATAAAGGAAACCAGTGCTAAAATACTGAGGTCATGGAGCAGTGGAAAGTCCATGGGGTTGTAGGCATTTACCTCTCTCTGCCCCAAGCTGGAGGGGCCCCCAGAACCCTCATGGTGGGGCTCTTACTTTCCTCTAAACTCCTCTGCACCATCATGGGACTGTGAGAGGAGAGAGGACTGTGAGGCTCAATGGAAGCCCAGCCTCCAGCCCCATCCTCTGGGAATTAAGAGCCCCTTTATCACCATCTGTACTTGTTCATTCGATGAATGCTCTTGTGTTTAAGGTGTTTGTTTGTTTGTTTGGAGACAGAGTCTCGCTCTGTCGTCCAGGCTGGAGTGCAGTGGCACGATCTTGGCTCACTGCAACCTCTGCCTCCTGGGTTCAAGCGATTCTCCTGCATAGCTGGGATTGCAGGCACTTGCTCCTGAGTAGCTGGGATTACAGGCATGCGCCATCACGCCCAGCTAATTTTTGTATTTTTAGTAGAGACGGGGTTTCGCCATGTTAGCCAGGCTGGTCTCAAACTTCTGACCTCAATTGATCCGCCTGCCTCGGTCTCCCAAAGTGCTAGTGTTACAGGCGTGAGACACGATGCCCAGCCTGTTTAAAGTTTTGATCATGTAGAGTCAGCCAGATTGAAAATACAGCTGTTCTCTGGGCAAGTGCAACCTGTCATCTGAAAGGAGAGAACATTTCTCCTTCCTACCATCAGTTACCTAGGGAGTAAAAAAGGCCTCCAGAATGAGAACTGAGAGGGCTATCCCTGCATTGGCAGCAGAAGTAGAATCTATGCCATAATCAAGAGGCATCAAGAAGTTCGGGAAGGGCTCCTGGTTAATGGGAGTGAGGCAGTGGGGAGAGGTTGCCGTGGCAACAGGACCCAGCTGTGGGAAACATGTGGCAGCCTGGGACACCAGAGCCCAGGCAGAGTCCAGAGAACCCTGTGGGGTCCATAGATGGATGTCCCAGGAAGCCCCTGGAAGAGACAGACTTAGGGCCTAGAAAGGAGCACCTCATGGACCCCACCCCTGTGTGGGCAGCCATGGCTCTGGGAAGTAAAATACCTGATTGGTTCTCTCATTATAAATTGTTTACTTTCGGTAGCAGAAATAAACCTCAGTTCTCAAACTCAGATGTACAAGAAATGTAGCCCCATTTTTTGTATATGTTTTCATTCTATTCCAGCACCCATTCCACGGGGGTGGCAGAAGCTTGATCTCAGCAAATTGAAGCCCTTTCCTATCTCCAGGGTGGGACTGAAGCTCCAGGAGGTTTATGTAATTCCAAGGACCCAAGGATTAAAGACACATTGGTTCTCACTGACATCGGTCCCTTCAGGGGACTGCTGCCAGGACCAAGGCCCCTCTTGTTCTGGAGGTCTCTCTCTGACCTGTGGGCTCCTCTCTGGGGTGCAGGAGTCACCTCCTTGTCATGGAGTTCCAGGGATCTACCTGAATGCTCAGCTGTAACCATAAATTTATTTCTTCTCTCCAGTATTGCCACCTCACTAGGATGAGGCCTGAGTCTGCTCTGCCCTTGAGTCTAAAAATCACATCTAGAAGTCCCCTAAACCTTGGTTTGGTAATGAAACAGGGTCCAGGATTCTTCCTTGGGGCCCCAAAATATCGATGCATTCTTTTGTTTGCTTCCTTGACAGCTCCAGCCTCTCCCCACAGTCTGGGAAGTGTCCTGCTGGTCTGGGAATGTCATGGCTCTTCCCTACGCATCTCATTTACTGCTTGTCTGGGCTCAGAAGCCCTTTGCACTCCCTAGAGAAGGACAGGAAACTCAAAAGGTGAAAATCAATTTTTCTTTTATTCTCTGACTTTCTTCCATGTCATTCACGTCCACATATCAGAAGTGGAAAGACGCCAGGTGCAGTGCTCATGCCTGTAATCCCAGCATCTTGGGAGGCCAAAAAGGGAGGATCGCTTGAAGTCAGGAGTTCAAGAGTAGCCTGGGCAACATAGTGAGAACCCGTCTCTATGAAAAAATTTTTAATTAGCTGGGCATGGTGGTACATGCCTGTAGTCCCAGTTATTCAGGAGGCTGAAGTGAGAGGATCGCTTGAACTGGGGAGGTCGAGGCTGCAGTGAGCCATGATCATACCACTGCACTCCAGCCTGCTTGAAACCAGAGTGAAATCCTATCTCAAGAAAGACAAGACAAGATGGAAAGGAAAGGAAAGGAAAGGAAAGGAAAGGAAAGGAAAGGAAAGGAAAGGAAAGGAAAGGAAAGGAAGAGAAAGAAAGGAGTTGTAGCAGAAGCCAACACTGGGAACCAAAATAAAAACACCAGAGATGTGTGTGTGTGATATTCTGCTTTATTTACTACTATACTCAGCTCTGCTGGCTGCATAACGAAACTCCACCTGCTCCTGGTGGTGGGGATTTTCCCAAACTCACCTGACCTCAACACCAACACACACTGCTATACGGCTTTAGCAGGGCACTACTGGGACCTGGCCCATCAAGCACACTTTGCTCCTTCCTTTCTCAGACACAGGAACAACAGAGCCTGAGGCCCGAGAATTGCCGACTGCAACCCCCTCTCCTCCTCAAGGCTGCGTTGTAGTCAGCCACTCCCTCTACCTCGGCACCCTTCTCTCTTTCAACCCCTTCTTTGTCAAATTATCACCGATGATCTGGCTGTGACTATGCTGCCCCCAGGTTTACTTCTCTGGATCTTTATCAATGTGTTTGGAGGGGCTGGACCATCTCTGAAAACTCAGAGGCCCCAGGGCCAAGGTCTGTGCTGTGTAGAGATCACAGCATTAAAGGTGGACAGCAGCCCTCAGGCAGTGGAGAACCCAGTGGGGTCAGAGCCAGAAACTCCAATGGTCAACTCCTTCATGCAGCCCACGGCTCCTCTATGCAGAGGAAACTGTAGTGTTTGGGGTCTCCTCTCACTAAAAAAAATAGCGTTTCCTCCAGTCTCCTGGAAACTGAACCCATGGCTGAAATAAAGCCCTGAAGTAAAATTGGCCAGTCAATACTGGTTAGTTTTTCTTCTTCTTCTGGGACTATTTATGCACCAAAGACATCAAGAGCCGCAGAGAAGGACCCAGGCAAACTAATTAATTTTGGTAACAAGAGCTTATAATAGCTAAAAAGCACCTTGTACTCAGGATTGATGCACTTTCTAATTTAACTTCTGCAATAACCCTAACAAGTAGGAATTATTATTATCCCCATTTTACAGATGAGGAAAGTAAAGCACAGACAGGTGAAGCGGCTGGCCCTAGGCTACCCAACAAGCCATCAGATGGAGGAATGACTTGCTTCCAACCTCGTGCTCTCACCTCCTCTGCCGTGCACACAATGAAAGCCTCCAAACCAGTGCCAGTCATCTGGTCTACCCTCACACTGAGAAATGGCAAGGATGTAGAGCCAGAACCAGCTGGTAGGACCATGCAGATGCGAGCAGGGCTGCCTTTCAGCATCAGCCCGAGCCCTTGTGCCTGCCAGCAGCAGAAATATAGCTAGCTGCTGCTGCTCTGCTCACTCACTCACTCACACTCACTAGCTCAACTTGCTAGACGGGTGTGGGCGTAGGTAAGTGAGCCTCAAACTCCAGAAAGTTCTGTTTCTCTGCTTAAAATCCAGCACTGCCAACCCCAGGCATTTGCTTTTCATTTGTATTTTGCAAGCTCAACAGAAGCCTCTTCCATAATGAATTGACGCCACCTGCACAGGTCCTAGGTGGGAAGCAGACAAGGGAGAAATGAGCTTCAGGGTCATCTTGGCCCCGCTCACCTGTCTGAGCCCCCAGCAGTGCCAAATCGACCAACCCCCAGGACCGTAGCCTCTAGGCAGTGGCTCCGTACCAGTTCTCACACCTGGGCTTGGCTCAGAGACTCCCAAAGGCCACCTTCTGGGGATGTCCTGGGGCCTCTTTGCTGACCCAGCAGGGAACTCAATGTCTTCTCCTGCAATCCCAAATGGGAAAGTGATCAGACTGTGTAGCTTCTGGATGGACAGACCCATTAGGCATCTCAGCTCAGTTTTTAACTAGCTGTGTGGTCCTGGGAAAGCTGCTTCAACTCTCCTGATATCAGTTTCCCCATCTATAAAATGAAGATGATAATAATAATGCCTAACGAAATGGGGTAATGTGGGGGATTATGAGGTGAGGTGATGTTTGGCAAAGACCACACAAATCAATTATAATGAATACGCTGCAGATACTATTCTAATTAACAATATCATGAAAAATCATTAATTATTAGGTCACTAATTATTAGGTCACACTCTGAGAGTACCTCCAAGAGCCCGTCTTCTTAGCCATGAAATACCTAATGTTCCTTCCAAATCTGCTATCCAACAGCCTATGAGGAGGGGATCGCCCTACCACATGAGGCTCTTGTGAAGAGGAAATGAATTAATAAAGGCACAGGAAGCACCTAGAGCAGCCAGCACATCATAGGGATGCCGGATGAGGGCAGCAGCATTGAGAGGCAGCATCACTAGCAGTCCCCGCTCCGAAGGGATGTGGCCTTACTAACTACATAGGTAATACACTGACTATGTGGCCTTACTAACCACGTGGAGAGTGACCTAACCATATGGCCTTACTAACCACATGAGTAAAAACCCAACCATGTCAACTTTCTAAGCGTGGAGAGAGTAACCCAACCGTGTGATCTCACTAACCCTGCGGAGAGACTAACACAACCGTGTGATCTCACTAAACCTGTGGAGAGTAACCCAACCGTGTGATCTCACTAACCCTGTGGAGAGTAAGCGAACCGTGTGATCTCACTAACCCTGTGGAGACTAAACCAACCGTGTGATCTCACTAACCCTGTAGAGAGTAAACAAACCGTGTGATCTCACTAACCCTGTAGAGAGTAAACAAACCGTGTGATCTCACTAACCCTGTAGAGAGTAACCCAACCGTGTGATCTCACTAACCCTGTGGAGAGTAACCCAACCGTGTGATCTCACTAACCCTGTGGAGAGTAACCCAACCGTGTGATCTCACTAACCCTGTGGAGAGTAACCCAACCACATGCCCTTACTAACCACATGGATAGTAACCCAACCACAGGGCCCTACTAACCACATGGAGAGTAACCCAACCACATGCCCTTACTAACCACATGGGTAGAAACCCAACCACATGCCCTTACTAACCACATGGGTAGTAACCCAACCACTTGGCCTTCCTAACCACATGGATAGTAACCCAAACACACTGGCCTTACTAACCCTGTGGAGAGTAACACAACCACATGGCCTTATTAACCACATGGATAGTAACCCAACCACTTGGCCTTACTAACCACATGGATAGTAACCCAACCACTTGGTCTTACTGACTACAGGGCCTTACTAACCACATGGGTAGTAGCCCAACCACATGCCCTTACTAACCACATGGATAGTAACCCAAACACATTGGTCTTACTAACCACAGGACCTTACTAACCACACGGGTAGTAGCCCAACCACTTGGCCTTACTAACCACATGGATAGTAACCCAACCACATGCCCTTACTAACCACATGGATAGTAACCCAAACACATTGGCCTTACTAACCACAGGCCTTACTAACCACATGAGTAGTAGCCCAACCACTTGGCCTTACTAACCGTGTGGAGAGTAACCCAACCATGTGACCTTGTTAACCACTTGGAGAGTCACCTAAACGTGTGGCCTTACTAACCACGTGGGTAATAACCCAACACATGGTCTTACTAACCATGTGCAGAATAATGGTGCCTTAACTTCTCTGGGCCTCCACTTCCTCCTCATGTAGGCAATTAAAGAGTCCACTCCCTAGGGCTGTCTCAATGGTGCAGACACATGGTAAGAATGCAGTAATCCTTACCTATCACTGCTGTTCCCAGGCTCCGACGTTCAGCCTGCTCTCACTGCTGTCCATCACTATAGCTGCTGCCCCTCTGGCTGTCAGGTGCCAGCCTTTCCCTCTGCCAGCTACCATGCACACAAGGGCCTTCTTGCTGCCCTCTGTTCCTGTCCACATACACAGGCGCTGGGCATGCATTTATGGCCTTTTCTTCTCTTTTTTTGGCCTGTTAGATACTGTTGCAATGAACTTCTTTGTGCATACAGTTTTTCCTCCCATTAATTCCCTGGTGAGTACAATTATTAGGTCAAGGGCAGCAACACTTTTTGGCCCTTCATGCCTCCCGCCACTGCTTTTCAAAATGTGCTGTGTCCATTCACACCATTAGCCTCAGGACTCAGGGTTGTCCGTTTTACCATGTCCTGACCAGCACTGGGAGTTACAATTTTCCCATTTATTTTTCTTATTTACTAGGCATGAAAACAGTACCTGCCTTGTTTTGCTTCTGACTTCTTTACCCACCACAGTCTCCTTCTTGTGGTTTGCTTCCTTATCCCTGTTACCCCTGATTCTCAATGGTTAGCATTTTTCCCCGTTACCTTTAAAGGCTACTTGAATCTGAGCAGCAACGATTCAGCTGGAGCTGGTGGTAAAGACATTCCTCCACTGATCAGCCGTGTCTAGCTAGGATAGGACTCCTCACCCATGCGGTGGTCTGCGTCTCTAGGGGCTTGCTCCCCTGCCTTAAACACTTTCCTGGTTCTTTTTGTTTCCTATAGTTTTTGCAATAAGAGCCCTTGTGCCTATCGCTGGACATCTGACCCGAAATCCTCGTAGCTTCCAACTAGGAAGTCTCGAGACACGTGGCTGCTTCTGCCACACCAGGTTCGGGTGATCCAGTCTTGCTCCCAGGGATTTTCAGATTCAGCTCGTCTAAGATGGGGGGAAAGGGGCCAGGCATGGTGGTTCACGCCTGTAATCCCAGCACTTTGGGAGGCCAAGGCGGGTGAATCACCTGAGGTGAGGATTTCGAGACCTGCCTGGTCAACATGGCAAAACCCCGTCTCTACTAAAAATATAAAAATTAGCCAGGTGTGGGGGCATGCGCCTGTAGTCCCAGCTACTTGGGAGGCTGAGGCAGGAGAACTGCTTGAACCCAGCGGGCAGAGGTTGCAATGAGCTGAGGTGGAGCCACTTCACTCCAGACTGGCAGAAAAAGTGAGACTCCGTCTCAAAATGAATAAATAAATAAATAGATAAATAAATAAAATGGGGGGAAAGGGGAGTGAACTTGTTAAAAATGCCAATTTCTGAGTCCAAATCTGGTACTTCTGAACCAGAATCTCTTGAGGTGGGTCCAGTATCTGCATCACTAAAAAAGCTCCTCAAATGCATTTTATGAACAGATTATTACACACAACCCCGCCCTCCAGAGCTCATGGTCCAGCACTGGTAGCAGACAAGGGAGCAAGGACCATGCCCATGGATATGGCCATGACAGGACAGCAATGAGAACCTATCCCCAGGGCCAGCCCAGGCCAGAGCCAGGAAGGACCTCCAAGAGGAAGTGATCTTAAGCGGAGCCTGAACAGGGATAGGCACCAACCAGGCAGAGTGATGAGAGAGTGTCTGCCATCTGCCAGGGGCAGAAGGAGATGTGGTACATTTGGGGAAAGGAAAAGAACTCTGAGAGTCCTGGGAATCCTCTACGTAGATCATACAGTGGACCAGCTGTAGGTGGAGCAAAGGAAACAACAGTTCAGTTTTTACCCCAAGTAAGAAGCCCAAACTCTGCTTTGAAAATGAATGTTGGGGAAAATAGGTTCATTGCAATTTTTCCAAATGTTTTTAGAAAGGGTAAGATTATCTCCCCATGATATTTGTCACTTTTTGTATTAACTTGTTCTGAATACCTACTATCTTTTAGTATCTATTAGATATTTGTTAGGTATCTATCTATCTACAGTATCTCATGCAATCCTGGAAGGCATAAGCAATGGCCCCCATTTTAGGAATGTGGAAATCGAGGCTTGGGTACATAATAGATAGTCAGCTGTGCATGGCTGTTATGAGCACAGAGCCTGGACCGGTCAGTTGGGTTCACATCCTGGTTTCACTACTTACCAGCAAGTGACCACGGACAGGTCACGTAAGCTCTCCGTGCCTCAGTTTTGTCATCTGTATGATGGGCATAATAGTAGGGCCTACCTCATAGAATTGTGATGAGCGCTGAGTTAATGTATATAAATGGCTCTGAATAGTTCTGGGCATACAGTAAGTTCTGTGTAAGTGTGAGCTACCATAATTAACTAAATAATAATCTCTAAAATAACCCCAATGATTTTGATTATTCCCATGCTGCAGATAAGGAGGCTGGAGAGGTGATGTTTTGCCTAAAGTCACACACCTGGCAAGAGGCAGGGCAAGGCGTGCCTGACCTTGAAAGCCCACGTTTTCCCTCCTTAGGCCCAGCATCTACATCATTGCATCGGAAATAGCTGTTTCTGAGAAGCTGTCCGGAGAAGGGATAAAAGCACAGGGTCTCGAGGCTAAATGTGGGGTTAGGATGTGATTCTGTCACTTACTAGTGACTTACTTTCGGTCTGCTGACTTCTCTTGCCACAATGTCATCATTTGTAAAAAGGGGATTATAATATGATTTGTCTGGAAGAGTTGCAAGGGAAAGAGTTGATACATGGATGTTACTTAAAACCGTTTTGGCACAGAGAAAACAGTCCGCGTTAGCCATCACAGGTCCTCATTTTATTTGAAACCCTGACAACAGGGCCGGGCTCGGTGGCTCACGCCTGTAATCCCGGCACTTTGGGAGGCCGAGGCGGGCGGATCACAAGGTCAGGAGATCGAGACCATCCTGGCTAACACGGTGAAACCCCGTCTCTACTGAAAATACATACAAAATTAGCCGAGCGTGGTGGTGGGCGCCTGTAGTCCCAGCTGCTCGGGAAGCTGAGGCAGGAGAATGGCGTGAACCTGGGAGGTGGAGCTTGCAGTGAGCCGAGATAGGGCCGTTGCACTCCAGCCTGGGTGACAGAGCGAGACTCCGTCTCAAAAAAAAAAAAAAAAAAAAAAAAAACCCTGACAACAGATGTGTTACAGGATGTTTAGATATTAAGTATGTAATAAATTGTACCTGGCATATAATAAGGAATAGTATCGGAGAGTTCTGGACCATGCCCTGTAATAAAACACGACAAAGCATATACAGCAAAACCCACGAATAAGCACCTTGCCTCACTGACGTTCAGGTTTTGCCACTAAAGGAAGGGGTCAGTAGGCCTTTCTGGAAAGGGCCAGATAGGAAATATTTTAGGCTTGCAGCCATACAGTCTCTCTCATGTGGTCATGGTTGTTGACCCGTGGCTTATCCTGTTACACAACCACTTTCCATGTCCAGAGCTTTGAGGATCTGGGAATTCCATGCAAACAACTGTGGGCCTGTATTCTCATTTGTATCTCGTCATTTCCTGCAATCAAAAGCTCTGATAGCTACCCTCATGATCTATGATTAGCAGGAACCCAGAAGACAAATGTATTTTTCAGCACTACCCATGGTTTGTTTGGTAAAGCAAAATCTTTTCCAAAAACATGGTTTCGAAAAGAGAAGGCATTATTAATGGGGGCGCAGGGAGTTCCCATGCCCTCACAGAGCTGAGAAATGTGGGGACTGATGGCCAGATCGCAAGGAAATGTACAATTTCCATCACATCTTCAAAAATATGAAAAACTGCCACGGACTTTTGTGGCAGCCTCCCAAAGGTTCTAGGGGTCTCAGCTACTGTGCTAGTGATTTATATTTTAGGCAAAATCAATTGATATACCAGCAGTGTCCTGCTACCCCAGAAAAACATCATTTGCAATGCATTTGTAATATATTCTGAGATATGCACAGTGTAATTGTCAATATCTTGTGTTCATGTAGCTATTTTATTGCCAGAGAAGATTGAGGACTGATACTTGTAAAGCTCCATAAGATTCACAGACGATGAACATTACATCCTACAATACTACACTACACCACACTACATCCAGGTGGAAACGAGCATTTAAAACAGGAGAGGAAACAGGACTGAATTCAGCCCTAGGAACAAAGGAGCTGCTTCTTTGAAAAAAAATAAGCCATATGTCCATATGTGCATGCACGTTTTTGACCTGTCAGAGGTGCAGAGTGCTGTCTGCAGAGGCTGTTATTCAAGGGAAGAGTCCTGTTAGTCAGACAAACATGAACTTGAACTCAGCCCTACCCCTACAAACTGTGTGACCTTGGACCTCAGTTTCCACATCTGTGTAACAGGGAAATACTGCTTCTCATCAAGTTGCTGTGGGCTTATATGACCAATAGCTGTGGAAGTGTGGAAGCTCTTATCATAAGTCCCTCATTCATTTTATTTCATTTCAACAAATATACATTCAGCACCTGCTGCAGGACAGCTGCTCAGACCACCTGGGGATTTGCAGATGAATAGGACAGAAAAGGCCCCCGATTTTATGAAGCTTACAGTGCACTGGAGGAGGAGGCATGAAACACACACACAAATAAAAACGTCACCCCAAATTGTCAGAAGTGGAATGAGGTTTAAAACACTAAGATAAAGAGAGAAAGTGAGTATGGCAGTGGGTGGAGCTGATTTAGACAGGGTGCTGGGCAGCCACACTAGGGAAGCAGCAGCTCAGACTTGCAGAGTAAACAGAAACTGAACAGAAAAGAGGTACTGATGAAGAGTTCCCCGGCCAAGGAAGGGCAAGTGCCTAGATCGTGAGGCAGTGTAGTTAAACAATGGTCAGCCATTGTTCTGGAAGTCATAAGATGTGTAAGCTCCCCAATCACTCTTGTGGATTACATCACATTTGTAGAACCTAAGATCAGCCTTTTGAGACTTTTCTTTCAGACTTTTGCATTTCTGATGACCATCTCACTCCATCTGGACCCGTGACTCAACAGGCCCTGCAGTGCCCACCCAGAGGCGGACTCAGCACTCACAGACTTTCCCCTATGATTCTATACAACATCCCCATTCCCTAGCCCTCTACCCACCAAACTATCCTTGAAAAACTCTAACCCTTGAGACTTTGAGGAGACTGATTTGGTAATAACTCCATCTTCCACGTGGCTGGCCTCATGTCAATTAAACTCTCTCTCTTTATTGCAATATCGTGGTCTCAGTGAATTGATTTTGTCTGTGCAGCAGGCAGGAAGAACCTATCAGGTAATTTCAAAATTAGTGCCTGATATAGTTTGGATGTTTGTCCCCTCTAAATCTCATGTTAAAATTTGATTCTCAGTATTGGAGGTGAGGCCTGGCGGGAGGTGTTTTGGTCATGGAAGCGGATCTTTCATGTAGGGCTTGGTGCCTCCTGGAGGTAACGAGTGGTTCTTGCTCTATTAGTTTTAGTTTTCTAGAGGGCTAATGGTTGAAAAGAGCCTGGTACCTCCCTCCCCTCTCTCATCCTTCCTCTCTCACCATGTGACACCTGCTCCCCTTTATCTTCCACTATGAGTGAAAGCTTCCTGAAGCCCTCACCAGAAGCAGATGCTGGTGCCATGCTTCCTGTACAGGCTGCAGAACCATGAGCCAAATAAACCTGTTTTTTTGGTAAATTATCCGGTATCAGATATTCCTTCATATATAGCAACACAAATGAACTAAGACAGTGCTCTAATAAAAGACATGAAAGCTTGCTTCCTCCTTCCTCTCTCCCTCTCTCCTCCTCCTTCTTATTATTCTTCTTCCTGTCTCCTTCTTCTTCTTCTTCTTCCTCTCTCTCTTTCTCCTCTCTCTCTCTCCCTCTCTTTCTCTATCTCTCTCTCCCTCTCTCCTCAGATACACCAAGAAGGCATCCACCTACAAACCAGGAAGCATGCCTTCACCAGAACCTGACTATGCTGTCACCCAGATCTTCAACTCTGAGTCTCCAGAACTGTGAGAAATAGGTTTGTTGTTTAAGCCGCCCAGTCTCTGGTATTCTGTTAGAGCAGTAAAAACTGACTGAGACACCTGTTAAATTAGGGCTCTCCCTTTCTTCTCTCTAAAACTGATGCATCGTTTTCTTCCTTTGAACTTTCAACAATTTGGAGTAACTTATTGATTTGTGCACTTATTTAATCCTCTAAAGTCTGTCCTCCCTCCAAGACTGTGAGCCCTGTGGGCAGACACCAGGTTACTTACATTGACCACTCTATGCCAGCACCCCACATAGGGTTCAAAAAGTAAATGATTATTCTCCTTAAGCTGCTTTATTTTTCTCCATTGCCATTATCACTACATACATTTTATTTGTTTGCCTTCTCGTTTGCTTCATTCCCACCAAGATGCTATTTCCATGAGACGAGGTGTTTGTTTGTCTTGTTTACTGTTCTCTCCCCCAGCCCCTCGAACAGTGTCTGGCACATAGTAGATGCTTAGTAAATAACTGTTAAATGTTCAGGTAGTGAGAAAGGGAAAAATATAAAAACAAATAAATAAGCATAATTGTTGAATAAATGAATGAATGAGCAACTTCCTTCTCTGGGTTCCCACATAAACTGATCTCATACAGGATGCTCACAAAACATCTTCCCTCTGCACCACAATCTCTTAGCTTGCTGAGATTTGGGGAAAGTTTTAATGCAGTTAAAGCTGTAGCATGTGCCCTGTGAAGAGGCAGAGTTCTCATCTTAATTCTGACTTTTCTCATTCAGTCAACACATTTGACAATTACAGTTTGAAGTGTTAGGAGAGAATGTCATATAGGAAACCAAGTACTGTCTTAAAGGACAGGCAGACACAGGAGCATATCCCAGCTCTATCACCTGCCACTTGTGTGGCAAGTGACTTCACCACTGCAACTTAGTTTCCTCATCTGTAAAATGGGAATACTAATTGTACTAACTTCATAAGATTCCTGTGAAACCCACACATGATAGGTACTCTCCCTTTAGTGATCACATCCATACTGACCAGGGGTGGTGAGAATCCCAGGCAGAGTTGTACCAGAGGCCAGCTCTTCCATGTGGGGCATGGGCTCTTGGTAGGCTTACCTTTGAGAGGACATGAAAAATGGGCTGGACCAAGACCTATCTCCAGGGCTGCACTTCTACAGGCTGATGAGAGGCCACCTAGCTCAGAAAGGGATGGAGCATCCATGCCAAGGAAAAGTGGCACTCACAGGGTGAGCCATCTGACAGCTGTGACCTCAAAGCCAAGATGGTCCAAGTCACCTGCCTCCACCATGAGAATTCTCCTGAGCATGCTACTCCTAATGGGAATCTGTGTCAAAGGTCTAATATTTAAAATCTATAAGGAACTTAAGCAAATCAACAAGCAAGACACAAACAACTCCATAAAAAAAAGTGGGCAAAGAACATGAACAGACACTTTTAAAAAGAAGACATATACATAGCCAATAAGTATATGAAAAAAATGCACAACATCACTGGTCATTAGAGAAATGCAAATCGAAACCACAATGAGATACCATCTCACACTAGTCAGAATGGCTACTATTAAAAAGTCAAAAAATAACAGATGCTGATGAGGTTGTGGGAAAAAGGGAATGCTTATACACTGCTGGTGGGAATGTAAATTAGTTCAGCTATTGTGGAAAGCATTTAGCAATTTCTCAAAGAACTCAAATCAGAATTACTATTCAACCCAACAATCTCATTATTGGGTATATACCCAAAGGAATATAAATCATTCTACCATAAAGACACATGCACACAGGTGTTCACTGAAGAACTATTCATAGTAGCAAAGACAATCAACCTAAACACCTATCAATGGTAGACTGGTTAAAGAAAATGTGGTATATACACACCATGGAATGTGGTGCGGCCATAAAAAAGAATGAGATCATGTCCTTTGCAGCAAACTGGATGGAACTAGAGGGCGTTATCCTAAGCAAACTAACACAGGAACAGAAATCCAAATACTGCATGTTCTCACTTACACATGAGAGCTAAACACTGATTACATATAGACACAAAGAAAGGAACAACAGATGCCAGGGCCTACTTGAGGGTTGAGGAAGGGAGGAGGATGAGGATCAAAAAACTACCTCTCAGGTACTATGTTTATTACCTGGCTGGTGAAATAATCTGTACACCAAACCCCTATGCCACAAATTTACCTGTGCAACAAACCTGCACATGTACCCCTGAACTTAAAAGTTAAAATAAATCAATAATAAAAACAAATGGAGACCCAGAGCCAGTGGGCAAAGAGCTTCTATTCTATTTATCTTAACACAAATTAGAAAAAGTTTCAAAAGTACATAAAATGGGGGATTTTGCAGATATTACTGCATAAAGCAAAGCTAAATATAAATGGGAGTGATATGAAGTCTACTTTTTTAAGTTATTTAAGTCCAGGTGTGGTGACTTGCACCTGGATTAGGCTTGCACCTAATTCTAGCACTTTGAGGGGCCAAGGCAGGAGGATTACTTGAGCCCAGGAGTCTGAGACCCGCCTGGGCAACGTAGCAAGACCCGATGTATTAGGCCACTCTTACATCTCTATAAATACCTGAGGCTGGGTAATTTATAAAGAAAAGAGGTTTAATTGGCTTACAGTTCTACAGGCTGTACAGGAAGCATGGCACCAAGAACTGCTTCTGGTGAGGCCTCACGGAGCTTATAATCATGGTGGAAGTTGGGCGGAGTGCCAGCGTGTCACATGGATGTAGGGGCTAGGTGGGAGAGGTGCCATCCACTTGTAAACAACCAGATCTCAGAAGAACTCACTCACTCTTGTGAGAATAGCACCAAGGGGATGGTGTAAAACCATTCATGAGGGATCCATCTCCATGATCCAATACCTCCCACCAAGCCCCACCTCCAACATTTGGGATTACAATTCAACATGATATTTAGAGGAGGCAGCATCTAAACTACATTATCCTGTCTCTAAAAAATAAAAATAAACAAAAGAGGCAGGCGTGGTGACATGTGCCTCTAGTCCCAGCTACTCAGGAGGCTGAGGCAGAAGGATAACTTGAGCCCAGGAAGTCGAGGCTGCAGTAAGCTGTGATCGCTCCACTGCACTCCAGCCTGGGTGACAGAGCAAGACCCTGTCTCAGAAAAAAATTATTTCGTGCACAGTAATACACATGGCTCATGGAAATAGCCTGTATTGTGGAAATGTCATGTCAAATCCTATAGTTTTAGGAAACACTCATGAGAAGTCACTTCACTTGGCTGTGTCACATCCTAGAAACTGGAGCAGAGGGCACCATTGCCTTTCTAAACTTTCATTACTTCATCTGGGGAAAGGGTGATAACAGCTGCTTCATTTGCTGGCTATGAGAAGTAAATGAGAAGATTTATGTCAAAGCACCTTGAAAGCTGTATGAAGTCGCAAACACATAAAGAAGGTAATGAGCATAGCTCATGCCTTGTGCCTGGCAGGCAGGAAGCCCCCTCCCCACCATGACCATCTCCATCCCCATAAAACGTGTCCAAATTAGAAGCTGGTGCAGGCAGACAATCTCGGCAACTTGCTCTCTCCAGAAGAACTGTAAATAGCTTGATCTTCCATTTTATTTGTACGTTCCACTCTCTGTTGCCTACATATTAATCAACCTTGGTTGGTCAATAGGCCCAAGGGAGACATGAAAATGGCAAGAGAGAGGATTGGTTCTTCTCATGAGCTAATAAAGTCAAGCTTTACTTATGGCCCACTGGCTTCCAGTGCAAACCTGGTAAGCTCAGGGCTAAAGAGACTTCACCAAAAACTCTAAGGAAGCAAAGTATAATTTCCAGTGCTCTGGAGAGAAATAATGAGCATGAATTTTTTAAACACCAGCTGAACAGTATGGGTCTGCCTCCCCAGATACAGGTCAGGCTGAGGGAGTGCATGTGGGTCAAGTGCTTGGGCTGGAGGGAGGAAAAGTTTCCCTCCTAACAGAAGTCAGAAACTTCCAGAAGCCCACATGCCATATCTAGCTCATCAATAGGCTTCCATGGGCCAGCAGGGTGTTTTTGTTTTAAATGAGCCAATATTTTATATATTGGGAGATTTAAATTAAAATCTGGATTTCTGATTCCTCTTGAATAATTAGAAGATGTGAAAATACTGAATCCACTTCTCACAGGGCAAAAAATTGATTTGAGCAGAGAGGAGATGCTTCCCCCACTCATAGATGGCCCTTGCACCATCCAGACCTTGTTGCTTATACCCTGAAGGCACAATCTGTGCTTAGTCTGCTGTGCCACTGTCCAGCACTGCAGGACTTTAACTGGTGAATCCTGGCTTCTAATATAAAATCCTGACTTATATAAATATAAATATTAGCATGGCATTCAAGACACTTCATAGCTTGACCCTTGACCGCTTTTAAACATGGGGTCCCCTAAAAGATCCATGGATCACCTTGAAATTGTGTGTATGTGTGTGTGTAAGAGGCAATGGAACTCATCAAACAATACATCTGCCCCAGTGACCTTGAAATTAGTTAGGACCATGGGATTAGGTCTGTTCAATGGGCTAAGAATGGAAGTAATGTGTGCCACTTCTGCACCAAATCTTTGAAGAGCTATTTAACAATCCTCCAACATTTTTGTAGCCCTTCACAGTAACTGAGTAGACCCAGTGTTTTAAGGTGGTGAAAACTCCAACAACCTGGGGCCCTGAATGTCTATATGGAGCAGAAAGTCCCTGCCATCCTGCATGGAGCATCAACTTCAGGAAAAAGCAGAATTCTGCAGTGTTAAGCCAATAAGATTTCAGAGCTGTTTATTACCTCAGAAGATCCTATGATATCCTGACTTATACAGAGTATGTCAATGTACATTTTGCCAGAAGGAGACTGGTTAGAGGTTTCATCAGAGTTCCAAAGAGGCCCTGACAAAGATAAGCTTCAGAATCACTGTTCTTGGAGGAAGTCTAAATGTACATTCTTGGTGGATCCACAGTATCTGCAATAGTTGCACTAATTTGAGTCATTCATTTAATTATTCATTTATTCATATATTCATTAAAGCCCTTACTCAGCACAAGGCATAGTGCCAGGCTCTGGGATGCATAGATGAGGGATACGTCATAGGCATCATTGTGTTCTTAAAGTAGGCATTGTTGCAGGGAGTATTGAGTGTAGGAATGTGCAAATGCATATGTGAATATAAATTAATGCAAGAATGCATGCAGGATAGCTGTGTATGCCATGCAGAGTGCACATTGCAGGAGAACGTCCAGCTGAGTGAGCAAGTGAGGACTGAAATGTAGCCTACACTTCAGCGACTAAGCCATGCTATGGGATGCTCAAAAAGGACACATTTCCTGGTATGCGATGGCCTCCTAAGGGTTAGCAGAGGCTCTGGATAGACTCACACTTGAAGGAAAGGAACAGAGGGAAGGAAAGCAAGCCTGGGCCCTACTTGGGAAGAGTATCTAGACTAGGAGGGGAGAAGGGCAAATTCATTAATAATTTCTCTATTTCTACTTGGTAAATGCAATCACATTCACCTGGGCAGCAAAGAGCCACTCTACCCTGGGTGTGGAAAGTCCATGAAGGCTTGAGAGGGATGGAGAAGGATGGCTGAGTAGTTCTGATGGATGGATAAAGGCATTAGGATGGATGAAGAGGGTGAGGGCGTTCCAGGAAGGGGAAACAGTGTACACAGCCACATGGGGGTGGAAAATAACATGGAAAGTGATGTAAAGTGCAGGAGTCCCCAAGAGCATTCCCACTTCTGACACCAACTACAATTCTGAGGGGTCCCTAGCTCCAAACCCAGGTTCAGTAATTTGCTAGATGGCCTCAGAGAATTCATTAAAAGCTATTGTGCTTATGGTTGTGGTTTGTTTCAGTAAAAGGATAGAGATTAAAATAAGCCAAGGGAAGAGGTGCATTGGGCAGGGTCCAAGAGAGTTCCAAGAACTACCTCCCACTTTCCTCTCCCAGTGGGGTCACGTGGACAGTGCCTACTTCTCCCAGAAATGATGTGCCACAATACACATGGGGAATTGCCAGCCGGGGAAGCTCAGCCAAGTCTTGATGTTCGGAGTTTGGAACTTAGTCATAAAGACATTTTTGGTCACCGACATGCCTGAGCTTAGTCTCCAACTCCTCCAGAGGTAGAGCTGATATTGCATGATCCAAAGCCCCTACTGTAAATTACATTATTAGTGTGGTCTATCTGGTATGGTTCAAAACCCTCAGGCAAACAAAGATAGTCTTATCAGGCAGGAAATTCCAAACACTTAATCACCTCCCAGGAGACCAAAGGCCAGATGCATCTCTTTGGGCAAACTTCCTTTACTGCCCAGTAAATAATCTTGCATTTTTGGAATACAGGCAGGAGTGGGGGGAAGGAGGTGGGAAGGGAGGAGGCTAATAAGACAAGTTGGATTGAGACTGCAAAGGGTCTTGCAAAAATGTAGGCTTCAGTAGCTGGAGAAGGAAGGAAAGGGAACTCTCCTCTGCAGACAAATATTTTCCATATATTATTTCCTTTGATTCTCAAATAAGCTGTTAAGCTCTCTGAAATTCAGAGATGTCAAATGATTGCCCAAAACTGGTCAAGCCAGGACTTGAGCTAAGTCCTATATGACCTCATAGTCTGTGTTTGACTAGCTACAACCAGCAAAATATGTTTATTGAGCACCTACTATGCCAGGCTCTGAGCTTGATGCTGGATAAACAATGGTAAATAAAATAGATACAGCCTGTGCAGTCCAGTGAGATTAAGCAGCTAAACTTCAAATAGAATATCCTTATAAACTGTGATAAGTACAATAGCAGAGACTAATAGGGATACCTAATGTAGACTATGGTGGTCAGAGAAGGCCTGTTAGACAAAGTGGTGTCCAAACCAACACCCGCAGGGTGACTGGGGTCAAAGAAGATTCAGGGTGGTGGGTGGACAGCATTCATTCTAAGTTTCCTATGCCTCCCTGGTTCCAGCTCTGGAAGCAGAGACATCCCCACTCTAAAATAACCCAAGATGATAGAATCAGAAAAACCCTTTGGGAGGCCGAGGCGGGCAGCTCATGAGATCAGGAGATCGAGACCATCCTGGCTAACCCTGTCTCTAATAAAAATACAAAAAAATTAGCTGGGTGTGATGGTGGGCGCCTGTAGCCCCAGCTACTCGGGAGGCTAAGGCAGGAGAATGGCGTGAACCCAGGAGGTGGAGCTTGCAGAGAGCCAAGACTGCGCCACTGCACTCCAGGCTGGGCAACACAGCAAGACTCCATCTCAAAAAAAAAAAAAAAAAAAAAAAAAGAAGAAAGAAAAAAAGAAAAACCATCATCTTTAGACTGGATAAAGAAATGGCATATACACCAGGGAATACTATGCAGCCATAAAAAAGGATGAGTTCATGCCCTTTGCAGGGACATGGATGAAGCTGGAAACCATCATTCCCAGCAAACTATCACAAGAACAGAAAGCCAAACAACTCATGTTCTAACTCATAAGCAGGAGTTGAACAATGAGAACACATGGACACAGGAAGGGGAACATCACACACCGGGGCCTGTCGGGGGTGGGGGGCTAAAGGAGGGACAGCATTAGGACAAATACCTAATGTAGATGACGGATTGATGGGTGCAGCAAACCACCATGGCACGTGTATACCTATGTCACAAACCTGCACATTCTGCACACGTATCCCAGAACTTAAAGTATAATTTAAAAAAAAAAGGAAGAAAAACCATCATCCAACAATTTCTAATGAAATCATTGCTTCAGGGAAGTTTCGTCATTAAATATTAAAACTATTAGGTGAAGGTTGCTTGGGGACAGGCCAACGCTTCTGTTTCCAAGAGTCACTCCAGAGGCACTTAACAAATTCAAAGAAGAAGAAGCACCTTTACCAGGAAGAGCTCTGACTAGCACTGCCTGCACCACATTAATGACCTGATAGCTGGGGCAGTGGCATGATATGAAGATCATAGCATTGCCAGTGAAATCATCTTGCAAAAAGGTTTAATTTGAATCTATCTAATTATTAAGCCTTTATATTTAATCTCAAATTTATGAGAAAAATGAGGAATAGATTGGAATGAGGAAACAGATGGTCTCTTCAAAACCGTCAGTGTCATTTTTTTAAAGTGCGGGTAATGGTCTAAAATAAAAGAGACTACAGAATAAAGGCATCAACACGGACTGCATCCTGGTTCAAATAAAACACAGCGAAAAAGACTTTGGGGGAATAATTGACTCTGGATATTAGATGCTATTAGAGAATGAGTGTTAATTGTCCAGGTGTGATAACTATGTCATGATTATGGAGGGGATGTCATTTTTAGGAGATCCATGAGGAAGCCTTGATGGAAAAAGTGTCCTGGTATTTGCAACTGGCTTCCAAGTAGTTCATATACATTTTTTTAAATCTTAATTTTTAAAAATTAAAATTTTTAAAATTTTAGGTGTATAAGGTGATCACTGTATAAGGTGATCACTGCAATATGCAAATTTCTATATGTTTTAAATTTTTCATAATCAAAAACTGATGGTGGGGGATAAAGCATTCAGATAGACAGCATGCCTCATCCACCAATACCAGGACACCCTCCAAACATCCATCAGAGCCCTTCCTAAGGAATCATGTCTCTGGCTCGGCTGCTGCATCAGGAGGGACTCCCATTCAGAGCTTGTCTTTGTTCCCATGCCTTGCTGACAGAGGACAGTGGCAGGCCACCCATGGGTAGACTGACCCCCAGGAAAGCACATCTATCTTCTCTTCTTGCCCGCCCTTCTCTGCTTTTCAGCCACTCTTTGGGCATCACAAAGAATTTAAATAAACCACTAGAGAATTCACTTCCCCTCCCCTCTGAGTCATTAGGTATAAATTAAATGAAACGTAAATAAGCTTCCCAAGTGGACCCTGCTGAGCAGGTTACTAATTCGATCCGATGAGTCAATGAGAAGCTGAAGCTTTTAAAGAAAAAGGAAAAGTTTATGCTTCATCCAAGGGAACTAAGGAGAAACTCTCTCTTTTTCCTGCTGGATATTAATGAAGAAGGATGCTGATCCAGGAACTTTTGACCACCATTCTGGCATCCACGACTGGGAAAAAGTCTGCCTAACTCTACTCTCTCCAGGAATAGTACTGACAAGCAGAGCATCCTCAGACGCGTGCTTCAGGTGAGCCTCAGATCTCACCATCTGGGAAACTAGTTGCCCCTGGACTGTTTAGCCAAATGACCCAGTGCATTTTATTTTATTTTATTTTATTTTATTTTATTTATTTTTCAGACAGGAACTTTTTCTGTTGCCCAGGCTGGATTGCAGTAGCGTGATCATGGATTACTGCAGCCTTGACCTCCCAGGCTCAATCGATCCTGCCACCTCAGCCTCCCGAGTAGAGTAGCTGGGACTACAGGCATGCGCCATCACAGCTGGCTAGTTTGTTTGTTTGTTTGTTTGTTTGTTTGTTTGTTTGTTTGCTTTTTGTAGAAATGGGTTTTGCACTATTGCCCAGGCTGGTCTTGAACTCCTGGGCTCAAGCAATCCTCCTGCCTCAGCCTCCCAAAGTGCTGGGATTATAGGCATGAGCCACCATGCCTGGCTAATCCAGATTTGTTTTCTAAGCCAGATTTGCTTAGATGTTGTTCTCCTTACCACATAAAAAGTTCAAACCAGGACAGCAGAGAGTGACTCCACTGGTGTTGTTAGAGAAAGCAACTGCAGCCACTGTGAGCATATTAGAGAGACGGTTCTGAGACAGTCCCTAAATAATTCAGCCCACAGCCCTTCCTTATCTGCCCTACTCCCTCAGCCTTCTGCAAATATGCACTTCTAAAGAGACTCCCCACCACCTTTCAAAGCAGGCTTCTTTTCAAAGGTACTACACTCTGAATTTGGAAGCTAGATCAGGGACTTTGGAGGTGTCCATTAAGGGTTCAAGCCCACCAGCATAATGAGCCAGTGTCTCAATGGTCTAAGTCCCCTCTATTTTCTTCTCTGAATCTCCATCTCCTCTTCCCTCTTCCTCTCCTTCCCCTCCTACTGAGAAGCTGCTGTGAGGTGCTGGAAAGCATTTTGAATCTGCAGTCAGGTCTGTTAACCTTGAGCAAATCGTTTCACTTCTAAGATGCAGTTTACTCATCCCTAAAACGGGAATAAGAATACTCATCTCATAAAGTGGAAGTGAGGGTGACGCAAGATTTTAAAGAGAAGATGCCTGTCTTTGAGCCAGTGTCCTCAATCTTTTCTTCATTTCACACACTGGAATCTGCTTCAGCTTGAGAGCTGCCAAGTCCTCAAAGCTGTCTGGGATTACCTTTTCCATAACTACCAAGCAAAGTAACCCAAGTCCCCATCCTATTGGACCACAGGAAAGCCAGGCTCCTCTCAACCACTTCTCAGGGTTCGCAGGGAATGATCACCACTTATTCTCACCCAGAAGCACATCTCCCCACTTCTCCCCTCTGCGCCAGACGCATGGTGGCCCCTTCTCCCAGGTGTGGAGAACCCAGCCCCTCCTTCTTATGTGGGACAATGCACCAAGACAAGGCTGCTGCACTTTCAGTCTCTACTCAAGACTTGAGGATGTCACAGGCAAATTCCAAAGCAAAACCATAGAATTTATATCTTAGATTATTTATTTGATTAGCATACAAAACAGTATATATGGTTAAAGAGTGAAGCCTCCTTACACTCCAATTTCCTACCCCAAAAGGAATGACTGCTTTTAAGTTCCTTATGCATCTTCCCAGAGTTAGTCTATGGATTTATAAGCATATGTTTTTCTCCAGAAAATCAACATTTGAACTTCAATATTAGGAACCAAGACTCTAAAGCCAAAGTGCAAGCCCCACAGCCATCTCTCTCCACAGCCTGGCCTGCTGCCACTTTTCCAGGGTCTTCTACTCAGAGCCAAGCCTCTTCCTCGTGCTGTTAATTACACAGCCACTTGGCTACAGCTGTCTGCCCTTGGCCCTCACCTGCTCCCTGAGAAAGCCCAAAGCCAGTTAAGGTTCAGCGCTGCTGCTTCTTCATCCCCAGAGCAGTCTAGTCTCACCCGCACTCCCCAAAAGCCTATGCAGGTGTCTTTCCACCAAAAGGGCAGCTCTGCTTCAGATGGATTATTCCCCGATCCCTCCAGTAGTTGATGCAGAACACAGCAGCTGGTAAAACAGCAACGCTTTTGTCAGATTTGTCCACCACATGGTGATTTTCTGTCTGATGAGCTCAGTGTCTGCTGAGACACTGCATTGCAAGGTCTCTCCCATATACCCTGTTTTCTGCCAAGAGACAGAGCACGAGGGATGCTCATCATCCTCAGGCAGCCAGGCAAGTAGCTATTACTAGGCCCACTTTGCAGATGAGCAAAGGAAGCTCTGAGAGGATGAATGACTTACCTGAAGCCACACGTCAGTACATGCATCGGGCCCTGGCTCCCAATCTGTGATGGATCCGAGGATGGCACTGCCTCTCCAACAGCCCCAGCCCGCAGCACTGACTTCATCAGGTAATCAAAATTATTTTCTTACCCCCCAGCTAAGCAGCTTGAAGGTTGAGCCAAAAGAGGTCATAAAAAGTGCAGAGGTGATGTTGGAGGCAGGGGCACGAGGGTGTCCTGGGCTTGCAGCAGCACAAAGAAGAGATTCAAGGAAGCCAAAGCTTCCAATAGTGCACTGGAGTGGGCAAGGGGCAGAGGCACTCTGAAAATGGGTACGGGTTGGCTCAGCATTTCCACAATCGAGTCTCAGCCCACCTCTCTGCCCTCAACTCTCAATGCTCACATCCCTCCCTCAGCAGCTCTCTCTGCTGGGGACCCCAACACACACAGTCTGGGCCATTCTGCCAGCTTCCATGGCTTCCCCATGCAGAGTCATTTGTCTCTTCCACCTGACGCCATCTCTCTTGAGCGCCAAGCCTCCAAAACCCAGCTGAAGTCACCTTGTCTGTGAATCTCTCCATCACTCCCTTCTCACCACCTGCACCTGGGTCAGGAGACAGGGCATACGGGGAGGGATTCTCCTATTGCTAAGCCTAAAAAGAGGGCCAGAACAAGGGGAAAAAAACTTTATTTCAAGGCTAATATATGCAAATTGTAATCTAATCTCATCATTTCATAGTTAGCAGAGCATGACAACAAGGAGAGAACAATTATCATAATTAATCGTGAGGGAAATTGAACACGTTTTTGAATGCGAAGTTCTACCAATATTCAAAGGAAAATTCTTCTCAGATTCATCACATCTAAATGCAAGAGGGAACTCTGGGCATTGAGTAGAGTAAATCCCCTTCTTGTTTTTATTATTGTCAACAATTTCTTACATTTGCAAGTGCAGTGTAATATCATACAACCAAATTTCCTTAAGCCCCGCGTGCCTGGGAGTATAAATGAGGCCACTGAGAACAGTACTCATTCCAGCTGCACCGTCTCACCGCCCCCCACCCCCCATGCCTGACTGGTGACAACCAGCCCCAGCTAAGTCCCTACCCCAGGTATTTCCAGAAGGCCCCAGAGGACTCCCCCTTGTGTTCATGTTCTAGCTCTATTCCTGCCAACTCGGTAGCCTCTCCATTATTCCACTAAACTCCCCAGTTCCATCTTGAAAAATCATCCTCTGAAGCCTTAGGTCCATTTCTCCACTAAGCAGCACTCTGCTCCTCCATATGCTCCATATAACAGGCTGCCAGTCTCCATATGCTCTGCTGAACCCAGGAATTCCCCTACCGCCTGCCCCATAGTCCTCCTTGGCTTGCCAGCACATAGCAGCCATAAAGGCAATTGGCGGGACCCAGAGGTTCCCACTGGGGCTGTCCCATTGCTCTGCTTGCTTGTTGGGTGACCTTTCCCCGCTCCCACGCCACTTCCGGGTAACTGCAGCAGGAACACTGGCATCACTGCTGCTCTTCTAAACATGGCGTTGGGCCCAGGCCAGCTGCTGGCTCTGTCACTGCAGCTCTCTGGGATCCCTCTGCTCTGGAGCAGCGCCTTCCTCACTGGCCAGGTCAGGCTGCTGGCTCTCTAAAGGCATCCCAAACATGCTCTGGGTCAAGAGGTGCAGGAACGCATGGCAAAGTGGAGTAGAAGAATGGCTCTGTCTCCTCTTTGCATGGGAAGGGGAGCCTACCTAGAGCTGCCTGGGCCCCAAGGTCCATCATTGGCTGTGATAGCTCCATCTCCTTTTTTTCACTAGAGCACCTGCATTCTCTTGCTAGAATCCAGACTTAACTACCAGGCAGCTGGTCTGGGGCAGATGAAGTAGTAGATATCTGGCTGTCCCATCTACTTAAAAGCCTCACTGCCCTCTAATTACTTCAGGCTAGGCAATAACTTTGCCCACCCTCTGGGGGGTCAGTTCTCTGCAAGGGTCAGTTCTTTGACAAATGTCTGGCAATGAGACAGATCTTACCAGGTCACTTAAGCAGCCATAGCCGGGGGCAAACTGGCTCCAAGTTCCCACTGAGATCATCCTATTAGAAATTACCATTAATAATATTTCACTAATTGAGCACCTACTCTGTGCCCGACAGTTTGCTCAGCGAGGGGAGGCACAGTTCCACACACAGGCAGAGACAGGGGCTCAGGAGGTTCAGGGTGGCTGAACCAAAACCTCGCAGCCAGTGAGGGCAGAGCTGGGATGCTGAGAATGAAGCCTTCCCACCCAGGCTCCAGGACTCCATGAAGAGAGTCTCTCCAAAGGCCCAAGCACCATGCCATTGACAGAAGTCTTCCACTAAACCAGAAAATTACCTCTGCTATTCCTGCCTATGTTTTCATTTCTGCTCAATTTCCTGAATATGAGGGAATTCTGAGAGAACAATGACCACTTTTGGGAACTAGATGAATCAAGGAGCATTTGAAAGTAAAATGTGAATTTGGGCTGAAATGCAAGTACTATTTCTAATCTTTGAGGCATATAATTTGCAAAGGAGCCTACCAGGCGTAGTGGGGGAAATGGATTTAGCATTGTAAATGTGGGCTCCTACTGGGATCTGCAGCCAAGCTCTGGTGTTAGGGATGGCGCTGTGGACCTGTACCAATTTACGCTGTGATTAGAATATTGATTTTACATTATTCAGCAAGTATGGTAACACTCCACTGGGGCTTTGCCTTGAGCAATCTGGAATGTTTTCTAAGCACCAACTCTCTGGGCCACGCCCTGTCATGGGCATTTACATTACAGAAATGAATCACTTTTCAGGGTCTCCTGGTCCAGAAGGGAGGCAGGCACAGAGGCAACCAATGACAGAAATAAGGACAGCAGCTCCCGTGTGTTGACAGCTTCCATATTCCAGGTACCACATCTGTACTGTCATGCATGACCTTATTGGATCTTCACAACCTTGAGAGGAGTTTCCATTATTTCTCAGTTCAAAGACAGGAAACTAACTCTGCAAGAGTACAATAACCTGCCCAAAGTCACACAGGTGACAGGTGGGGAATCTAGAATCCCAACCCAGGTCTATCTGACTTCAAACTTCATGCTATGAACACTACACTGTCACAATCACAACACAGCATGCCAAGAACCACTCTGGAGGGATTTGCAGAGTACATCACAGCCTGGAGGGCGGGAGGACATAATTCAATGGGAGAGTGAAGTGGGCCAGTGGAGGGAGAGAATAGAGGGGAAGAAAAGCTTCCTAGAGGTGGCTGCATTTGAACTTAACTTAGAATTTCAGTGAGTTTTTGCGGTGGATAAGGGGTCACGCTGGCATCCTAAGCACTGGGAACATAGGCAAAGGCAGAGAGCTTCAGAGTGCACGGCAGACTCATGGGGAAACAAGCAGCTTTGAATGGCTGGAATGTAGGTGATTGGGAAGGGGTGTTTGCTGCAATGAGGTTGGCATAGAAGCTGGAGCAGAGGGTCTTGGAGGCCATGCTGATGGGGCTGGATTTTGCCCTGGGAGGACTGGGAAGCCAGTGGGTGACGTAGGACATGGGATCCATCTGATGAGGGTTGTTACTTCCCTAGAAAACTCACTCTGGAACATGTAGTAGAGAATGCATTGATGAAGGGAACAGCTGGTAAGCTATGAAGGCAGCAAGGGTCTGGGATATGCCACCCAACTTGTTGCACCTCTTAACAGTGGAACAGAAATATTCTTCTTAAGGTCATGTGCATCTCTTTCTGGTATGAAATATAACCTGGTCAAAAAGGCCCAAAAATCTTTCCAGAGAAAGAATTTAAATGGTCTAAGAGAATGATTCTTAAGAAGGCCATCCTCGAGATGCCTGTAATCCCTGCTCTTTGGGAGGCCGAGAAGGGAGGATCACTTGAGGCCAGGAATGTGAGACCCTGGCAACACAGGGAGACCTCCATCTCTACAAAAAAAAAAAAAAATTAAAATTAAAAATTAGCCAGGAGTGGTGGTGTGGAACGGTAGTCCCAGCTACCTAGGAGGCTGAGGTGGGAGGATCCCTTGAGCCCAGGAGTTACAGGCTGTAGTGAGCTATGATCACCCCACCGCACTCCAGCCTGGGCAACAGCCTTTAAAAAAAAAAAAAAAAAAAAAAAGCCAGTCTCATTTTTCTAAAGTCTTGTAAGTTATGAAGTTATACTAGAAAGACAAATGAAAACACTGACAATTCCACAGCAAAGCCTGCTGCGGACACGAGCAAGACTGACCTTTTAGGTCCTGGAGAGCTGGGATAGCAGGCATGTGTCAGAGTCCTGGTGATATGGGGAAGATAATCTCATCAGAGCTCCCAAGTCTGAATAGCATTTTCCTTACTCACTGTTCAAAACCTGAGATTGTAGCTCTGGGCTCCAAGTACTGCCAGAACAGCCTGTCATATTTTTGTTTTAAAATGCTAGGGATTTTGCATTTTGCTGACATGCCAAGGAGACACTGGCTTTTGAGAGAGATCATTTTGTAAAATCACATTTCTTATTCTAGGACTAAAACATCCATCACATCAAAGGGCATAGGAAAAGTCAAAAGAAAAAAAAAAATATATATATATATATGCTTTATATTGTGCCCAACCTGAAAGGATCATTTGTTTTGCAAATTCCTTCCATGCTGTGCTATGTGCAGACATATTTCTTATAAAATTGTCATTTTAGAACACACAGCATCATTAGAGGGTGGTAAAAAGCCGGCAGTGAACATCTTCCACTGTATAGCATTTCCTTAGGAAATATTTCAGGAAGATAAAAAGAAAAACAAAACTTAACAAAATATGAGCTTCGAAGTTAGGAAGACCCCAATTCTGCATGAGCTGAGGCATGTGAATGGGTTTCCTCATCTGCGGGAGGGCATGATGGAAGTCTCCGCTATGATGAATGCTGTGAGAAAGAAAGGGGAGAAAGGCCGTGGGGTACCCCACACAGTATCTACACCAAACGTCAGCAGGTGTGACTACAGCCATTACTATTGCTGAAATAACCATCTGCATATCAGAACATTCAGAAAATGCAGATATGCTAAAAGAAAATTTTTAAACCATGTATATATAACTTCACTGATCAAAATAATACTGTGCACATTTTTACACTGTGCCTTCTACCATTTTTTACTATGCAAATATTTCTGAGTATATGTAGAGAAAAGTTTCTAAAAGACCATACCGTACATACTGTTTTGCAGGTGAGCTCTTTAGCGCAAGGTTTTATGAAGGCAGTGAACTAGCACAAGCATTGCATCCACACTGTGAACTGAGTGTGAAGAGGGTGGGCCATGTACACAAGCAAACAGTATCTAGAGTTTCTGATTTCTTTCTCGGGCAGCAGCCAGCCATCTGTGCGACGGCTCTAAGAAAGAGGATATGCCTGGGACTAACCGTAAATAGTAACTACTAACCCTTCACAGCACAATTCCACGTAGTAGAATTTCCTTTTTCTTCTTAGTAAGTGATTGGTGGAATCTTACAGACAGATGAGGCTGGGGATTGTTTCTGTTCAGATCCGCTCAGGCCCCAGGGGTGTCTGCTGCTTTTTTTTTTTTTTTTTTTTTTTGAGATGGAGTCTTGCTCTGTTGCCAGGCTGGAGTGCAGTGGTATGATCTCAGCTCACTGCAATCTCCGTCTCCCAGGTTCAAGGGATTCTCCTGACTCAGTCTCCGGAGTAGCTGGGACTACAGGTGCGTGCCGCCACACCCAGCTAATTTTTTGTGTTTTTAGTAGAGACAGAATTTCACCGTGTTAGCCAAAATGGTCCCGATCTCCTGACCTTGTGATCCACCCACCTTGGCCTCCCAAAGTGCTGGGATTACAGGCGTGAGCCACCGCGCCCAGCCTTGTTTGCTTCTTGAATGCTCAGGTGTGCCCCCGTGCTCTGCCTGCCTATAACCCATCCACTCTGAGACCTGCGGCTTTCTCCTGCCATGTCCCTTAGCACTCAGTCCTCTCTGCTATTGCCCATGCCCAGAATTCCTTCAAGAACAACTATCTCCTCTCCCTCCCTAGGGAGCTTTGCTAACTCCAAGGCCTTCTGAGAAATGTCTTGTGCTATTTAGTGATGGCCTAGAAATGGCTACTCTGCTATCTGGACCTATATGTTATTTACCGTCCAACGTGCAAAACTCTACTTGGGCCTAACAAGGAGGGTCGTGCTCCACCCCCTTCACAGGGAAGAGTAACTTCCTATTGGAGGTCCCAAGTGAAATCAGATTCCCGAAGGAACTGGGTGCAATCTGAATTTTTTTTTTCTTTTTTGAGATGGAGTTTTGCTCTTGTTGCCCAGGCTGGAGTGCAGTGACATGATCTTGGCTCACTGCAACCTCCACCTCCCAGGTTCAAGTGATTCTCCTGCCTCAGCCTCCGGAGTAGCTGGGATCACAGGCACCCACCACCACACCCGGCTAATTTTTGTTATTTTTAGTAAAGACGGGATTTCACCGTGTTGGCCAGGCTGGTCTCGAACTCCTGACCTCAGTTGATCCACCGGCCTTGGCCTCCCAAAATGCTAGGATTACAAAGGTGAGCCACCACGCCTGGCCACAATCTGAATTTATAAGACAGGCTGCCCTAAAGGCGCCTCAGCGTTGGGTCCCACCTGAAAGAAATACAAGTACCCTTACAAAGGTCTTGCAGAGGAGACAGATCTGTCTGCCAACGTCTCTTAAGGAGCGCACAAAGGGGAAACTGTTGGCACAAAAGCAAGCAAGTTTCCTTTAAATTTTTTTTTTACTCACCAAAATCCGTGCCTCCTAGCCCCTGCGTCTTCTCCCTTTCTTTCTCACACCTCCCTCCCAAAGTCTCCGCCTCCCCAGCTCCCCTCCTCCACACCCCCACATCAGGTGTTTTGTTCCCTAAGCGCCAGGCGCCCTTGCTGTGGAAGATCTCCGTGCCAATCGCCATCACCAGTATCCTCAAAAACACACGAAAAGATATGGAAATTAGATGCTATAAAAAGAAACAGAATAAAAAGATCTTGGGAAAAGCAGAAATTAGAAACTCAATAGAAGGGTTGGCAGACAGAGTTGAGGAACCCCCTCAAGACCCCCCAAATGAGACCAAAAAGAATTTTCTTTTTTAAAAAGAGGCATCCAGAAATCCAATGTTCAAATCATAAGAACCCCAGAAAAGAAAGGAAAAGAGAGAGAGAGAGAGAATAAAAGGGAGCAAATCTTTATGAAAATAATTCAAGAATATTTTCCAGACAAACAGAAGAGTCCGGACTGAGAGAACCCACCTTATGGTCAAACCTAGCACTAAAGCACATAATGGTGAAATTTCAGAACACTGGGGAAAAATACATCTCTCAGGTTTTCAGTCAGGAAATTGTCACATCCAAAAGATCAGGTTTAAGAATGGCTTTGGACTTTCCAGCTGCAAGCTAGGACATGATGGTGAATGCCTTCAAAATTCTAAAGAAAAATAAATTCTGGTGTAGAATTCTAGAGTCAGACAAGTTGCTAATCAGGTATGAATACAGATTAAGGATATTTTCAGAAATGCAAGGACACAGCACTCCTGTGCACCCTTTCTCAGGGAGCTGCTTGACAGTGTGCTGTTTCCAAAGGAGACAGCAAGCCCAGAAAGAGGAAGACACGGTGCAGGAAACAGAAGAGAAGTGGAGAACCCCTAGAGGATGGCAGACGGAGATGGCAGGAGGGCACTGTGAGCCAGTGGAAGAGGCAGAATAATAGACCCACTCAAGAAGATGAAACCCATAGACAATGTGATTCGAGAAAACATCTTGAGAGGAGATTTAGTGAACCGGCAAACAGTTTAAGCTTGAAATGGTGATAACTATGTAGAAAAACAAATCAAGCAAACACCAACAATTACCACTGAGGGACTTATCACATGACTCAGTCAGGAAAAATATTTGCAAAGTCAACCTATTACAATATATAGATTTTATTTACATTTGATTTGAAAGGGAAAAGTGAATCATAAAAATGTGTTCAATAGAAACGAATGGAGTGAATTAAGAAAGAAAGACAAGCAGTGAGAAAGAGGATAGAGAATGGAAAGTAAGATACAGCATGGTAGAAATAGATTCAAAAATACAAACACACTGTATGTCAAAAGATTAAAATTGTTGTTAATAACACAGAGATGGTCATGTTGGATAAGACAAAGGCTAGCAATATTCTGTTTTATAAGATATTAAAATGGCACAGCCAGGTTGAAAACATAGGGATAGGGTGCAAGATACACCAGTCAAATAATCATCTAAGCTAGAGACAAAATTTTCTCTGTTAAGGGCCTGATCATAAATATTTTAGGCTTTGCAAGCTGTAAGTCTTTGTTGTAGCTATTCACTTCCTGCCATAGTACAAAGAGCAGCTATAGACAATAGTAAATGAATGGGTGTGGCTGTGTTCCAATAAAACTTTATTTAAAAACAGAGTCATCAGGCTGGATTTGGCTCAAAGGTCAGTGTGCTGACCCCTGATGGAGTTAGTCCCTGGCCATCTCTCTGGCCTTACCTCCTTCCCCTTCTCCATGCTCTGACCTGCTCACCTCTCCACACTTCGTTCTAGGCACTTCTGCCCTTCTGTTATTAAACCTGTGAAGCCTTTTCCCACCTTGGGCTTTTGTTTTCACTGTCCCCCACTACCTGGAACATCCTTGCACCAGATTGTCCCCAGACCCACTTACCCATTTCATGCAGGAATCTGCTCAAATGTCACCTCCTCGAAGAAGTCTTCCTTGATCTTTCGATCTAGATATCAGCCTCCTCCACCGCATCAGACTTTATCTACTCACCTTGAATTTACTTTTTGCTAGTACACTCATGACCACCTGACATATCACATATTTACCCGTTTTCTTGATGCCCTGTCTTCCCAGGGCTGTGTCTACTTTGCTCACCCTTGCATCCCCAGAAAACTGCCTGGTACATATCATTAGGTCTCAAGAAATATTTGTTGAATCAGTGAATGAACAAATAAATAAATAGCTTTAACAAGAGGCGTATTAGAAAACTCCTGTCAATGAAGGACTCTTGCATTTTCTTTTACTCTAGAAGAGTGAATTCTATTGTATGGCAGTCTAATTTTTCTTCATCAATGATGTGACGAATAGTGGAGGAAAATGAAAATCTACCCCTCACAGCTTTACCAACAAATGCTGCAAAAACCTCCCCCTCCAGAAGGGAGCTTTCTTATACATGCTTAAGCCCTGGTCACGTATCAAACATAAAGCAGGCTACTTTTAATTTTTTAAATGATTGTTCTTAAAGATTATTCTAGTTCTTTATAGAATCTGTGTCATTAAAGATGAAAGACCACTAGACCCTTCTTACTCAACCCTCTATTCCCAGAGAGGACAGTGAGCCCAAAGAGGACAGGGGACTCCTCAAGCACACAGAGCAGGAACATGAGGGCTTTGACCAGCATCCTCACAGTTAGTCCAGGGCCGAAGCTTTGCACTCCAAGATGACACATCTTCAGAAACATGCCTTTTTTAATCCTGAAAGCAGCATTTATAAGAAAACGGATCTAGCTATTAAGTGTGGAGCTTTAATGTCTAATGGATTCTTCCTGTCTCTCAGTTATAAATAATCAGAGAATGAATATACTCCCCACACCTTTTTTTTTTTAAGTCCCCGTTGCATGAAATTATTCTTATCTTTCAAACAAAAAGGCTGGCTTTGGAGTTTAATTAGCTAATCCTTGGTATCTTACATCATAACTAGTTGTCTTTCCAATGTAGATGTAACATCACTGAAATGTTTACCAGGGAGTGTCTTTCATCCAGTTTTCAAGCCACTTTTCTCTTATTCTGAGTATCTGAAGTAGAAAGAGCTTCTTAATCCTTTTGCTGCTTTTTCCAGTCCCTGCTGAGGCTGGAGAAGGAAATAAAGTTTACTGAGAACCTGCAGTCTACTCTGTTGTGAGCATTTTATAGACATGATCTCATTTAATCCTCATTGCAGCCCTTTGAGGATTTTATTTTTGTTTTACAGATTAAGAAGCACTGGGAGGGATAAATTTGATTTTTTTCAAGGTCAGGGAAGAAAAATGAATATAGGATTTAGAATCAGAGAGACTTAAGTTCAAGTTTCAGCTCCAGACCTATCTAGCTATGTGACGCTGGGCACATCACTCAACTTCTCCAGCCTCCAGACCAGTGCTGTCCAGCAGAACTTTCAGTGATAATGGAAATGTCCTACCTCTGTGCTGTCCTGTGCAAAAGCCATGAGCCACACATGCTATGGAGCTCTTGGAATGTGGCTAATGCAACTGAGGAAGTGAATCTTAAATGTTACTTAATTTTAATTAATTTCAAGGTGTATAGCTCCATGTAGTTAATGGTTACCACATTGGTGAGTGCAGCTGCAAGTAGTATTCTCTTAGACTCTGGCAAGAGGGGCCCATACCCTGGGCCCTGCACTTTGGAAGACTACGTGGCTTTACTGTTGCCATGGTTCTCCATACAGAGTAAGGAGGCCACATGCCTAACTGACTGCACCTCTTCCATACTTCTACACCATGCCCTGGGTATCTAAAGCCATAATCTGGAAGTCCTGCCCAAACAGCTCAAGTCCACTTCCAGGGCTTCCGGGACCTCTTCCCTATTTCCATGCTTCCAAGGGGGATCTATACCTGTGGTATGCACACCCCTAGCACAAGGGACATCCAAGAAGTGGCCATTGATGGAACGTCAAAACAGAGCATAGACATATTGGCTGGTGTATCCACATGGAAGTGTGCAAGGCCCTTTGGGAGACTAGATGGGGCCATAGGTGGGAAGAGAAGGGAGGAGACCTCAGGCTGGGTTCCAACCCTCCCTGAAATAGCAACGGCCAGTGTTGGGGGAACTTCCCCAAGAACCTCCCAATACATTCCCTTTGGCCTAAGGTTTGGAGTGTAGTGGGCCAATTGTTGGTCTCTCACACTGAAATCTGTTATCTTTCCAGGGTAGGTATATAGTTTTTGCTACCGTTTGTAACCAAAGAATACTATTATACTATCCTTATCTCCCAGCAGCAGCTCCCAGCCCAGAAGATTCTTTTGTGAGAAGTCATCGTGCCTCCTGCTTCTTCGTTTTCAGAAATCCTTACGTTCTGCCTGCTTCCAAGCCTTCCTCTCCAGCCTGTCATCACTGTGCTCTGGGGACCCACTCCGGTGAACAGCCCCACACCCTCTCCGACCCTCCATCATGCAAGACTGGAAGTCATCCTGGGCCCTCCTCCATTATCCGTCACATGTGGTCATTCCCAGAGTTCTGTCCATCCATCCCTGTACCTGGATCTCAGATTGATCCTTGGTCTCTGGGGGACATGTGGATTCAGTTTTTGGCTCTGCCATTCCTGTGGTGGCTGCTGTATCATAGAAGAATAAGTGGTTGTTGCAGTTGCTGCACACCCCAAAGGCTGAGCACCGGTAAAAGCCAACTCCAAGGCCTATGAATGTTTTTTTCTTAGAACAAAGAATCCCTTCTTCTATACCAAGATTAAGGTAAAAACTAAGTAGAAGTTAACTTGAAAAATCTGTGTTATATTTTCCTAAAATGTTCCCTTCTGAAAGTTCATCAGATGATAGTTTAAGTAAAGCCTTCTGCCTAAACTATAATTGCTTGGCCACTGGCTCCTGGGGAAAGAGATAATAAGATTTTCATTATAAATCCTCCATCTTAGTAGTTTTTTTCTATAAAATTCAAGGGCAGAGATGATTTTTGAATGAAAGGGAACCCAGAACGAAATCAAACAAGGATGTAATTGCCTGCAGCCCCTCTAAGTAGGTATGCTGTTGCCTAACCTGTGCCCTCCTGCTAGCAAGCACTTCCTCCTTTAGCTACTGATGAACTCCTCTTCATCCTTCAAAACCCTGCTGGAGTGCCATCCCTTTGTGAACTTCACCCACACACACATCCACTGAGGCAGGTGCCGCTTTCTGTTACTTCCTGAAGCTTCTTATACAGACCTCTCTTACCACACTTTGCATGCTACTTTGGAATCTATTCATTTACATACAGCAGACAATGATTTCCTGCAAGGTAGAAGAAGTGAGAGAAAGTGAGGGAAGGACACAGTTCTTATAGTCAGTTAAATAGTATTAAAGAAACAAATTTATCTGTCAGTCTTGCTGGGTCCCCAAGGGCTTGGGGCATGGGGAAGAGGAAAAAGAGAAGGAAGAGGGTGAGAATGAGATGGAAAGCAGGACCATCATGGAAGGAATTCACGAGTGTAGCCTTTTTAGGTTACAGAAAGCAGCATCCAAAGTCATGAGGAGGCAAGACTAGGAGGAGCTGAAGCAGCTGGGGCTCCGGGGACCAGCATGTGGCTCTTTTGGTCACATGAGCTGGGAACCAGGGGCATAGGAAGCAGCATCCAGGACCCAGAATAATGAGGCTGATGAGGATTAGGCCAAGCATCTAGGCTGTTACTGAAAACTTTAGTGAACATCACTGCGTTCCTGGCTTTGTGCTGGAAGAAACAGAAGGAATCAGACATGGTCTTCCTCAAAGTTGAAGCGATTCCTCCAAAACTGACCAGGCATGTAAAAACGGCAATGACAGTGGGGCACGGTCAGTGTTGTGAAGGTGGAGTGGACAACGCATTGCAGGAGCTCAGAGGCAGAACTCACCCACTGTGCAAAGGTGCAGATCAGCGCTCCTAACCCATGGGGAAGCTGAGAAAGCAGCCAACTCCTACAAGCCTTGCCCCTCCCACCCAGGGCTCTGGGCTGTGCTTCTTCTGAGAGGCAGCATCCTGAGGAAGGGCTGCATGGAAAAGTTGCGGTGGATAAAAATCACAGGAGTTATCCATCCCCAGGGGCTGAGTGGAATGGGAGGATGGTGGACACATGAAGTTTACTGAATGGAGATGAAGAAAGCAAGTAAGAGCATGAAGTCCCCAAAATAAGGGAATCCGAGAGAGTAAGGCAGGAGCCAGAACCTCTCCAAGCTAGCCCAGCCCAGGGAGAGGAAAGAGGCACCATGTTTCTAAAGACCCATGAAGTGTTTCTCAGGCTTAGGTGAACATTGGAACCACCTGTGGAGTTTAAGTACCGATGCCTGAGTCCTTCACAGAGCAGGGAATTCATTGGTTTGGAGCCAGCCTGGGTATTGGGATTTTAAAAAGCTTCCCAGGTGATTCTAAGGCAGTTGAGATTTTTAAAAATTACTTATTTGAGGCAGGATGATATCAAATCTTTCTCAGGTGGAAAGGAAGGGAGGTGTTTAGAGGTAGAGGTGGAAGTGACGTGATCAGATGGAGGTGTGGAGAGCTCTTTGGGCACTGCAGAGTGGATGGCTGGGAAGGGACTGCATTCCTGCAAGGGACCTCTTGGAAGCCCCTCTCACCAGCTATGCCTGTTCTACCATAAGACATGTTCCCCATTGAGCACCTCTGCCATTGGTTAAAAAAAAAAAAAAAAAGGAATGATATCAGGATACGGCAAAAGGCTCGTTATTTTATACTTACTTTTTCCCAGCATCTTAATGACTTATGCCACTCAGTAGTCACAGCTGAACACAAAACGGAAAGTACACCAACACAGCTAACTACAGCCCTGTTACATTTTTTAACTTTATTACTTAAATTATCATACAGTAAACTTAGTTTTTTTCTTTTAGTGTAAGGCTCTATGAATTTTAATGCACCCATTTGTGTAACTGCTGGTACTATCAGGACACAGAAGAGTTCCACCATCCTAGAAAAATTCCCGCCTACTCGTGCAGCATGACACAGCGGGATTGGAGCACAGGTGCACAGTCCCGTGCATTATATAATCACAGTTATGTAACGATGTTATGGGTGGGCTCATCACCTGGCTCTGAGCCACTATTGTCTGTGAGGTGTATAAATGTATCACTGACACTGTGAGAGGCAGGGCATCATAAAGCCATGTCCCACCTACCTACAGCCCCCAGAATGTTCTTTCAACTACCTGCCACCCATCTACCAACTCCCCTCGGACCCCAGCCCAGGTTGGGACCTGACAATTGGCATAGTCGGCAGGATTCTGAGGTGAGTGAGTCCTCAGCCCCCGATGATCCCAGGTTGGCTCTGTGGCCCCAGCATGGGTTATGGCACCCGGTGGCAGGTGTGCTGCTCAGATGGGCCCTGGTGGAAACATGGGCAGCAGGTGACAGGGCCCCTGAGAGCATGGAGAAGGTGCTGAAGCACCTGGAAGTGCAAGCATCAAGAAGGGGTGTGCCTTTGCCAGTAGAGTTGGATGGGCGTTTTTGACTGTTTACCCTCCTCCTGTTAACCAGTGAGGCTGATCAAACCGAAAAGGTGGTGATGCAAAACCGATGGCCTTAGATATAGTAACGGCTGCCCAAGGTGGCACCTGTGCCCTTATAGGGACACAATGTTGTACATTTATTCCTGACAATCAACAAAACATAGAAGCAGCCTTGCAAGGGATGTCACAGGAGATTAAACCAGTTGAAAGCCTTACTGACGACCCCCTACAGAGATGGTGGGCGTCCCTGGGCACTGGCCTACTTCAGGCCCAAGTAATCGTGGGCAGCATAGCAGGAATATTAGTAGTAGGTTGCTGCTCCCCATATTGTTGCTGTGACCCAAGGGTCCAGGGTGTCACCTTGTGGGAACATCTCCCCACTAAGAGGACCTCCTCAGCCTAGGGGGTGGAGTGTAAAGACAATGGCTGCACAACAGTCAAGAGTAGGCTGAAGTAAACATCCAGTGAAGCATGACATAGTGGGATTGGACTGCAGGTGCACAATCCCGTGCATTATATAATCACAGGTATGTAACGATGTTATGAGTGGGCTCATCACCTGGCTCTGAGCCACTATTATCTGTGAAGTGTATAAATGTATCACCAACACTGTGACAGGTGGCACGTAATAAAGCCATGTCCCACCTACCTACTGCCCCCGAAGTGTTCTTTCAACTACCCACCAGCCATCCACCAACTCCCCTTGGACCCCAGCTCAGGTTAGAACCTGACACTCACTAACTGTCCCAGCCACACCCTCTTCCCTCCCTGGCAACCACTGAGCTATTTTTATGCCACCATCATTTTGTCTTAGAGAAGGTCACCTAAATGGAATCAGACTAAGTGCAAGCTTTCAAGGATGGATTCTTTCTGCCACATAATGTCTTGGAGATACATCCAAGGTGCTGTGTGTCAGTCCTTGGTTCCTTTTTGTTGCTGAGTAGTATCTTATTGCATAGAGGCACCGCAGTTTATCCAACACCTGCTGAAAGATTTTGATTTGCTTCCAGTGTTTGGAAATTTTGAAGACTGCTACCATATGCATTCACGTACAGTTTTTTGTGTAAACACGAGTTTTTTTTTTTCCCCGTAGCTTAAATAGCCTGGAGAGAGATTACTGAGGGATGCAGCCCTGTTATAGGTTAGGGCCCACTTTTAAAGAATACAAGTGTTTTCAAGATTATATAAAATAGTATTGGAGGAAAAAAACACTGTACCATTTGCAGGGCATGGAATAATCTTTTTTAAGCATATTTACTATCTGTATTAGACATAATTGCTGGAGTTATAAGGAACAGAAGTCCTTAGCTTCAGTGAAGAGAAATGCAGTAACAGGAAAGGGATGTGTCTCATGGAGCCCCAGGACAGGGATGAAGCAGGAACCACCGGCAGATGGAGAACAGGGCCAGGAAGCTGCCAGGAATCTCCCTGCATCCCTTGTATCTGCTTCTCTCTGGGCATCTACTTTATTCTTCTTTGCTGGAAAATGTATTCTCTCCTCCTTGGTCCTCAGGATATTTAGAAAATGCCACCTAGAGTTTCAAAGTTCACATATTAGAAGCCTAGCCATGCAGCCAGACTGACTCTCGGTCAATGCAAATTCCATGTTGGTAGGGCAAGAAATCTGGCGGGCAGCACATTCAGGCCCAATCAGTAAGAACTTCCATTCCTTGTAACCCAGCACTGCTGCCAGTGACAGCCCCTCCCACCACAACTCTGTGAATTGGGGTGCACTTCCCAGAGAAGAGACACTTGCGTGGAGGAGGCCTGCTCTGCATCACCCTCATCCCTGGCCAGAGAAGCCTCTGCCCACCCCTTCATAGCCCCTCAACAGGACAGAGGATCAGCCAGTCCTGGGCCAGAGTGTGAGATGAGGTCTGGTCTGATTTTGCTCCTAGATAGGTTACTGTACCTTAAAGCAGGGGTCCCCATCCCCCAGGCCATGGACCGGTGCTAGCCTGTGGCCTGCTAGGAACAAGGCTGCACAGCAGAAAGTGAATGGCAGGTGAGCATGAGCAAGCAAAGCTTCATCTCTATTTACAGCTGCTCCCCATGGTTCACATTACCACCCAAGATCTGCCCCCTGTTGGATCAGCAGCAGGATTCTCACAGAAGCATGAACCCTAATGTGAACTACACATGTGAGGGATCTAGGCTGCACACTCCTTATGAGACTCTAAAGCCTGATGATCTGAGGGAGAGCTGAGGCAGTGATGCTAGTGCTGGAGAGTGGCTGCAAATACAGATTAACATTAGCAGGGAGGTTTGACTACACAGAGACCATAATAAATCAGTTGCTTGCAAACGAATATCAAAACCTCAGTGAGTGGCAAGTGACAATTAAGCTGCATCTGTTGGCAGGGTTTACAGTGGCAAGTGAGTTGATGTACTTCAATTGTACAGCTGTCCCTGGTGGCCTTCAAAGTATGTTTGAGGCAACTTCAAATCTCCATACGTTCTTGATTAAAGTCAAGGCAGAATATCCTCAGATGAAAAGCCTGCTTCCATTTCCAACATCCTATCTTTGCGAAGCAGGGTTTTCTGCAGCAACAGTGAGTTAAACAAGATCATGGAGTAGACTAGACATTAGCAACGTAATTCGGGTGTCAGTGTCTCCATCACCCCCAGAGGGGAGCGTCTAGCTGCAGGAAAACAAGCTCAGGGCTCTCACGGATTCTACACTATGGGGAGTTGTATAATTATTTCATTATATATTACAGTGTAATAATAATAGAAATAAAGTGCACCATACATGTAATGCACTTGAATCACCCCAAAGCTACCCACCCCCCACCCCAGTCCATGGAAAATCTGTCTTCCATGAAACCAGTCCCTGGTGCCAAAAAGGTTGGGGACTGCTGCCTTAAGGGTTTTCTCTTCACTCTCATGTGTCTCCTGACATCCCTGGTTCCCTAGGGCAGATCAGCCAGCCTCTTTTCTCCTCTACTCCGTGGCTTTGTGGGGAGATTGAACTTCTTATAGGGATGGGGGTATCTCTCTTTTCTACCAAACCCATGAGGGCATTCCAGTCCCTCATTTAGATTTGGGGAGAAGAAGGTGGTCTGGGGAAACTTTTACTAAAAAGCTACAAAGATACTTGCCAAGGTATGAACAACATGGTGCTTTAATTCCAATTCTGCTCCTGAACTAGGTGTAAAGGTGCTCTAGACACTCTCTGAAGGGTGAGGGTGATAGGCAGAGCAGGACTGGAGCACTCCTGGGTCCTTGCCCATAATATCATCACGTACCAGCAATGCCCCACCTAATGCCTAACCACTCCCAAGAGGCAGCTAAGACGACATCCCAACTACCCCAGTGGATCTTTAATTACTACTTGCCTGGCCTCTTCAGAGACACATCAAAGAATTGATAAGTAGGTGCAATGGAGCTCTAAATTCCAATCTCCCTTAGAGGAGGAGTTGGCTATCCCTCCATATCTTCCCTCTAGAGATCACATAGCTCATGGTCAAGGTCAAAGGCCTCTGTCTGGCCTCCTAAGCACCCACATAAGACATAGATTTGAGAAAGAAAACAGTGTCCTTCTTTGCAGAAGGCCCTGGAATTTTTCCCCTAAAAAAAGAAAATGGTTCTGTTGGAAATGGGAGATAAGGGGCTGGTAGAAGAAGTGTGAGCTTTGAAGACTGCAGAATTGGGGTTTGCATCCCAGCTTTGTTATACGTAGCTTGAGAAAATTACCCAAACTCCCTTAGCTGCATTTTCCTCCCCAGCGACGCATCCCAGGCTGTTGTGAGGATTAAAGAAAATGCTTCCTGTAAGTGCCAACACCTGGTAAATGCTCCCAGCCATTGGTCCTCCCTTCCCTGTCTTTATCAGCACAACCTCAGAAGAATCCCTTTTAAAATTCCTCAGAAAAAAATCCCTTAGGATTTAAAGCTGCATTTGGCATTTTTTACTTTATTTGCTTACGAGTTAGTGGGTGCAGCACACCAGCATGGCACATGTATACATATGTAACTAACCTGCACAATGTGCACATGTACCCTAAAACTTAAAGTATAATAATAATAAATAAAACATTTAAAGAAAAAAGTAAACACAAAGCATTTCTGTTCACAATTTTCTAAGGGGGAAAAAAAATAAAGGCATCCCCCCCTTTTTTTTTTCTTTCTTTCTTTTTTTTTTTTTTTGAGACAGAGTCTTGCTCTGTTGCCCATGCTGGAGTGAAATGGTGCAATCTTGGCTCACTGCAACCTCCGTCTCCCAGGTTCAAGCAATTCTCCTGTCTCAGCCTCTCAAGTAGTTGGGATTACAGGTGCCTGCCACCAAGCCTGGCTAATTTTTTGTATTTTTAGTAGAGATGGGGTTTCAGCATGTTGGCCAGGCTGGTCTCAAACTCCTGACCTCAGGTGAACCACCCACCCTCGGCCTCTCAAAGTGCTGGGATTACAGGTGTGAGCCACCACACCTGGCTGGGCATCCCATTTTGTACTCACATGAAGTGAGTTTATAGCTTTTGCGTGTGTCCAAGATCATTTCATTCTATCCCTCCTTCTTCTGGGCATCCCAGGCCCCTATCATCCTTCTTTAATGGCCCTGAGCACAATAGCTAATATTTGTGTGTGTGCATTGGTCTCCCTTAGTAGCTTGGGGAACAGGGGCTTGTCTGGGTTATCTTTACATCCCCAATTCATGGTACAAGGCCTGGCACACAACAAAAATCATGCAAATTTGTTGGGGGGGTGAGGGAACTACTGAAACTTAGTTCCCTGAAATGCCACCGCTATGCTCTGACCCGGAGAGATTTTGATTCATGTCTTCTCTGTGTCATAGGTTGACAGTTGGCTGCTTGAGTTTTAAGCTTCATTCAGAAGTTCCTTATCCTTCCCCTAAAGAAAAAAAAAATCAGTTGCAAGAAATTCATATATTCAATTTACTTGCATGTCCCTTGGAGAAAACCATTCATCCACAACAGAAAATTCTGTTGATTTGATCAGATCATATATTCCTGTTTAGAGGGCAAAATGTTGAGAAAATCTACCCCACTGATTGCCAGTCTGGTCCTGGAGAAGGTCTGAACCATCATGACTTCTTCCCAGGTGATTATATGCTAGGCATTAATCCTTATTAGGATTATATTACATTACCACGAAACCAGTAATGTACATTACCATGTAATGTAATCCTAATATGAAACAAGTTTTGCTCCAAGACTGAACTCTGGAGAAAATATTTGTGAACCACCTATCTGATAAGAGGCTAATATCCAAAATAAATAAGAATCTCCTACAACTCAGTAACACAAAAAGAAATAACACAATTTAAAAATGGGCAAAGAACTTGAATAGACATCTCGCCAAAGAAGACAAATGTCCACAGTTATATGAAAGAGTGCTCAACGTCACTAATAGTCAGTAAAATGAAGATCAAAACTACAATGAAATATCACCTCATATCTGTTAGGATGGCTAATATCCAAAATATTTAAAAATAAGTATTGGCAAGGATGTGGAAAATTGGAACACTTGCGCATTGTTGGTGGGAATGTAAAATGGTGCAGCTGCTATGAAAACCACTAGGGAAGTTCCTGAGAAGTTAAAAGTAGAACTATCATATGATCCAGTAACCCCACTTCTAAGTATATATCTTAAAAAATTGAAATCAGGATCTTGAAGAAATATCTCCACCTCTGTGTTTACTGCAGCACTATTCATAGTAGCTGAGCTATGGAAACAACCCAAATGTCCATCAACAGATGAATGAATAAAGAACATGTGGCGTGTATATGCAATGGGATACTATCTGGCCCTCAAAAGGAAGGAAATCCCGCCATTTGCGACAACATGGATGAACCTAAAGGACATTGTGCTAAGTGATATAAGCCAAGCACAGAAGACAAATGCTGCGTGATTCTACTTATATGCAGTGTCTGAAGTAGCCACACTCTCAGAAGGAGAAAATAAAATGGTGGTTGCCAGGAGCTGGGGGAAGGAGGGAGGGGGAAACAGTTACTCAATGGGCGTAAATTTTCAGTTTTGCAAGATAAGTAAGTTCTAGAGATTTGCTGTACAGCATAGTACTGATAGTTAATATGATTTTGTGCACTTGAAAATATATTAAGAGAATAAATAGATTTCATGTTAAGCGTTCTTACCACAAAAAAATTCACACACACACACAAAAAAACAAAGAAATGTTGGAGGTCATGGATATGCTTAGTGCGTTGACTGTGCTGATAGTATAACATGGTGCATTAGGCCATTCTTATGTTGCTGTAAGGAAATTCCTGGGGCCAGATAATTTATAAAGAAAAGAGGTGTAACTGGCACATGGTTCTGCAGACTGTATGGGAAGCATCGTGCCAGTATCTGCTTCTCGTGAAGCCTCAGGAAGTTTCCACTTATGGCAGAAGGCAAAGAAGCAGGAGCAAGCACATTGCGTGGTATGAGAGGGAGCAAGAGAGAGAGGAGAGGTCCCAGGCTCTTTGAACCAGATCTGATGTGATGACTGAGCAAGGACTCAGTCATTACCATGAGGATGGTCCTAAACCATTTATGAGGGATCCACTCCCATGATCTAAGACCTCCCACTATACCCCACTTCCAACACTGGAGGTCACATTTCAACGTGAGATTTGGAGGGGACAAACATCCAAACTATATTACATGGATGTGTACATATATCCAAATCTAGCAAAACGTATACATTAAATATGTGTAATTGTTGTATATCAATTGTACCTCAATAAAGCTTAAAAACAAATAATTTTTTTAAAAGACTGACTCCAGGAATAAAGATAAATTCTCTAATCGCTCAATTTTCCACCCTGAGTGCAAGATTAAAGAAGTTCATTGCATCCCAAGACAGGGCTTCAAGTTCAACTATAAGAGGAGATGAAGGCAGGGCGCAGTGGCTCACGCTTGTAATCCCAGCACTCTGGGAGGCCAAGGCGGGCGGATCACAGAGTCAGGAGATCAAGACCATGCTGGCCAACGTGGTGAAACCCTGTCTCTGCTAAAATACAATAAATTAGCTGGGCGTGGTGGCGGGCGCCTGTAGTTCCAGCTACTCTGGAGGCTGAGGCAGGAGAATCGCTTGAACCCCGGAGGCGGAGCTTGCAGTGAGGCGAGATCGCACCACTGCACTCCAGACTGGCAATAGAGGGAGAATCTGTCTCAAAAAAAAAAAAAAGGAGATGAAATGGTGTAAATATCTGACATCCACGTTGAGAAGATGTGGCCAAAAAGGCCAAAAACTGAAAGAAATGTTTGTGGGCAGGACAGCCCTGATCACTGCAGGCTGAAGAAGGTTGTCATTTAACTCTCACTAAACAAAGCCCAAAGCCCTTTTTCATCCGCTTTGAACAGCTCCTCACCTTTTGAATCCCACCTCAAAATTTGTGTCTGATGACTACACCATTCCTCCAAACAAGCTCAGTTAGAGCCATTCCTCATTGTGCTGGGTGTGTTTGCATCTGTTTCCCCCATAGAAGAGGAAATGGGGTCTTAGTCCTTTGGAACACTCCCCCAGTACTTGGTATATATAAGTAATAATGACAACAGCAGCTTGCATTTACTGTATCCTGCAGTGCTCCAGGCACCTTTGCTATGGACATTACAAACACTCCATATCAAATCATTCCATATCCATTACAAATGTTCGTATCATTTAATCCTGAAAACAAATCCACAAGGGTTAGAGGAATTGTTTTCTGCTTTTCTCCCAATATTTTATTTTAAAACTTTCAAACACACAGAAGTTGAAAGAATTGTATAGTAAACACTCATATACCCCCTACCTAGATTCCCCAATTAACATTTTTACTTGCTTTATTACATCTCTTTCCATCTATTCTTCCCTTATAAATCTATCAATCTTCCTTATTTTGGGATGCATTTTGTTTTTTTAATGCAAGAAGTTTTTAATTTTTTAATTATTTTTAAACTTTTAAGTTTAGGGGTATGTGTGAAGGTTTGTTCTGTAGGTAAACATATATCACAGGGGTTTTTTGTACAGATTATTTTGTCACCCAAGTACTAAGCTGAGTACCGAATAGTTTTTTTGTTGTTGTTTGTTTGTTTGTTTGTTTGTTTTTTGAGATGGAGTCTCGCTGTGTCTCCCAGGCTGGAGTGCAGTGGCGCGATCTCAGCTCACTGCAAGCTCCGCCTCCCGGGTTCATGCCATTCTCCTGCCTCAGCCTCCCAAGCAGCTGGGACTACAGGCGCCTGCCACCACGCCCAGCTATTTTTTTTTGTATTTTTAGTAGAGATGGGGTTTCACCGTGTTAGCCAGGATGGTCTCGATCTCCTGACCTCATGATCCGCCCACCTCGGCCTCCCAAAGTGCCGGGATTACAGGCTGAGCCACCGCGCCCGGCCCCCAATAGTTATTTTTTCTCATCGTCTCCCCACTCCCACCCTTCACCCTCAAGGAGGTCCCAGTGTCTGTTGTTCCCTTCTTTGTGTCCATGTGTTTTCATCATTTAGCTCCCACTTATAAGTGAGAATATGCAGTATTTGGTTTTCTGTTCCTGAGTTAGTTCGCTAACGATAATTACCTTCAGCTCCATCCATGTTCCTGCAAAGGACATGATCTCATTCTTTTAATGGCTGCATAGTATTCCCTGGTGTAATATGTGCCATATTTTCTTTGTCCAATCTGCCACTGATGGGCATTTAGGTAGATTCTATGTCTTTGTTATTGTGAACAGTGCTGCAATGAACATACACATGCACGTGTTTCCATGGTAGAACGATTTCTATTCCTTTGGGTATATACCAAGTAATGGGATTGCTGGGTCAAACAGTAGTTTTCTTTTTAGTTCTTTGAGGAATCACCACCTTGTTTGCCATATGTCTGAAGTAATTTACACTCCTACCAACAGTGTATAAGAATGCCCTTTTCTCTGCAACCTCATCAGCATCTGTTATTTTTTGACGTTTTAGTAATAGCCATTCTGACTAGTGTGAGATGGTATCTCATTGTGGTTTTGATTTGCATTTCTCTAATAATCAGTGATGTTGAGCTTTTTTTATATGCTTGGTGGCTACATGTATGTATTCCTTTTAAAAGTGTCTGTTCATGTCCTTTGCCCACTTTTTAATGGAGTTATTTTGCTTTGTTCTTGTAAATTTGTTTACGTTCCTTATAGATGCTGGATATTAGACCTTTGTCAGATGCATAGTTTGCAAATATTTTCTCCCATTCTGTAGGCTGTCTGTTTACTCTGTTGATAGTTTCTTTCTCTGCACAGAAGCTCTTAAGTTTAATTAGATCCCGATTTGTCAGTTTTTGCTTTTGTTGTGATTGCTTTTGGCATCTTTATCATGAAATCGTTGCCAGTTCCTATGTCCCGAATAATATTACCTAGGTTGTCTTCCGGGGTTTTCATAGTTTTGGGTTTTACATTCAAGTCTTTAATCCATCTGCAGTTTATTTTTTTTATATGGTGTAAGGAAGGGGTCCAGTTCCAAGCTTCTGCTTATCACTAGTTAGTTATCCCAGCACTGGGATATATTTTAAAGTAACTCACAGTTTCAGAAAGGTTAAACATTTTTGCAGAAGGCCATACAGCAAATAAGCGGTACAGCCAGTATTTAATTCCGCATCTGTTTACTGAAGAATCCATTTTCTTCCTGCTCTACTATTCTGCACCTGATCAATATTTGCTGAATGAATGAAAAAGCAATGTCATTTGCACACAGCATAGGTACAGATATGTTAATTTATTGGCAAATAAAAAGCTGCATTCAGGTGTGCTATGTCCATATTTTTAAGAAGGTTGCATTCAGTAATTTATAAATATTATTTACTGGGCTATGAATTTATATTAGAGTTTTCATTATTGTGGGAGAAACAGACACTGAAAACAAATTGAAAAATTAAAAAAAAAAATTCAGATAGTGATTATGCTATGAAAGAAATCAAAAAGGATGAGGTTGTAGAAAATGTCTGGGTCCCAGAGCTGATGCCGTCTGGGAAGGAAAGAGCAAGGAACACCGAGGAAGGTAAAAGTAACTGTTGATGAATCTGAGCGATAAGAAGAAACCAGTCCTGCGGAAGACGCAGAGAAAACATGTTTCACCCAAAGGGAACAGCAAGTGCAAAATCACTGAGGTGGGAACAAACTTGACTCATCTGGGGACTAAAAAGACAGTCAGGGAGGCTGAGCAAACATGAAAAACCATAACAGATGAGGTTAGAGAGAAGTATGGGGTGACCCCAAAGGGCAAAGTAGAAATCTTGAATGTAAACTATAGGTGCAATGGGAACCAATTGGAGGATTTTTAAAAGGCAGGCGTGATGAAATCTGATGCACCACATGTAAAGATTACTCTGACTAAATATGCAAACTAAACTTTAGAAGCCAAGATTGAAAGCAGCGAGACCAGTGTTATGGGCCAAATTGTGATCTCTCAAAATTCATCTGTTGAAATTCTAACTGCCAATACCACAGAATGTGGCTGTATTTGAAGACAGGGCCTTTAAACAGGCAATTTTTTTTTTTAATTTAAATAGCTTTAGGGATCCAGGGGGTTTTTGGTTACTTGGATGAATTGTACAGTGGTGAAGTCTGGGTTTTTAGTGCACCCATTACCTGAATAGTGTACAGTGTACCCAATAGGTAGTTTTTTGTCCCTCAGTCCCCCTCCCATCCTCCCTCCTTCTGAGTCTCCAATGTCCATCATACCACTTTGCATGCCTTTGCATACATATCACTTAGTTCTCACTTCTAAGTGAGAACATATGGTATTTGGTTTTTCATTCCCAAGTTACTCCACTTAGGATAATGGCCTCCAGTTCCATCTAAGTCACTGCAAAACACATTATTTTATTCTTTTTTATGGATGACTAGTATTCCATGGTGTATTTATACCACATTTTCTTTATCCACTCATCAGTTGGTGGGCACTTAGGTTGATTTTGTATCTTTGCAATTGTGAATTAAACAATTAATTTAAACTGTGGTCATTAGGGTGGACCTTAATGCAATATGACTGGTGTCCTTATAAGAAGAAAAAACTTATACTCAGGCACACACAAGGGAAAGATCATGTGAAGTTACAGGGAAAAGACAGCTATCTACAAGCCAACAAGAGAGGACTAAGGAGAAACCAACTCTGCCTACACCTTGATCTTGAATTTCCAGCTTCTAGAATTTGAGAAAATTAATTTATGTTGTTTAAGCCACCCACTCTGTGGTATTTTGTAAAACAGTCTTAGCAAACACAAATACAACCAGTTTAGAAACTGTCGCCATGGTCTGTCTGAGGGAAGTTGATGTCTTGAAGAGAAATGGCAACATTAGGATATATTTTGAAAGTAATGCCACCAGGATTTGCTGATAGATCGGATGCAAGAGAGAATGAAAGAGGAGAGTCAAAGTCAAGGAGGACTCTAAGGACTGGGCTTGAGCTACTGGATGAATGAAGGTGAGGATAATCTGGAGAAGAACTCATTAGTGGTGGAAGTCTGGAGTTCTGTTTTGGACAAGCTAAGTAGAGCAATTGAGCAGCCAATAAAGTGTAAGCTATGTTGAGCCTGCATGGTAACTATGGAAATATGTGATTGCACTGAACATCTGATGTGTACCAAGCACCATGCTTGGCACTTTTGCAAAGAGATAGCAATAAAATTTAGATCTTAAAGAACTTATGATCCAAAAATTCATTAACTAATTTTAAAGCCTTCATGATCTATGTCCCACAGGACCATATGTCCCATAGCAGTCAAAATCAAAGACAAATTCTTGGACAGAACTGGATTGATGTAATAAATTTCTAGGGCATATCTGAGGCCAGGTGCATGTGACATTTGAGTAGGAGTCAAGGATGTAAAACTGCCTACATAGTCGTGTTAAATGATCAGAAATTAACGTAACATGTTTTTGTTAAGATGGTTTCATTTGTCTGGGAAGCTGCATTCTTAGAACAAAAAGAGTCAAGGACAGAAATGTATTATGAGATAAGTTCCACCTTCAGACTCAACCTACGCAAGTCAAAAAAAAGTTAGATTCGCCTTGAGTTCATGAACAAGTGGTGCTTGACATCCAAAGAAATGGCTGGAGTAAGTGATGTTGCCCTCTTTTTTATTTCTTTGGAACAGAGAAGCAGAAATCCATACTACCTCCCATCTGGCTCCATGCTTCAGAGACATGTCTACGTCCTGAAATTGAACAGAGTCTTTCTTGCTAGGGCCCAGCCTGGCCCCCAATGGCAACACTGGGGCTTATCTCCATTTTTCCCTCTCGTTTCCCCATTCTAACATTTGGTATACTTTTCCCAAATGTATTTTCCAGTGTCTTTTTTGTTAGATCAGGCTGAATATAGAATTTTTACACTGACTCATTCACCTAACACTGTATTGTGAACATTCTTCATGTTATTAAACATTGTTTGACATTACAAGTCAACGGTCCTCTGATATTCCATCACTGGGACACATACTCATCTAGGCAAGTCCTTTGAGTTGAACATTCAGAAGGTTATAAATAGTTTCCTTTCAGAGATAATGGTGCAATTAATGATTGCAATGCTAATTTGGATATTCTTCTACTCTTCTAAAGATTGCTATTTTTAAGACATAGCAGTATCTTTGGGCCCTGTGTATGAAATTTATCCACCATTGTGGCTCTGCCTATAAGCCTTCCCTCCTTTGACCTTCCCCCTGTGTCTGATAACCTCACTTGAGCCTCGCTGCAGACCCTCTTAAGCACTCAGGATCTACAACTGCCTTCACACCACCCCCACATACTCCAAAACGTAAGTGCTGATGTGGACCAGGCCTGAGGAGGCTTTGGAGGAAGTCTCTGAAGTCGTGGAAGGGGAGATTTGAAACCTGGAGCACGGCTACTACTCTAGGTAAAGAGGGAGAGAATTCAAACTTGCTAACAACCTAGAACCCCCACTCAGAAGTGGTTTTCCTGAAAGCTCAACTCAGAAAAGGAAACCCTGCAGGAAGGCACAGAAGCCCAGTGGGAGAGCTACCTGAGTGTCTGCGGTGAGGAGGACTGACATTCCAAAAGGCAACAGAGCCAGTGTCAGCTGCTCACTTAAATTAGAATGATAGTGGCCAGGTGCAGTGGCTCAGGCCTGTAATCCCAGCACTTTGGGAGGCCGAGGTGGGTGGATCACCTGAGGTCAGGAGTTCGAGACCAGCCTGGCCAACATGGTGAAACCCCGTCTCTATTAAAAATACAAAAATTAGCCAAGTGTGGTGGCACGTGCCTGTAATTCCAGCTACTTGGGAGGCTGGGGTGGGAGAATCGCTTGAACCCAGGAGGCAGAGGTTTCAGTGAGCCAAGATTGTACCACTGCACTCCAGCCTGGGTCTCAAAAAAAAAAAAAATAGAATAATCGTGGATTTATTTTTATAGATGATTTTGCTTTGTGTTTTAAAATGTGAATAAATTTTTGTTGAATTGTACCAAATGTCTTTTTATTGTGTTTATTCATTTTTACTTATTTTATTGAATGCCAAATATTAAATTAATTTTCTTTTAATTTTTTATTAATAAAATTATATTATATGGTATTACATGAAATACAGAAATACTAGTATTTTTATTTTATGCCAGTATTAAGATGACAAGCTGCATTGAACATCTTGACATATAAATTTTTCCACAAAATTACATGAAGTTCCATGCTCCAGTATTGGGAGTCATGCCTAGAAATCTATACCCACACTTTGCAAGCAGTCCTAATACTGTGCTTCAGAAGTAGTAGTGAAAACTTCACAGTAATCAAATCAGCTATTGGACACTAAGTCATCACCCCCTACAGTCTTCCTCCTGCCTCCTGGTAACCAGTTCCTCCTATCCTCCCAACCTCTGTGAAGTGGAAGCCCACATTGCTAGCTGGAGTCTGTCCTTCTCTCTCTCTTTTCCTGGGATTTGGCATGTGCACCACTTCACACATCTAAGAACCTCCACTCAATTCTTCTCCCATCCAACACATCCTTAGCTCCAAGCTCTTCCCCATTCATAATCCTAAAACTTGTAACTCACAACCCCTCCCTCAACAAATTAATCAAAACCCAAAACCCAAAAACCACAGCCTTGGAAGAGAAAGGAAAGTAACCTCTCTGCAACGTTCCTTGACTTCTCCATCTGCTGTTCTCTTAATCTTCCCACAGAAAGCACAGGAAATAAGAAGGAGAGGAAAACATCTCATCTGTCATGAAGTGACAAAAAAAAAAAAGCATACTATGTCATTCTGTCCCAAAGTTTAGCCAACAGTAGAGCAAAATGTAGCAGAAACAGAGTAGGCAAACATATAACCCTGGCTTACAAGCTGGGTGTACTGTCAAGTTATTTCGTGGAACTCTCCTTTCTTGCACAATAAAATAGTGCAATAATAGCTATTGCATAGAAGTTTGTGCAGATTCAATATATATAAAGCACCTGGAGTATACTATGCATTTTATTAATGGTAACTATTATTAACTCACACACCTCATTCATAGTTCCCATCTATATGAAGTTATAAAAGTGACTTGGCTGTGTTGGACAAGAGAGCACTCTCCTCAGCCCCAGGAAAGCATGCTGAGCACCGGAAAGAAAAAACGTTTTGACACAGTGCCATTACCAGGACTAACAAACATTTTCAGGAAATTCCCTTGGTGCCCATAAGCCATTACAAAGCTACCACCCTTGAGTTTGTCTAAGCACATGTTGAAGCAATTTATGTTTTCAGCTCATAAAACCTCTTGGAATAACAAGTTCCACTGGTTAGTCATAGTCCATAAATCACCTCTTCACTAACACGACAGCATTCAGGGGAGGCAATGAGACTAGGGGGAAGGAGCTCAGGCTCTGTTTATAGATGTGGGTTGAGTCTTCGTTTTTCTACTTGTGAGGTCTTGAGTAAGTGGCTTACCTCTATGATCTTCAGGTTCCTCACTATAAAGTAAGGAAAATGGTACCTAAGCCAAACCTTCTTCAACCTCAAAGGCTTTGATCTACTGTTTGTCCTCCCTGCTAGATTGCTTTCCCATGCACATCCACACGGCTTGCTTGCTCACTTCATTAGTCATGCTCAAACTCACCTATAAGAAATTTCCCATGTCTGTATCATAAATACCTTAAAAAGGGGGGACAAAATGTAAAAAAATGCTTTTCAGACATTGGACAATAGATAGGAAAACATTTTTACTCAGAGTAGTTAAGCAAATTAGATGAGTTTTATTAATGAATTAGTTTTCTGTCTGTAGTTAATATCTGGACTTCAACATAGGGAGAAGAAGCCCAAACAGAGACTGAAAATCTTATTGAGTTGAACACTAGAGGACAGAGATGACTGGAGTTTGTGGGGAAGAATACCAGAAAAGAGGGAGCTAAGCAGAGAAAATTCTCCAAAAATCTGTGTAAGGTCTTCCGTACCTTTCTTTGGATAGATGCTGATTTGTATGTACATAGGATAAAACTCTACAGAACTGTGCAAAGAACAACTGCTGAGGACCTACCAGCTGAACAAATCCCATTGCTCCCACATAGCTGGGAAACATTTGAGTACCTGCCACCCGGAGTGGAGAGAACATAGTAAAAACTGAGACCAAAGACAATACCCACCAACTGTAGAATATCCATTCTGGTCAAACACTATTAGAATATATGCTGAGCCATAACAAATCTTAATAAATTTTAAAAGACTGAAATAACATCTATATATTCTCTAACCACAGTAGAACTACATAATAAATAGATAATAAAAAGACATCAAAAAACCACTAAATATTTATAAATTAAACAACATACACCTAAATAGTCCATGGGTCAAAGAAGAAATCACAAAAAAGTATAAAGTATTTTAAACCGATGAAGTAAAAACAAATCATAACAATTGGATGCAGCTAAATCAGTGCTTAGAGGGCAACGTATAGTTGTAAATACTTCAGGATGTTTTAAAAAAGAACGACCTGAAACCAGCTATCTAAGAGTTCACCTTTAAATGTTAAAACAGAAGAGAAAATTAAACTCAAGTTAAAGAGTAAATAGAAAACAATAAAGATGTGCGTGGAAATTAATGAAATAGAAAATGGTTAAACAATAAAAATTTTAAGAATAATAAACTCAAAGCTGATTATTTGAAAAAATTTTTTTTTCAGAAAAAAAAAGACCTGTAGCTACATCAGATTAAAAAAAATAAACACAAATGAACAAGCTGTATTCCAATAAAGGGGCATCACTACAGATCCTAGAAATATTAAAAGTATAATAAAGAAATATTTTAAACAATCCTATGCCAAAAAATTTGATAAATGAACAAATTTCTTAAAAGACACAAATTACCAAAACTGGCACAAGAAGAAAATGTGAATAGCCCTGCATCTATTCAAGAAATTGAATTTGAAATTTAAAATCTTTTCACACACACAAAAAAACTTCAGACCAGGCTGGGCGCGGTGGCTCACGCCTGTAATCCCAGCACTTTGGGAGGCCAAGATGGGCGGATCACAAGGTCAGGAGATAGAGACCATCCTGGCTAACAGAGTGAAACCCTGTCTGTACTAAAAATACAAAAATTAGCCGGGCGTGGTGGCAGGCGCCTGTAGTCCCAGCTGCTGGGGAGGCTGAGGCAGGAGAATGGCGTGAACCCGGGAGGCGGAGCTTGCAGTGAGCCGAGATCTCACCACTGCACTCCAGCCTGGGCGACAGAGTAAGACTCCATCTCAAAAAAAAAAAAAAAAAATCAGACCAAATGACTTCACTAGTAAATCTATCACTCACAAGAGAAATAAAACCAATTTCACAAAAACTTATGAAAATTAAGAAGGGATTATTATTTGTTGTTTAGAAGACTGGACAGAAACAAACCACCAAACAACCAATGTGGGATTTGGAAATAGTTAAGAAGGTTAAATGCTTGAATCAGAGATAATTAATTATTCCTCTTGCTGGAGGTTTGTAAAACCATGAAATGTAATTCTTAGCCCATAAATTATGTCTCCAGCAGGAACAGCTTTCAAAATGACACCCACCTTGTCAGCAGTGTAGGCCACAGAGGGATTCTCTCCCTATAATTAGGAAGTCCTATGACTTTTCTGGTCAGTAATGTAAGTTAGCTCTTTGGGCCCTTCAAATCCCAATTTTCTTTAAGCCTCAAAACACTTTCTCCATTCAGCGATTTAAACATCTATTCCTGTGACGTAATATGGTAATTTTAAAAATTTCTTCACTGGATTTATAAATAAGACTTCTCCCTCTTCCCTTAGCTCAGGACTTGAGCGGCAGGAAGTCTACAGATAAGAGGTGCATTCACTTTTTTTATTTCCCCACCTTCCACTTTCTCTGCAAGTTTGCTAACCACAGTCTCTGATCCCTCTAGGGCTCAATAAAAGCAGGAAGAAGAGGTAAATGGAATCGGAGAGTTCACAGCTGACTGATGATGTCATAGCTCACATCATACTTGCTGGGCCTGGAACGATTAAACCTGGTAATTTATCTTATGGCCCGTCCTTGAATTCTGCAGAGACTGCCTCACCCCCACCCCATTTGCTGCCCACATCCAATCCATAGGAAACACTCACACTTTCTCTGACCAAGGAAACTCTGAGAAGGTAGCTTCTTTCTATACCAGCCATTCAAACTATCACTAAAGGCTACTCTCTAAATTCTTCAGATTTTTACCAGCAGAAAAATCTTTTCCCCAAATCTACTTTAATCTCTCCTTTTTTTTTTATAACTGATCTAAAATAAATGATCTAAAACTGTTAGGTCATTTACTCTGAATTTCTGCATGGGAGTCTTAATCTGGAATAAGACATCTATTGTCTTCATGGCTCAATTGAAATTGAGCAAAGTCCCATGGTAATGTCCTAATGTATATCCATGGAAAAGTTACGAGAAAATAAAACTGAATATTTATTCGACCACTTGGGTGGTGGATAGAGCTTTTAGCTTCTTAAGCTTAAAATTTTTTAGTTTAATGTGGGCAAATTTGATGAAATAAACAGCATTTCAATTTTTCTGTTTATCAAAAACATGCTTAACTAAAACTGAAACTTAAAAATCACATTGGTTTAAAAAAATCTAAGCATATTTAGCCATAGAAGGATTAATGTATTGCTTACAACATTTCTTATTTCCTAATTTTAAAATGGATGCAGGCCCAGTGTAGAAAACTTGGGAAAAAATACAGAAAAGTATGTTATAATTTCCCCACAGAGAGAAAAGAGAATGACATATCACATTTCCTAGATTTTCTAAATCATATTAGCTCTGATTGTAAGTTGTCACTGGCCAACGAGAGTGTGAAATCCACAAGAAATCATATTAGGAGCCCCTCCACCTCCACTGAGCTGTGCAACCATCTCAGGGATTATGGTCTCAAGAAAATCATGGCAAACCCAGCTCTTAAGTCAGGGTGGTTTTCCCTGTCCACCTGCTCTTTCTGCTATAAAGAGGCCCCTGGGGAACACTCACCCTCTTCCACCATCTGTTGGGCACTGCTGCAGGTGAGTCACAGAGATGCCTACAAGGTCTTACAACTTCTAGGAACACTCCTAAGAAGGTCCTGATCTCTACCATGACAGGAAAACTGCCACCCTCCTCAGTAGGTAAATAGGCTCTTTCAGAACTGGACTGCTCTTCACCTGCACCCACTAAATCATGTAACTCCAACCCTGTCTTCTTGGGCAATGCAGCCTAATGTCTTCCACAGGCCAAGATTTCATGGACAAAAATCTGTTAACTCTCTCCAGGAGGTAAAAAGAAGCCCAGGTTTCAAGGACACAAAGTCCCACCTAAAAGCAGAAAAAATACATATATTTTTTCTCTTCCATGATAAGACTATCTCCAAGAAAACATGACCTACTTAAATTCTTAGTGTGTTAGTCTGCTTCATTAACTTTTCAAAAAATTGCCTTATTACCAGAATAAATCGGAAAAATTAAAATAATGCATAACCCCATCCCCTGGAGATTAATGAATTAATGTACTTATTATACATAGAGCTAAAACTAATTGGTAAGACAGAATTTGCTTAAAAATACAAATAAGAAGCCTTTGGATAAATAGGGTAAAATGTGTGGCACTTAATTCACAAAAAAGGGGAACTAAAATGGTAAACAAAGAGCTTTGCTCTCTCTTAAAGTAAAAAATGCAAATTAAAACAATAGTGTGGTTCTAATTTTCACCTATCAAGATAGTGACATACAAAAAGTACTGGAGAGAGAATTCCACTTCTAGGAAGGTGGAACAGAGATGCTTTTTCCTGCTAAGTATAACTAGGGATCCTGGATGGCATTTATAACACAAACTTTAAAAGACTCTGAAAAGGGGAGAGAAGAAGGCAGAAGAGCTAGAGACTTTGGAACCCAAGAAACATCACTATGGTGAGTTCCCTGGGTTTCTTTTTGCCTCAGATATCCCAGGCTGTATACCAGAAAAGTTAGTAATCTGGAAATGCCAGTGACCATGGATAAACGAAACAAAACAAATAGAAGAAACACCTGCTCTTTCTAGCCAAAGGGCTGGGAAAGCCACGCCAAGCAAGACAGAAAACATTTAGACAATAGCTCTTCTGTTCCAGTAAAACACACAAGGGTGGGGGGGAACAACTTCTGCCCCACTCTCACTCTGCCAACAAAGGCCAAATGCAGAGCCTGGATTTTCACACTTATCATGATGTAACAAGACATCTCAATCCCTCTGCCATGTCCACCACTTCCTAAGCGCCATGGTATCCATGGTGACAAGCTCCGCCTGGTGGAAATGAAATGTTCTTTCTTCTCCTCACTGGGGTAGTATCAAAAGAGGCCAAATGAAGAGTCATAACTTTCATCACTGCTCAGTGGTTAAAAATCATTACCCCTGCAGTCTCAGCGGAGTCCACACAGGGAACAGCAATGAGGTGCCCTTTCTACTCCCAGCAAAAGTCTTAGTGAGGAGACTAAATTCCCACCTCCATCCAGCACTAACAAAAAGTGTCTCTCCCTCACTCTCAATGCAGACAGAGGCTGAGTGGAGAACCTGGACTTTTACCCTCAACAGCCAGTAATGAAACAGTGCTCTCTCTCTTTCACCTGCCAGAGCCAGAGCAGTGTCAGAGAACATCTGCTGAAGCAGAAAATTGAAATAAGAACAAGAGTCTTATAAAATAGTACCTAAAATGTCCAGGATTCAATGAAAAAAACACGCTCATCATTATAAGAACCATGAATATCACAAACTGAATTTTAAAAAGCAATCGACAGATTGCAATACTAGCATGGCACAAACTTTAGAATTCTGACTAAGATTTTAAAACAGTCATCATTAACATGCTTCCACAAGCAATTACAAACATACTTGAAACAAAAAAAATAGAAAGTAGAACAAAGAGAAAGTATCAACACAGAGATAGGAGATATAAAGAAAAAAAAACAAATAGAAATTGTATAACTAAAAAGTACAACCACCAAAATAATGAAACTCACTGGATGGGCTCAACAGCAGAATGGAGAGGACAGAGGAAAGAATCAGTGGCCATGAAGATGAAACAGCAGAAATTACCTAGTCTGAAAAAACAGAGAAAAAATAAACCAAAAAATAATGAACAAAGCCATTTGTTCATATAGGGACATATTGAACTATAATAAAATATCCAACATTCATGTCATCAGCATCTCAGAAGGAGATGGATCCTGGTAAGACAATGAAAAGACAAGCTACAGACTGGGAGGAAATATTTGCAAACCACCTATCTGACAAAGGACCTATATCTGGAATATAGAAAGGACTCCCAAAACTCATTTTTTAAAAATCAATCCAATTATAAAATGGACAAAAGACATGAAGAGACATTACATAAAAAATAAACAGATGTCAAACTGTTATATGAATGAGTCAGAGATGGTCTCTGCGTATTGGTCCCCAGGTTGTTTATTTTTTCACTGCAGGCTGAGATCCATTAACTCAAAAGCCTTCTAGCACCAAGGTCAAATGTTTACACATCCATTTGTGAAAAGAAAGAAAGAAGGAAAGAAAGGAAAGGAAGAAAGGAAGAAAGGAAAGAAGGAAGGAAGGAAGGAAGGAGGAAGGGAAGGGAAGGGAAAGGAAAGGAAGAGGGGGAGGGAAGGAGAGAGGAAGGAAGGAAGGAAGGAAAGAAGGAAGGAAGAAAGGAAGGAAGGAAGGAAGGAAGGAAGGAAAGAAGGAAAGTGAGTCTGCCCAACAGGCAGAATTTTAGCTATTTAAAGCTTCTCTGGTTTACATATCAGGCAAAATTTTACCCCATATCAGCTGACTATTGATAAGTAGAGGCTTGCAGTTACAAGACCCCAAACTACTATGACCCTTTAGAGTTCTGTGACACAGAGACTCCATGCTATGCTGCTGAATGATATCACCTAGACATGTAAGCCCGGCCTGTTATCTCTCTACCCTGAGAGGTCCCATGCCCTCCTCTCCTTCTGTGTAGGGGACCTGTGCACCATACCATGGCTTCTGGACAGACTCCTGCTATGAGGGAACTTCCCCTTTTACTCAACCTTGTCCAAGTGCCACCCAACAAACACTTGTGTGTTGCTGCTTCTTGTGGTCATATTATATTCCTTGATCAGCCCCAAATCCCTCAAACCCCAACACAAACACACAGGAAAAGATGTTCTATATCACTAGCCATTTAGGGAAATGCAAATTAAAACCATGATGAGATATCACTATACACCTATTGGAACAGCTAAAATAACAAACATTGACAATACCAAGTGCTGGTGAAGGTGTAGAGAAACTAGAGATCTCATGTATCGCTGGTGGCAATGTAAAATGTGCAGCCATGCTGCAAAATAGTTTGTCAGTTTCTTTAGAAACTGAACACACACTTACCATTCAACCCAGCAATTGCATTCCTGGGCATTTATCCCAGAGAAATAAAGCATATGTCCACACAAAAGCCCGTACATGATTGCTCATAGCAACCTTGTTGGTAATAGCCCAAACTGGAAATAACAAACATGTCCTTCGGTAGGTGAATGGCTAAACAAACAGTGGTGCATTCATACCATAGAAAACCACTCAGCAGTAAAAAGGAATGAATTATTGACGTGTGCGCCAACTTGGGTACATCTCAAGGGTATTATGCTGACTCTGAAAGTCAATCTCAAAGGGGCAAACGCTGTATGATTTCATTCAAATAACACTCTCAAATGACAAAATTATAGAAATAGAGAATACATTAGTTGTTGCCAGGGGAGAAAGAGATGGGCGTGAGTATAAAGGGTAGCACAGAGGAGATGCTTATGGTGATGAAATCGTTCTATATCTTCATTGTTGTCATAGCTACACAAATACACAGGACATAGAACTAAACGCACACTGTGCCCTGGTCAAATTCATAGCTTTGCTAATGCATTATTATTGTATAAGATATGAAGAGGGTTCATTTAAACCGGCACAGAATTTTTCCTAAACCACTCCACTTAGCCAACTCACCATTCCTTCTGTGAAGCAGGTGGACAGATACCCACTGGGTCATTATCGCTCCACACCAGGGGCTGCTCCCCTGTGCTCTGCGTCCTGAGGCTTTCACCAGCTGAGCTGTCTGCTTACCAGGAGTGAGTTGTATTTGTTCTTAAGCCTGCTAAGGCCTCTTGAGCCATTTTTTTAAATTATGTAATTAAAATACACATTATAGAAACCAATTACATAAGAATAGGATAAATAAGAGAGTTACTGTTTCAATGAAAACTAAATTAAAGGCTTTGGAAAGACTCAAAAAAAGCAAGTCACTCATGCAAAATTATGGATGTGGAGTTAGGTGTGGGCGAGCAAATGGATTTGAAGGGGGTAGGAATCTTAAACATCCAGAGGGATGCTGCATTCAGATGGTTTCACAAGGATCTCTAAGTCATTGCTCCCTTTTGCAGAATCCTAGACTGGAAATTTCAGATAATGCATTGTGGATCACGCATGTGCAGGAAAGACCACACACAACTCCAAACAGGGGACACACACCAAGACATTGGCCCTGCACCAAAAGATGAGCAGTATACAGATTTAGATACAGACATAGGTAAAATAAAATGCTTAAAGTATGTTTGTGTAATTCTTGATTCCCTCATTTTAACTGACTACCTCTCTCAAATACTTCTAATAGGATCGTTCCTGTACTCTCTTGTTCAATAATGTACATCAACAGCCGCCCCCAAAATTCTATCCTCTGACCTAGTCATTCCACTTTGGAAAATTTGATCTAAGAAATAATTCCAAAATCTAGAAAGAGCTATATGTGCAAGGATGGAGTATTTATGTAGTGCAAACTTGGTTCACTGGTCACCTACTACCAATGCCCTTATTTTCTTTGAGGAGTTTATGCCCCTGCCCCCACCACATACTATTTTGGTCCTGCTGTGAATCTAGGCATTCAGACTTCACTGCTCCTAGGGCTAAGTACAAGCCCCAGGCTAGTTTCATCGCCTTCTCTCTAGGGACTTTGTGTCTGGATCTGACAAGGACGGGAAACCACAGCCAGCATGCATTCATTCTAACAGCACAGCCATCACCCCACTTTCAAGCAGCTCCTGATGCTCAGACCCCCAGAACATCCTCAAATCCTGGTTTTTTATTCACCTGGTTCCTCAACCCCCTTGCAAATTCTATGAGTTCATGGGTATCCTTCAAGCAAATTCCTTCCTGCCTAAGCTATCCAGAGTTGATTTCTGTTACTTGCCAACAAAGAACTCTAACTGACTCAATTTATGAAAGTAGGAGAAAATAGAAACCACCTAAATGTCAAAGAATTGGAAGACAGCAAAGTAAATTATCATTTATCTCCTCAAAGAAATATTATGCTGTCATTAAAAATTATAGTTATTAAGATATATAATAAAATAGAAAGTGTCTACAATATAATATCTATGGGGAAAAGGGGTACAAAATTTGATATGCAGTATGATTACGACCATGTAAAAAGATGCATAGAAGAATTTCAAAATAATAATCATGTTGAGATTATGTGGCTTTGTTCCCTTTTATATTTAAAAAATTTTACTGATTAAACTTTTATTCAAATGGAGAAACTAATTTTTTGTTTGTGGGTATTTTAAATAGGAAAACGAAACCTGGAGCAATACTTCAGTCCTTTTTTGTTTTCAGTCTGTCTTCATAACAGGGCATGAGTCCTCCCAGTGAGTTACTTCTTGCCTATCCATTACCATACAATAGATCATCACAGCTCAAATTATTGAGTGCCTGGGAGATGCTAGGCACAGTGCTAGAACTTTCTATCATCTTAGGTCTTCACAACAATCCTGTGAGGTCAATACTATTATTCCCAATTTTCAGAGAAGGAAATTAAGCCAAGAGTTTTAAGTCACAGCTGAAGGCCACGTGGTAAGTGATGAAGACTGAATTCAAAGGACACAATATGTTATATATTGTGTGTTATGTTGCACAATTTTATTTATGTATGTAAAAAGGCATTAAAGTTGAATTTTCATCCAGACACCAAGATACAACAGACATGACATTTCTAAAGGAGGAACCACTGCAGATGTTCAAAGGAAATTCTTGAGAACCATTTCCAGAATACAAAAAGTTCAAAAAATGGAGGAGCGAGAATTTTGTGAGTTGGCTTATTATGGAGAGAGCTGTGCTGGAAGTCCCATCCTCTCGCCCACTTAGTAAGAGGTGTCCTTTCCCGGGGCTACTCAACTCAGACATGACCCCCACCCGGAAAGGGGGTTCCTTCTGCAAGGCTACTTAGATGTGGCCCTGACCCCCACACTGGGAGTGCCACACTTGGGCTGGAGTTTGACTTCCGCCAGGGAAATGAAGGTGTGATGGGCTGGCAACAGCACTGCCACACTTCCAGGCTGTCAAGGCCAAGAATGCCTCAGTGCTTCCTAGGGACCAAATGAGGTCATGTAGGAGAGAAGGCCCGAGTGGGCTTGCCACAGAGCCTGTCAGACCCCATCTCAATCAGGGCAGCTGAGAGAGACCAAGATACCCCAGCAGCAGATAGCTGGATTGAACTACAGGTTGGAGAAAGGAGTGGAAACTAATCACCCAAAATAAAGATGGGTCAAAGGACCTACAGGGAGAGGAGCCCATCAGGGAACTTCCAAAAAGTACACAAAAGCAGCCCACAAGAGAAGGAGCATCATAGGCACCTGCCTCACCAAGAATCCATGTTTCACACAGAGGACAGAAGCAACTCGAGAAAGACCCCTCTTCCCCTTAGGAATCTTCTCCCCTTCTCACCCCAAGAGGTCAGACACTGGGCAGCAAGCTGGGGCAACTGGGGATGAGAAAAGGACAAAACGGAGGAGAGAGAAGATTCTAGGAGAGCCTTCTTCCCCATAGCCGGCTTCCAGATCACATCAGGCAGAAAAGATTTAAAGCCAAATCACTTCAGAACTTGGATTAGTATATTGCTCTAAGCTTTCTTTTTTTTTTTTTTTTTCCTATTATGTGCCACATTCTTACTTTTTTTAAAAATTATACTTTAAGTTTTAGGGTACATGTGCACAACGTGCAGGTTTGTTACATATGTATACATGTGCCATGTTGGTGTGCTGCACCCATTAACCTGTCATTTAACATTAGGTATATTTCCTAATGCTATCCCTCCCCCATTCCGCCACCCCACAACAGGCCTCAGTGTGTGATGTTCCCCTTCCTGTGTCCATGTGTTCTCGTTGTTCAATTCCCACCTGTGAGTGAGATCATGTGGTGTTTGGTTTTCTGTCCTTGCAATAGTTTGCTCAGAATGATGGTTTCCAGCTTCATCCATGTCCCTACAAAGGACATGAACTCATCATTTTTTATGGCTGCATAGTATTCCATGATGTATATGTGCCACATTTTCTTAATCCAGTCTATCATTGTTGGACATTTGGGTTGGTTCCAAGTCTTTGCTATTGTGAATAGTATTGCACTAAGCTTTCTAGTTATTGCATTAAAGCTATATTTCCAGCTTGAAGTGACTGTTGAACTACCTCAAACCTTAGAGTCTGAGTGAGGGGAAAAGCCATGGTACCTGCTAGGATTTTTATGCAGAGACAGGGGGAATAACTCCCACTGGAGAAAATTTTAAAGGGGCGGCAGAATTGTTTTAAGCCATGTTTTAATATGGCATGAGCCGCGTTTGCTCAACACCTTTGTTTTATCTGTGGATGTCCTCTGACCCACGGGGCCACATGAGCTCTAGGACAGGGCCTCCATTCTGTCACCACTATATTCCCAACGTCCAGTGCAATGCCTGGCACAGAGTCAGAGCTGGGCAGATGCTCTCTCCATCAATCATGCTACCCAAAGAAATGGTAAATGAGCCAAGAAGACCATAATATTTCTATCTGATGCCATCAATAATTGACTTGAATCTCTTCCATCATGTGAAGTAATTGGGGGATAACTTATCCGCTTCCTTTATTTACAGATTCCGGCAGTGACCTCTGTAGGTATCCAAAATGACACTGGATGAGATTGCTTCACGTCAATATATTTTTTTCAAATAGTATTTTGCTGCTGTTTAAAATAATTTGGGGGCTAGCACAGTGGCTCATACCTGTAATCCCAGCATTTTGAGGGTCTGAGGTGGGAGAATCACTTGAACCCAAGAGTTTGAGACCAGCCTGGGCAACATAGTAAGACCTCATCTCTACAATAATAAATAAATAAATAAATAAATAAATAAATAAATAAAATAATTTCAAGGGGACTCCAAACTAAATATTTTGTATTATCTTCTCTGATATTTTTAGGGGGTATAAAAGTCAGGTTCTCCAGAGAAACAGAATATGTATTTATAGAAAGATTTTAAAATATGGTTTATGATACTGTGGGGGCTGGAAAGTCTAAACTCTGTGGGGCAGGTCAGCAGGCTGCAGACTTAGGTGAGAGTTAATCCTGCAATATTGAGTCTGAATTCCACAAAGCAGCAATCTGGAAACCCTTGCCCTCTTATGGACAATTTCTTCTTCCTCCAGAAAATCTGTCTTTTTCTCATAAGGCCTTCAACTGATTGGATGAGGCCCACCTACATTACAGAGGCTAATTGGCTTCACTCAAAGTCCACCGATTTAAATGTTAATCATATCTAAAAAATGCCTTCGCAACAACATTTAGGCTGGCATTTCACCAAATTACTGGGCACCACAGACTAGCCACATTGACACATAAAAGTGACCATCACAGGCCGGGCACAGTGGCTCATGCCTGTAACCCCAGCACTTTGAGAGGCCGAGGTGGGCAGATCACGAGGTCAGATTGAAACCATCCTGGCCAACATGGTGAAACCCTGTCTCTACTACAAATACAAAAATTAGCCGAGCATGGTGGCACATGCCTGTAGTCCCAGCTACTCGGGAGGCTGAGGCAGAAGAATCGCTTGAACCTGGGAGGCAGAGGTTGCAGTGAGCCGAGATCGCACCATTGCACTACAGCCTGGCAACAGAGTGAGATTCCATCTCAAGAAAAAAAAAAAAATTAACCATCACAGCAGAGAAAGATTCACCTCATATTCAACACTATATTACATTATGGGGGAAAACTTGCCTCTCCTCAGCACTGCTGGACTAGGGGGAGTTAAAAGGCCTTTTAACGTATTGTTCCACATGAGCTGAAGATGTTTCCCCCCACCTTTTTGTTTGTTTGTTTGTTTGTTTCTTTGTTTGTTTTGAGACGGAGTCTTGCTCTGTTACCCAGGCTGGAGTACAATAGCACAATCTCAGCTCACTGCAATCTCCGCCTTCCAGGTTCAAGTGATTCTCCTGCCTCAGCCTCCCGAGTAGCTGGGACTACAGGCACGTGCCACCACTTCCGGCTAATTTGTGTATTTTTAGCAGAGACAAGGTTTCACCGTGTTAGCCAGGATGGTCTCAATATCCTGACCTCGTGATCCACCCACCTTGGCCCCCCAAAGTGCTGGGATTACAGACATGAGCCACCGCGGCCGGCCGAGTCAGAGTTTTAATACAAGCCCTCGCCTTACCACTTGCGACCCTGACCGCCTCCATTTATTTGTCTGTAAATCCAGGAGAACACTTCCTACTTCCAGGGTGGTGATGAGAATTAAATATAATAACATCCACAGATCTATACAGTAATACTTATTAAGTATAAAATGTCTTCCCTTCTTCCTTATTTTATCCAACCTTCCTCATCTACTATGAAGGTAAAATATTCGAGGAGGGGGAGTTTAATAACTGAATATCCATGATCCTTTTAAAATCTCATAGATGTGTACATTTCACGTAAAAAAAGAAAGTAGGGTGACTATGAAGGAGCTATTAGCTACTAGATATGAATTTTAAATGAAGCTTAATTTTAGAACAATTTTTGGAACATATTCTTAGCTTTCATCACTCAACAAATATTTGTGAAGCATCTATGTGTCAGACATACATTCTCAGGCTGGGCTTTTGGTGAATTTACACTGTTGGGGGTGGATGTTCTCAAAATCCAACGTTGCAAGACAGCATCATCTTGACAATGGAGAGCTGTTAAAGCGTATCCTTCAGTCTCTCTGTAGCTCAGGCAGTAGGCCGGGAACATCGCTGTCAGGGGCTACCTGGTAACTGCTATAGCCACTGTAGGCTCCAGCCGCACTGATGGGCTTGCCTGGTTTCAGCCACATGGTGCAGTATGCAAGCTGTTACCACTTGAATGGATTTCTCTTCTTCTCTTCCTCATCCTTCAGATAGCCTTCCATCCCTCTTGTTCAGATAGATAGCCTTCCATCCCCTTTCTCCACTATCATCCCAGTCTAGTTCAGACACCCCCCCCAACCCCACCTCCATCACAGCACCCATCACCCCCCACCCCACCTCCATCACAGCACCCATCACCCCCCACCCCACCTCCATCACAGCACCCATCACCCCCCACCCCACCTCCATCACAGCACCCATCACCCCCCACCCCACCTCCATCACAGCACCCATCACCCCCCACCCCACCTCCATCACAGCACCCATCACCCCCCACCCCACCTCCATCACAGCACCCATCACCCCCCACCCCACCTCCATCACAGCACCCATCACCCCCCACCCCACCTCCATCACAGCACCCATCACCCCCCACCCCACCTCCATCACAGCACCCATCACCCCCCACCCCACCTCCATCACAGCACCCATCACCCCCCACCCCACCTCCATCACAGCACCCATCACCCCCCACCCCACCTCCATCACAGCACCCATCACCCCCCACCCCACCTCCATCACAGCACCCATCACCCCCCACCCCACCTCCATCACAGCACCCATCACCCCCCACCCCACCTCCATCACAGCACACATCACCCCCCACCCCACCTCCATCACAGCACCCATCACCCCCCCCACCCCACCTCCATCACAGCACGCATCACCCCCCCACCCCACCTCCATCACAGCACCCATCACCCCCTCACCCCACCTCCATCACAGCATGCATCACATTGGAAAGTACTTGCTGATTTCCCTGTCTGTCTGTGTTGCCACGTTGGAGAAAGGTCTCCTTGTGATCAGAACAAGCTTACTCACCTGGCTATTATAATTCCGGGGCCTAACATTTGTATATGTTAACATATAAATACATATATAATTTGGTTCGTACATGAGAATATATATTATATTTATATAGCAGTTATGGAGAACATAAATTTTGATAAAATAATTTTGCAAAATTGTTTTAGTCTTAATTTTACAGCTTCAGCATTGTAACTCATTGGACAAAGAACCATAATTTTTTTGTTCTTGTTGAAGAAACTGAAATAGGGAGAGGGAATGCCATTCCATTCCATTTTCTCATTAGTCACAACTAATAAATGGACAGAAACCCAGTTTAACCGAGGTGACAGGATTTATTGGTTCTGGTATTTGGAAGTGCAGGCAGTATCTTAGCCTCAGGAATGGCTGGATCATGGTGGCTCTCTCCACTTCTCAGCTCTGTTTTCCTCTAGGCTGACTTTATTTAGATTCAGGTTTACGTCACTGATGCTTCAGGAATCTCCAGTCTACAAAAGAGAAGTTTTCCAACAGCTGCAACATAAGTCCCAGAACTGAGTCCCCATGGTCTGTCTTGGGTCATGTCTCCATCCATGAACCTCTGTCACTATGGACAGAGGCTGACCAGACAGGCTTGGGCTCAGCCCTGGAGTTTGAGACAGCATTGGAGACACCCAAACACCCTGGATAAGTGCCAGAGAGTTACAGCTCTCCAAAAGCACACACCGTGCTGTCACCAGGGCAGGGAATGGTCGCTGGGCGGCAGAACAACATGTGATCAAAGCAGAGTGGTGATAGAGCCAAGAGTGGAATTGATGGCTTTCTGCGAGACAGAACTTTCAAAGCACTTGAGGTGGTGGAGGAGAGAGGCCAGGTTTCCAGCCTGAGCCTGGTCAGGAGCAGTGAGAACTGAAGGAAGGGAGGGAGTCTGAAGATAACCAGGAGGGACCTGGGAGGGACAGAGCAGTGGTCAGGCTATGACCAGTAGGGAGGTAGGACAGAGGGGGAGGCAAGCAAGATGGCCAATTGCCATCCAGATAGGATAGGTGGCATGAAGACCAGCCTTTGAGTGTGACTCTCATGCATGAGGCACTACCCTAAAAGCCAATTCTTTTCCTTCTTCCTTCATTAAAATCCTGGAATACCATCCCCTAGATTAAGGAACCTTCCTTATCCTCTTTGTTCATCCTAAAAGAGCCTGGTCTATAGAATCTGTCTCCTAACAGTCAACTAGTATTATTTTAGTACTATGATTAATCTCCTGATTGAGTAAAAAGAACAGAGAATTTGCAATCTATGAGATCTTGTCAAATCCCTGCCCCACCACTTGGCAGTCGTGTGAACTTGAGCAGGTCACTTCCCCCTCTGAGCTTCATCATTTTTGTAACGCATGTCAGCCGCTGGCCAAGAACCTGAATACAGCAAGCACTCAACTCCTGTTAGCAACTGTGACTGTAATTTTTGGTGCTGTAAAGTTTTATAGGTCTAAGAAAGCCCAGTAACAAGTTCTTCATAGCAAAGTCATCATTAAATCCAGCCGGACAGGCCCCAAATGAGTCTGCAACATGTGGAATTTTTCATTATGAAGCAAACACTCCCCCTTTCTGAGGATCAGCGTTAAACCAGGGATTTTTTTTTCCTCACCACCATTAGACTCTGCTCAAGATTCCCAAAGGAGAGCAGTACTTAGAGAATTCATTTTTAATCATCTGAGCCTCACAAGAAAAAGTTCTGTCTTATTCAAATATGGCATAACAGAAATGAGGGCAGGAGCAGAGGGAAAGGTAGGGTTGCTGGATTTAAACTTGAACTGTGGACTCTGCTTTTAGAAGAAAACTCCATAGCTTTCTGGTTCTCACACTGTACAGATGCACCTTCTACCAAATGAGCTTGCACTGCATTCATTACTCATCCACTCAGCTATTCCTCTTTCTTTTTTTTTTATTATTATACTTTAAGTTCTAGGGTACATGTGCACAACATGCAGGTTTGTTACATACGTATGCATGTGCCATGTTGGTGTGCTGCACCCATTAACTCGTCATTTACATTAGGTATTTCACCTAATGCTATCCCTCCCCCCTCCCCCCACCCCACAACAGGCCCTGGTGTGTGATGTTCCCCGCCATGTGTCCAAGTGTTCTCGTTGTTCAATTCCCACCTGTGAGTGAGAACATGCGGTGTTTGGTTTTCTGTACTTGCGATAGTTTGCTCAGAATGATGGTTTCCAGCTTCATCCATGTCCCTACAAAGGATGTGAATTCATCCTTTTTTATGGCTGCATAGTATTCCATGATGTATATGTGCCACATTTTCTTAATCCAGTCTATCACTGATGGACATTTGGGTTGGTTCCAAGTCTTTGCTATTGTGACTAGTGCTGCAATAAACATACATGTGCATGTCTCTTTACAGTAGCATGATTCATAATTCTTTGGGTATATACCTAGTAATGGGATGGCTGGGTCAAATGGTATTTCTAGTTCTAGATCCTTGAGGAGCTATTCCTCTTTCAACACTTACTGACTTCTATTCACCAGGCTCTGGGCAGAGCTCCAGAGAGAGTTCAGTGAGACCTGTCTTTTTTTTTTTAATAGAGATAGGGTCTCACTATGTTGCCCAGGCTGGTCTCAAACTCTTAAGCTCAAGCAATTCTCTTACCTTGGCCTCCCAAAGTATGGGGATTATAGGTGTGAGCCACCACACCTGGCCTAAGACCCATCCTTTGCCCTAAGTAGCTCATAATTTACAGCCAGGGTTCACAAACTGTTTCAAAGAAAGGCTATGTGTAAATATTTTAGGCTTTACAGGTAATAACATTTCTGTTGCCACTATTCGAGCAGGTCCTTGAATAGTTGGGGATATATTTTTGGAGCCTTTGAGACCTATTGGAGGACAGGAGCAATGTAGGATGATGCCTCCTAGATGTCTGTCCCAAGCAACTGGATGGTGCCTGCTGAGGCTGTCCCAAGGCAGAAGCTCATCTGCGTCAGTGCTTCTCAGACTTTCAAAGAAATTGTCAACCCCCAAGTAGGAGCCTTTTCAGACATTATTTTCTTAATTGTGCACCCATACAATTGTAATACCACAGAAGTGATATATCTTTTTATGCACCAATGCCTATCTGTGCTTTATGCATAAAGAACGTGAGAGGGGCTTTTGCCCTCCCCTGCCCAAGAACCAATATTTGCTCCCTGGGGAAAGCTATCACCCCACTGAGAATGCATAGTCTAGCTCTGGGAGAGGTGGTTCCCTCTCCACCTATTTCAAGCCTTTTGTCTGAGCACTGCCTCTTCCTCAGTCATGACAGGTGGAATCACTGGGCTTTTGGGGAAACCCCTAAACCTCCAGAGAAAGACCATCTTAGAACACAGCATGCAACACCAACCTTCCTCTTCTTTGGGGGATTTTGCATGTCTCAAGGCTTCTGGGATGACTTTGCCCCAAATGTTCACATGGTCTGAGACCCACAGTCACAGGTGATAAAGGGACATTCACACCCTTTATCACCCCAACTCCTCTTAGGAAGGGGAAGATCATTGTATGGGGAAAATACCTTAAGAAGTGCTTTGGGTAGAAGGTGAGACCCTTGGTGTGCGTGTTCCTGGAGAGGGATGGAAAAGAGAGGCTGGGGCAGAGCCAGCGGGACGGGAGCCCACACGGGACACACTGAGACTTCCTGTCAACCTGCAAATCTTCAAGAAATTCAACACACACACCCAAGTGTTCCACTGGCATATATTTCTGGTGGGAAAAAAAAGTGAGAGGGCTGAGATTTGCATGGGTGAGGGGAGCAAAGGAAGGTGAATACACAAAGGAGCAGCAGGTGGACCCCAGGCAGGTGAGTCTAGGAACAGAGAAACTTGGGAGACATCGTGCATCCCGGACAACACTACAGGGAGAAGGAGAAAATCCCACCCAAGTCTCACAGTCCATGGAGGCCCAGGAAGATGGCCGGGGTTTGGTTTTTGTATCCGCTCCCGTGAGAGTGCAAGCCATGGAAGACCCGTCAAAAAGTTAAACAACCAGGAGGTATTCGCTCAAGAATGCAAGGCCCAGAGGTGAAGCGTCTCAGGATTGGTTCATTCACCAGCTGAACATCCTTATCCTCTAAGGCTCCGGTGCCTTCCGTCTTCCCCCACCCCGACCATCCTCAGCACATGGGCCGTGTCTCCCCCCATGGTTCCCACTGGCTGCCACATTTACAGCCACATCCAGAGGTGGAAAAGTGGTGAATCACTATTCTAAAAAAAAGTAGTGAATCACTATTCTATAAAACTTTTTAAGAGTGAGGAAAACTTCCCCAGAATCCCACCCCAACCCCTCAGCCCCCAGCACACTGCTCAGCAATAAGTGGTCTATCACAGGTCCTTGGCCACAGCAACCAGAGGCCAAAAGAATGAAATTAAGGGGGAGGAGCCAAGATGGCTGAATAGGAACAGCTCTGGTCTACAGCTCCCAGCGTGAGAGACGCAAAGACGGGTGATTTCTGCATTTCCATCTGAGGTACCGGGTTCATCTCACTAGGGAGTGCCAGACAGTGGGTGCAGGTCAGTGGGTGCGCGCACCGTGCGCGAGCCGAAGCAGGGCGAGGCATTGCCTCACTCGGGAAGCGCAAGGGGTCAGGGAGTTCCCTTTCCGAGTCAAAGAAAGGGGTGAGGGACAGCACCTGGAAAATCGGGTCACTCCCACCCGAATACTGCGCTTTTCCGACGGGCTTAAAAAACGTCACACCACAAGATTATATCCAGCACCTGGCTGGGAGGGTCCTACGCCCACGGAGTCTCGCTGATTGCTAGCACAGCAGTCTGAGATCAAACTGCAAGGCGGCAGCGAGGCTGGGGGAGGGGAGCCCGCCATTGCCCAGACTTGATTAGGTAAACAAAGCAGCCGGGAAGCTCGAACTGGGTGGAGCCCACCACAGCTCAAGGAGGCCTGCCTGCCTCTGTAGGCTCCACCTCTGGGGGCAGGGCACAGACAAACAAAAAGACAGCAGTAACCTCTGCAGACTTAAATGTCCCTGTCTGACAGCTTTGAAGAGAGCAGTGGTTCTCCCAGCACACAGCTGGAGATCTGAGAACGGGCAGACTGCCTCCTCAAGTGGGTCCCTGACCCCTGAGCCCCGGGCAGCCTAACTGGGAGGCACCCCCCAGCAGGGGCACACTGACACCTCACACGGCAGGGTATTCCAACAGACCTGCAGCTGAGGGTCCTGTCTGTTAGAAGGAAAGCTAACAAACAGAAAGGACATCCACACCAAAAACCCGTCTGTACATCACCATCATCAAAGACCAAAAGTAGATAAAACCACAAAGATGGGGAAAATACAGAACAGAAAAACTGGAAACTCTAAAAAGCAGAGCGCCTCTCCTCCTCCAAAGGAACGCAGTTCCTCACCAGCAACGGAACAAAGCTGGATGGAGAATGACTTTGACGAGCTGAGAGAAGAAGGCTTCAGACGATCAAATTACTCTGAGCTACAGGAGGACATTCAAACCAAAGGGAAAGAAGTTGAAAACTTTGAAAAAAATTTAGAAGAATGTATAACTAGAATAACCAATACAGAGAAGTGCTTAAAGGAGCTGATGGAGCTGAAAACCAAGGCTCGAGAACTACGTGAAGAATGCAGAAGCCTCAGGAGCTGATGCGATCAACTGGAAGAAAGAGTATCAGCAATGGAAGATGAAATGAATGAAATGAAGTGAGAAGGGAAGTTTAGAGAAAAAAGAATAAAAAGAAATGAGCAAAGCCTCCAAGAAATATGGGACTATGTGAAAAGACCAAATCTACGTCTGATTGGTGTACCTGAAAGTGATGAGGAGAATGGAACCAAGTTGGAAAACACGCTGAAGGATATTATCCAGGAGAACTTCCCCAATCTAGCAAGGCAGGCCAACGTTCAGATTCAGGAAATACAGAGAACGCCACAAAGATACTCCTCGAGAAGAGCAACTCCAAGACACATAATTGTCAGATTCACCAAAGTTGAAATGAAGGAAAAAATGTTAAGGGCAGCCAGAGAGAAAGGTTGGATTACCCTCAAAGGGAAGCCCATCAGACTAACAGCGGATCTCTTGGCAGAAACCCTACAAGCCAGAAGAGAGTGGGGGCCAATATTTAACATTCTTAAAGAAAAGAATTTTCAACCCAGAATTTCATATCCAGCCAAACTAAGCTTCATAAGCGAAAGAGAAATAAAATACTTTACAGACAAGCAAATGCTGAGAGATTTTGTCACCACCAGGCCTGCTCTAAAAGAGCTCCTGAAGGAAGTGCTAAATATGGAAAGGAACAACCGGTACCAGCCACTGCAAAATCATGCCAAAATGTAAAGGCCATCGAGACTAGGAAGAAACTGCATCAACTAATGAGCAAAATAACCAGCTAACATCATAATGACAGGATCAAACTCACACATAACAATATTAACTTTAAATGTAAATGGACTAAATGCTCCAATTAAAAGACACAGACTGGCAAATTGGATAAAGAGTCAAGACCCATCAGTGTGCTGTATTCAGGAAACCCATCTCACGTGCAGAGACACACATAGGCTCAAAATAAAAGGATGGAGGAAGATCTACCAAGCAAATGGAAAACAAAAAAAGGCAGGGGTTGCAATCCTAGTCTCTGATAAAACAGACTTTAAACCAACAAAGGTCAAAAGAGACAAAGAAGGCCATTACATAATGGTAAAGGGATCAATTTAACAAGAAGAGCTAACTATCCTAAATATATATGCACCCAATACAGGAGCACCAAGATTCATAAAGCAAGTCCTAAGTGACCTACAAAGAGACTTAGACTCCCACACATTAATAATGGGAGACTTTAACACCCCACTGTCAACATTAGACAGATCAACGAGACAGAAAGTCAACAAGGATACCCAGGAATTGAACTCAGTTCTGCACCAAGCAGACCTAATAGACATCTACAGAACTCTCCACCCCAAATCAACAGAGTGTACATTTTTTTCAGCACCACACCACACCTATTCCAAAATTGACCACATAGTTGGAAGTAAAGCACTCCTCAGCAAATGTAAAAGAACAGAAATTATAACAAACTATCTCTCAGACCATAGTGCAATCAAACTAGAACTCAGGATTAAGAATCTCACGCAAAACCACTCAACTACATGGAAACTGAACAACTTGCTCCTGAATGACTACTGGGTACATAATGAAATGAAGGCAGAAATAAAGATGTTCTTTGAAACCAACGAGAACAAAGACACAACATACCAGAATCTCTGGGACGCATTCAAGGCAGTGTGTAGAGGGAAATTTATAGCACTAAATGCCCACAAGAGAAAGCAGGAAAGATCCAAAATTGACACCCTAACATCACAATTAAAAGAACTAGAAAAGCAAGAGCAAACACATTCAAAAGCTAGCAGAAGGCAAGAAATAACTAAAATCAGACCAGAACTGAAGGAAATAGAGACACAAAAAACCCTTCAAAAAATTAATGAATCCAGGAGCTGGTTTTTTGAAAGGATCAACAAAATTGATAGACCGCTAGCAAGACTAATAAAGAAAAAAAGAGAGAAGAATCAAATAGATGCAATAAAAAATGATAAAGGGGATATCACCACCAATCCCACAGAAATACAAACTACCATCAGAGAATACTACAAACACCTCTATGCAAATAAACTAGAAAATCTAGAAGAAATGGATAAATTCCTCGACACATACACTCTCCCAAGACTAAACCAGGAAGAAGTTGAATCTCTGAATAGACCAATAACAGGATCTGAAATTGTGGCAATAATCAATAGCTTACCAACCAAAAAGAGTCCAGGACCAGATGGATTCACAGCCGAATTCTACCAGAAGTACAAGGAGGAACTGGTACCATTCCTTCTGAAACTATTCCAATCAACAGAAAAAGAGGGAATCCTCCCTAACTCATTTTATGAGGCCAGCATCATTCTGATACCAAAGCCAGGCAGAGACACAACAAAAAAAAGAGAATTTTAGACCAATATCCTTGATGAACATTGATGCAAAAATCCTCAATAAAATACTGGCAAACCAAATCCAGCAGCACATCAAAAAGCTTATCCACCATGATCAAGTGGGCTTCATCCCTGGGATGCAAGGCTGATTCAATATGCACAAATCAATAAATGTAATTCAGCATATAAACGGAGCCAAAGACAAAAACCACATGATTATCTCAATAGATGCAGAAAAAGCCTTTGACAAAATTCAACAACGCTTCATGCTAAAAACTCTCAATAAATTAGGTATTGATGGGACATATTTCAAAATAATAAGAGCTATCTATGACAAACCCACAGCCAATATCATACTGAATGGGCAAAAACTGGAAGCATTCCCTTTGAAAACTGGCACAAGACAGGGATGCCCTCTCTCACCACTCCTATTCAACATAGTGTTGGAAGTTCTGGCCAGGGCAATTAGGCAGGAGAAGGAAATAAAGGGTATTCAATTAGGAAAAGAGGAAGTCAAATTGTCCCTGTTTGCAGACGACATGATTGTATATCTAGAAAACCCCATTGTCTCAGCCCAAAATCTCCTTAAGCTGATAAGCAACTTCAGCAAAGTCTCAGGATACAAAATCAATGTACAAAAATCACAAGCATTCTTATACACCAACAACAGACAAACAGAGAGCCAAATCATGAGTGAACTCCCATTCACAATTGCTTCAAAGAGAATAAAATACCTAGGAATCCAACTTACAAGGGATGTGAAGGACCTCTTCAAGGAGAACTACAAACCACTGCTCAAGGAAATAAAAGAGGATACAAACAAATGGAAGAACATTCCATGCTCATGGGTAGGAAGAATCAATATCATGAAAATGGCCATACTGCCCAAGGTAATTTACAGATTCAATGCCATCCCCATCAAGCTACCAATGCCTTTCTTCACAGAATTGGAAAAAACTACTTTAAAATTCATATGGAACCAAAAAAGAGCCCGTATCGCCAAGTCAATCCTAAGCCAAAAGAACAAAGCTGGAGGCATCACACTACCTGACTTCAAACTATACTACAAGGCTACAGTAACCAAAACAGCATGGTACTGGTACCAAAACAGAGATATAGATCAATGGAACAGAACAGAGCCCTCAGAAATAATGCCACATATCTACAACTATCTGATCTTTGACAAACCTGAGAAAAACAAGCAATGGGGAAAGGATTCCCTATTTAATAAATGGTGCTGGGAAAACTGGCTAGCCATAGGTAGAAAGCTGAAACTGGATCCCTTCCTTACACCTTATACAAAAATCAATTCAAGATGGATTAAAGACTTAAACATTAGACCTAAAACCATAAAAACCCTAGAAGAAAACCTAGGCATTACCATTCAGGACATAGGCATGGGCAAGGACTTCGTGTCTAAAACACCAAAAGCAATGGCAACAAAAGACAAAATTGACAAATGAGATCTAATTAAACTAAAGAGCTTCTGCACAGCAAAAGAAACTACCATCAGAGTGAACAGGCAACCTACAAAATGGGAGAAAATTTTCACAACCTACTCATCTGACAAAGGGCTAATATCCAGAATCTACAATGAACTCAAACAAATTTACAAGAAAAAAACAAATAACCCCATCAAAAAGTGGGCAAAGGACATGAACAGACACTTCTCAAAAGAAGACATTTATGCAGCCAAAAAAACACATGAAAAAATGCTCATCATCACTGGCCATCAGAGAAATGCAAATCAAAACCACAATGATACCATCTCACACCAGTTAGAATGGCAATCATTAAAAAGTCAGGAAACAACAGGTGCTGGAGAGGATGTGGAGAAATAGGAACACTTTTACACTGTTGGTGGGACTGTAAACTAGTTCAACCATTGTGGAAGTCAGTGTGGCTATTCCTCAGGGATCTAGAACTGGAAATACCATTTGACCCAGCCATCCCATTACTGGGTATATACCCAAAGGACTATAAATCATGCTGCTATAAAGACACATGCACACGTATGTTTATTGCGGCATTATTCACAATAGCAAAGACTTGGAACCAACCCAAATATCCAACAATGATAGACTGGATTAAGAAAATGTGGCACATATACACCACGGAATACTATGCAGCCATAAAAAATGATGAGTTCATGTCCTTTGTAGAGACATGGATGAAACTGGAAATCATCATTCTCAGTAAACTATCGCAAGAACAAAAAACCAAACACCACATATTCTCACTCATAGGTGGGAATTGAACAATGAGATCACATGGACACAGGAAGGGGAATATCACACTCTGGGGACTGTTGTGGGGTTGGGGGAGGGGAGAGGGATAGCATTGGGAGATATACCTAAGGCTAGATGATGAGTTAGTGGGTGCAGCGCACCAGCATGGCACATGTATACATATGTAACTAACCTGCACAATGTGCACATGTACCCTAAAACTTAAAGTATAATAAAAAAAAAAAGAATGAAATTAAGATGATTGGCTAAACCAGCGACTCCCAAAATGTGGCCCCTGCATCAGTAACATCAGCACCACTTGGGAATTATTAGAAATGCAAATTATTGAGCTTCATCTCAGCCAATAAAATCAGAAACTCTGAGGGCGGGGCCCTGCAGTCTATGGCTTAATGGGCCCTCCAGGTGATCCTGATGCAACCAGAAGTTTAGAACCAGCCAAGTAGCTTAGATTAATAAACTTGCATTTCTGGTGCTATGGTTTGGATGCATGTCCCTCCAAATCTTATGCTGGAATTTTATCCCCAGTTTTGGAGATGGGGCCTTGTGGAAGATGTTTGGCTCATAGGGATGGAGCCCTCATGAATGTCTTGGTCTCATCCTCATGGTTATGAGTGAATTCTCAATTCTCACTCTGTTAGTTCCCCCCAAGAGCTGATTGTTTAAGAGACCTGACACCTTCCCATTCTCTTTTGTTTCCTCTCTCACCATGTGATCATTGCACACCTTGGCTCTCCTTCACCTTCCAACGTGAGTGAAAGCTTCCTGAAGCCCTCACCAGAAGCAGATGCAGGAGCCATGCTTCTTGTACAGCCTGCAGAACTGTGAGTCAAATAAACCTCTTTTCTTTATAAATTACCCAGCCTCTTAGGTATTACTTTATAACAACACAAATGAACTAAGACATCTGAGCTGGAGAGGATGGCAGCATAGGAAGAACCTACTGGTTGCCTGTCCTGAAGGTGGCTACCTATGCATGAGAGAGGTGAACTGGAGAGAGCTGGTGGTATGGAGAGGGGCCCAAGTGAAGCCCACACTCTCCCTGCTTGGCTGGACAAGAATGAGTGTGTTCTTGGGTCAAGTGGACTCATGAGAATGCCTGGGCTGAAACCATCTTGAAAGGACCCATACTCAAAGGAAAGACATTGGCCCCATGTCCAAAGATTAGCAACTACATGTATATTGACATGGTATTAAATAAAATGAAATGTTTAAGATACATTTGTAGGGCTGGGGTGCTGGCTCATGCCTATAATCCCAGCAGTTTGGGAGGCCGAGGTGGGCAGATTACCTGAGCTCAGGAGTTCAAGACCAGCTTGGCCAACATTGTAAAACTCTGTCTCTACTAAAAATACAAAAAAAATTAGCTGGGCATGGTAGTGCACACCTGTAGTCCCAGCTACTCAGGAGGTTGAGGCAGGAGAATCACTTGAACCCGGGAAGCAGAGGTTGCAGTGAGCCAAGATCGCACCACTGCACTCTGGTCTGGGTGATAGAGTGAGACTCCATCTCAAAAATTTTTTTTAAAAAGATACATTTTTATAGGTACTACTTTGAATAAGGAAGGAAACTTAGATACTTCTCTCTCAGTAACAGAACAAAAAATGCACAAAAAAAGGCATAAAGATTGTATTAGAGTTCTTCGGGGAAACAGAACCACATAATATATATAGAGACATATGAAAAGAGATTTATTATGGGAGATTGGCTCATGCAATTATAAGGCTCAAGATCTGTCAGGTCCAAGTCCGGAGAACCAGGTCTGAGAACCAGGAATGCTGACATTCAAAGGCAGGAGGAGATGGATGTCCCAGTTCTGACAGGGAGAGAAAACTCACTCTCCCTCCCCTTTTTGTTCTATTTTGGCCCTCAGCACATTGGATGATGTCCACCCGCATTAGTGAGGGTGATCTTCTTTACTGTGTCTATGGAGTCAAATGCTAATCTCCTCCAGGAACACTATCACAGGCACATCAGAAATAGCGTTTTGCCAGCTATCTGGGCATCCCTTAGCCCAGTCAAGTTGGCACATAAAATTAACCGTCCTGAAGATATAGACTGTCTAAACAACACAACTAACAAATTTGATGCAGTTTACATATATAGAACACTATACCCAACCATGGAAAATTCATGCTTTTTAAGTACACATTGATTATTTACCAAGACTAGCCATATACTGGGCCATAAAGCAAATCTCCACAAATTCTAAACGACTAAAATTATTCTGAGTATGTTCTCTAACAACAATGAAATTAAGCTAGCTATCAATAACAACACAATTTTTTAACCAGAATATTTGGACATTAAGCAACATGCTTCCAAAAAACCTATTGGTCAAGGAATAATTCAAAAATAGACATTAGAAATTATCTTGGACTCAATGGTAATGAAACTATTACATGCTGGTGGGTCACAGCTAAAACTGTGCTCAGAAGGAAATGTGTAACTTTAATTCTTTAACTTTTATTTTAAGTTCAAACATACATGTTCAGGTTTCTTACACAGGTAAACTTGTTTCATGGCAGGGATGTTGTACATATTATTTCATCATCTAGATATTAAGCCTAGTACCCATTAATTATTTTTCCTGATCCTCTCCCTCCTCCCACCGTCCACCCTCCGATAGGCCCCAGTGTGTGTTGTTCCCCTCTATGTGTCCATGTGTTCTCATCATTTAGCTCCCACTTACAAGTGAGAACATATGGTATTTGGTTTTCTGTTTCTGTGTTAGTTTGCTAAGGATAATGGCCTCCAGCTCCATCCATGTCCCTGGAAAGGACATTATCTCATTCTTTTTATGGCTGCATAGTATCCCATGGTATGTGTGTGCCACATTTTCTTTATCCAGCCTGTCACTGATGGGCATTTAGGTTGATTCCATGTCTTTGCTATTGTGAGTAGTGTTGCAATGAATATACATGTGCATTTGCAATGAACATACATGTGCATTTTAATAGAACGATTTGGAATTGCTGAGTCAAATGGTATTTCTGTCTTTAGGTCTTTGAGAAATCACCGCATTGTCTCCCACAATGGTTGAACAAATTTACACTCCCACCAACAGTACATAAGCGTTCTTTTTTCTCCACAACCTTGCCAGCATCTGTTATTTTTTTTTTTTTTACTTTTTAATAACAGCCATTCTGATTGGTGTGAGATGGTATCTCATTGTTGTTTTGACTTGCATTTCTCTCATAATCAGTGATGTTGAGCTTTTTTTTCTTTTTTTGTTTTTTTTGACAGAATCTCACTGTGTCACCCAGGCTAGAGTGCAGTGGCATGATCTTGGCTCACTGCAACCTGCAACTCCTGGGTTCAAGGGATTCTCATGCCTCAGCCCCCCCAAGTAGCTGGGATTACAAGTGCACATCACCACACCCAGCTAATTTTTTGAATTTTTAGTAGAGACGGTGTTTCGCTATATGGGCCAGACTGGTCTCAAACTCCTGTCCTCGAGGGATCTGCCCACCTCGGGAGCTATTTTTTTTTATATGATTGTTGGCTGCACATATGTCTTCTTTTGAAAAGTGTCTGTTCATATCCTTTGCCCACTTTTTTATGGGTTTTTTTTTAAGTTTATTATAGATGCCCTATATTAGACCTTTGTCAATGCATAGTTTGCAGAAATTTTCTCCCATTCTATATATAGTCTGTTTACTCCGTTGATGGTTTCTTTTGCTGTGCTGCACTTTTTTTTTTTTTTTTTTTGAGATGGAGACTCACTCTGTCACCCAGCTGGAGTGCAGTGGCATGATCTTGGCTCACTGCACCTCTGCCTCCTGGGTTCAAGCAATTTTCCTGCTTCAGCCTCCCAGGTAGCTGGGATTACAGGCACAGGCCACAATGCCACAAAAAAAATGCTTATTTTTGTATTTTTAGTAGAGAAAGGGTTTCACCATGTTGGACAAGCTGGTCGTGAACTCCTGACCTCAAGTAATCCACCCGTCTTGACCTCCCAAAGTGCTGGGATTACAGGCGTGATTTTTAGAATTTTCTATTGACATTCATAAGTGACAGTGGTCTGTAGTTTTTTGTTCATCTCTATCTTTATCAGGTTTTATTAAAGTTAATCTCATTATGTAAAAGAAATTGGAAAAATATGTTCCTTTTCTTTTGCTCCAGATAAATTTAAACAAAATTAGAATTATCAGTTGTTTATTACTTAACATTTTGTTTTGAAGAATTACAGATTTTCAGAAAAAAAATTATTTTAAAACTACAAAAGTTGCTATATACCTAGATTCCCTGGAGGTACATACATGTTTTTCTGAAGTGCTTGAGATTAAGTTGTAGATATATTTTTTAACCCTGAATTCTTTAGTGTATATTTCCTAAAAACAAGGACATAGGCTTATATAACCACAATACAATTATCAAAATCAGGAAATTAACAGATACAATACTATCATCTAATCCATAGGCCTTATTCAAATTTTATTAGTTTTCCCAATAATATCTTTTCCAGAAAAATATTTTTTCTGGTTCAGAATCCAATACAGCATCACACAGGCATTTAGTTGTCATGTTCCTCTAGTCTCATTCAATCTGGAGCAATTTATCAGTCTTTTTCTTTCTTAACCCTGATATTTTTGAAGGGTATAGGCTATTTGTTTTATGTAACATCCCTCAATTGTAGTTTGTCATGACTAGATTCGGGCCACACATTTTTGGTCAGAAATACCACAGAAATGATTTTCTGTCCTTCTCAGTGAGTTATATCAGGAGGCACATGTATGTTTGTCTCATTACAAGTGATGTTATCTTTGATCATTTGATTGTGTTGTCTGCCAGGTTGTCCACTGTAAAGAATGTCTGTTCCTTAATAGTTCGGTAAAATTCCCCTAGAAACATAGCATTTTTTCTAATGGATGGAATGGTAACTATTTCAAAACTTCCATTACTCCCCAAATTTCCTTAAGCTGGCCTTTTGTAATCACTCCATTTCCCAATTCCTAACCCCGGACAACCACTGATCTGTTCTCTGTCCCTACAGTTTTGCTTCTTCAGAATGCCATATAAATGAAAACATAAAGTATGTAACATTTTGAGACTGGCTTCTTTCACTCAGTCTAATGCATTTGAGATTTGCCTATATTGTTGCCTGTATCAATAGTCTGTTCCTTTTAATGGCTGAATAATATTCTGTTGGATAGCTGTACCAGTTTGTTTATCCATTCACCTGTTAAAGATCATTTGGGTCGTTTCCAGCTTGAGGTGATTATGAGTAGAGCTGCTATAAACATCTGTGTAAAGAGTTTTGTGTGAGCACAGTATTTATATCTAGGGTAAATACCCTCGGAGTGAATTGCTTGGTTTTAATTGATAGTGTATGTTTTACTTTATAAGAAACTGTCAAACTATTTTTCAGTGGCTGTACCATTTTACACTCCCACCAGGAATGTAGGAGACTCCCAGTTACTCCACACACTTGCTGGTGTTTGCTATCACCAGATTTTTTCTGCTTTTAATTTTAGTCATTCCAGTGGGTATGTTGGTGTATCTCATCACAGTTTTAATTTATATTTTCTTGATGGCTAATGATGTTGAACATCTTTTCATGTGCTTACTGCCATGTGTATATGCTTGTTAAACAAGTGTCTGTTCAAATGTTTTGTCCATGCTTTTATTGGGTTATTTGTTTCCTGTTTCCTTCTATTGAGTTCAGAATATCCTTTCTATATTCTGGATATAAGTTGTTTGTCAAATAAGTGTCTTGAAAATGTTTTCCGCCAGTCTGTGGCTTTTCTTCTCATTCTCGTAACAGTTTATTTCACTTAGAAAAGTTTTAAATTAACCCCATCAAAGAATGGGCAAAGGATATGAACAGACACTTCTCAAAAGAAGACATTTATGCAGCCAACAGACACATGAAAAAATGCTCATCATCCCTGGTCATCAGAGAAATGCAAAACAAAACCACAATGAGATACCATCTCACACCAGTTAGAATGCCTATCATTAAAAAGTCAGGAAACAACAGGTGCTGGAGAGGATGTGGAGAAATAGGAATGCTTTTACACTGTTGGTGGGAGTGTAAACCAGTTCAACCATTGTGGAAGACAGTGTGGCATTTCCTCAAGGATCTAGAACTAGAAATACCATTTGACCCAGCCATCCCATTACTGGGTATATACCCTAAGGATTATAAGTCATGCTACCATAAAGACACATGCACATGTATGTTTATTGCAGCACTATTCACAATAGCAAAGACTTGGAACCAACCCAAATGTCCATCAGTGATAGACTAGATTAAGAAAATGTGGCACTTATACACCATGGAATACTATGAGCCATAAAAAAGGATGAGTTCATGTCCTTTACAGGGGCATGGATGAAGCTGGAAACCATCATTCTGAGCAAACTATCTCAAGGACAGAAAACCAAACACCACATGTTCTCACTCATAGGTGGGAACTGAACAATGAGAACACTTGGACACAGGGCAGGGAACATCACACACAGGGGCCTGTCATGGGGTTGGGGGGTTGGGGAGGGATAACATTAGGAGAAATACCTAATGTAAATGACGAGTTAATGGGTGCAGCAAACCAACATGGCACATGTATACATATGTAACAAACCTGCATGTTGTGCACATGTACCCTAGAACTTAAAGTATAAAAAAAAGTTTTAAATTTTGATTAAGATCAATTTATCATTTTGTTTCATAGATTATGCTTTTTGTGTCATGTCTAAAACTTATTTGCTTAACCTAAAGTCATATAGATCTTCTCCTATGTTTTCTTTTAAAGTTGTTAGAGTTTTTATATTTTACATTTATATTTATAATTTATTTTGAGATAATTTGTGAATAAGACATGAGGTTTAGATCAAGCTTCATATTTCTGCAAATGAATATCCAATGGTTCTGATGCCATTTGCTGAAAAACTATCCTCCATTGAATTCCTTTTGCATTTTTATCAAAAATTAATTGGCCATATTGATTGTTTTTTAAGCTCTCTATTCCAAACACTGTTTCTGAACCCTCTACTCTGTTTCATTGATCTATGTGAGTATGCCCTCACCAATACCATACTGTTTGATTATTATAGTTTTATAGTTAATCTTAAAATGCAACTTCATTCTTCTTTGTCAAAATGTTTCTGGCTATTCTAGATTCTTCTTCTTGCCATATACATTTTATAATAAGTATGTCTATATCTATAAAAAATCCTGTTGCAATTTTGATTGGACCAGCATTAAATTCATAGATCAATATACAGAGAAATGTATTAACTCTATTGAAGGTTCCAATCCATGAGCAGGGCATGTCTCTCCATTTATTTCTGTCTTTCTGCATTTTGCATTATCATTGCTCATTGCTAGTATATAAAAATATAATTGATTTTCATGTTCATGTGCTGACTTTGAATCTGTAAACTTGATAAGTTCACTTACATAGTTCTAGCAGGTTTTATTTCTTCCTTTCTAACCTATATGCCTGTATTTCTCTATCCTGCTTTAATCCACTATTAAAAGAGAGAAGGAGAATGGACATTCTTGCCTTATCCCTAATCTTAGAGGAAAGCATTCAGTCATTAAGTATGATGTTATCTGCCCCTTATCAGGATAAGGAAGTTCCCTTCTGTTTCTACCTCACTAAGAGTTTTTATCACAAACGATGATGTATTTTTTTCAAATGTTTTTTCTGCATCAATCAAAATAATCATATAGAGTTTTTTTTCCTTACTCAATTGATATGGTGAATTACATTGATCGGGTTCAACTACTGAACTAGTCTTTCATCACAGCAATAAACCCCACTTACTCATGGTATATTATTCATTTCATATGCTGCTGAGTTCTTTTTTTTATGTTTTCTTGAGAACTTTTACCACAATGTTCATGAATGATATTGGCCCATAGTTTTCTTTTCCCATATTATCTTTGTCTGGTTTTGGAATCAGGATGATTTAAAACTCACAAAATGAGTTGGGAAGTTTCCTTCCTCTTCTCTTTTCTGGAAGAAGTTACGTAAAATTGGCATTATTTCTTTTGTAAATGCTTTGTAGGACTCGCCAGTGAGATTGTCTGGACCTGAAAATTTCTTTCTTGGAAGGATTTTCACTACAAATTCAATTTTGAAAATAGATTTAGGACAATTCAGGTTATCTACTTTTTTCTTTGGTGACTTTTGGTAGTTTGTGTCTTTCAACAAATTTATTTTATATAAATTGCCAAATGTATGTACATACAATTGTTCCTAGTATTCTCTTGTTGCCTTTTAATCTGTATGGAATCTATGGTAATATCCACCCCCATCCCATTTTGTGATCTTATTTTTGCTCCATTTGTTTTCTTTTTTTAAATTTCTATTGTAACTTCTTAGGGTGGTAGCTTAGTTTGTGTTTACCCCTTCTCACTTATTAATATAAGTCTTTTAAACCATGAATTTTCCCCTGAACACCATCTATAGGTACTTATAGTAGAATTCATTTATCATTTCCTTCATATAATCTAATTTTGGTTGAAATTTTTTCTTTGCCCTGACTTAAAAGAGTTTTGTTTGTTTGTTTACTTTGAAGAGATGAGGGTTTTTTCTGATTTTATCTTTAATTCCTACTTCTACTGCATTAAAATTAGGAAATTTTCCTGTACCATATCTACCTCTGGAAATGTATTGGGACTTTCTTTGTGGACTAATATGTGGTCAAATTTTGCACTTCTTCCATAGGTACATGTTTTAAAAGGAACTCTGTTCTTTATTTTCAAGGTAAAAAGTTTCCTTTGTGCTAACTACATCTACATTACTAATTGATTATACTGTTTAGATCTACTTGGTTTGTAATTGACTAAGAAAGTTGAATTAAAGTTCTTAATCTTACTATATATCTGTTATGTATCTGTTTTTTTCTTTAGGTAATTCTTGTAGTTTTCACTTTAATTAACGCTGATACTTTTATTTAGTTCTTCATTGAGAACTATACTCTTTGTCCATTTTTTGTTTCTCAGCTTACTGAATCCCTCAATTTCATACATGTGTCTTACAAATACCATAATACTAGTTTTCGTTGGTGATCCATCCTGAATTTATTCTTTCATTCATAGGTAAGTGTATTACTTTCCTATTGGGCTGTAACAAATTAACACAGACTCAATGGCTTAAAACAACAGGAATGTATTATCTTACAGTTCTGGAGGTCAGAAGTCTGAAATATGTCTCACTAGGCTAAAACCAAAGTGCTGACCTGGCTGTGTTCCTTCTGGAGCTTCTAGGGGAGAATTTGTTTCCTTATTTTTTTCCAGCTTTCAGAGGCTGTCTACATTTCTTGACTTACAGTCCCTTTCTCCATCTTCAAAGCCAGCAATGGTGGGCTGAATCCTCCTCAGATTGCGTCACTCTGACCTTCTGTTCTAGAGTTAAATCTTCCCTCTGCCTCTTTAAGAAACCCTTGTGATGGCATCAGGCCCACAGATAATCCAGGGTAACCTCCTATTTAAGATTGGCTGATTAACAACCTAAATTCCATCTGCAACCCTCACCATGTAACATAACAAATTCACAGCTACCAGGGAGCATTCCTCTATTTTCTTAGTCCTCTATGTTTTTACTTATTTATTAGTTCTTTATTAGCAAATTTTAGTGAATTTTTAAAAATATTTATATTTGTACTTTAAATATGCCATGGTAAATTGGATTATTGTCTAAAATTCCTCACTCCAGAGCAATATATTATTTCTACCCCATTGATGTTGGGCCTAGACATGTGACTTGCTTCGGCCAGTGAATTTTTTGCAGATGCAGCATGAGCAGAGGCATGAAATGTGCTTTACTGGTTGGCTTGGTTGCTTATGCTCTTGTGGTGTGCTATGAGAAGATTTCCTCTGGGTATCTGCTGCCCTTTCACCTGGATCCAGAGCTAATACAGGTGGATATCTAAACCCAGTCCATGGCCTGGAGCCAAGCCCAGATGGCCCACAGCCTCAGGCAGGGCTATCTGACAATATCATTTCTAATCAGCCCAAACCTCGGTCAGACAAAGGACACATCAACAACAATGATGTTGTGATGTTCTGGTACACCACTAACTTCTTGAGGTTGGTTGTTATATAGCAAAACCTGGCTATATGATTTGTATTGCGACTGCCTTTTTTTCCAGCTTCCAGGGGCTGGAAGTTTAAACGTTATGTTTTTACTCTCAGCCATTACATGAAATCTTCAATATAATTTATTCCCCATCTATTTTTTGTTTTTACCTTTTCTTCCCCCAGTTTGGGTAAGGTCTATCATTTCTGTAATGTTTTACAATATATAACATTCACCTTCTCTCCTGCCAATTGAATACCCTCATTAATATCTCTTAGTTCTTCCATCAAATATGTATAATGCTCACTGCCAGTCCTTGTATATAGTTTCTCAAAAAATGTTTGGTTGGTTGAAGTTTGTCATTTTTATTTTCCTCAAGGAAGGCTCATGGGAACACATTCTCTGAGCTCTTGTGTTTTTAAAATTGTATTTTTTTAACCTTTCTATTTAAAGAACTTTTTCACTGGGTATAAAATCATTGATTCATACTCTCTTTCCTTAAATATTAAGTGTTGTTCTACTGTCGTTTAGAATTGAATGTTGTTCTGGAAAAATCTGAAGCCAGCTGGGGACAAAGGAAATAAAGTCCTATATAAGATCTAATACTAGGAATCTTTATATTCACAGTTCACTAATTTTTCTAGGAAATGTCTCAGCATTGACCATTCACAGTCACCTTTCTCAGGTACAAAATGTGTCCTTGGCAATGTGTAGATTCAAGTGTTATTTTATTTTAGGAATGCTTTCTTGATTTATACCTTTAATATTTGTTCTGTTTTGGGTTTTGTTTTCTTCTTTGGGAATGCCAGTTATGCATATATTTAATGTCCTTTTCCTGTGCATTAAATCTATCACTATCTATTCCTCTTTAACTCTATTTACATTTTACTTTGTTTGCGCTTCTCATTTCTATTTTCTATGTCATTTCTTATATTTTTGTAGTGTTTATTAACACTTATGCTCTTTCAAGTATTGTCTTCATTTTCATCATGGTTCTATTCTGTTTTTTCTTCCCCTTCTTCTCTGAGTTTTGCCAGATCACGTTTCATCTTCTGCTGCCCTGCAAGCTCATCTCTGAGGTATTACATAATGGTTATTTTTAGAGATTATTGCTTCATTGTGATGTTTAATTCATAGTAGTGTTTGTTCACAATTCTGATCTGTTCCAAAGCCATTTTACTACTGAACATTTTTATTCATAAATTTTGCTGTTCCCTTCCTCCTTTTTTTCATAGTATCTTCTTAAAAATGCAGCACTAGTGTATTTTTTATCACTTATTGTTAAACGCGTTAGGATTTCATGAGCCATGTATTTGCTATAGACGGAGAGAGGCCAGGGTGGAATTATAATCAAGTCAGCTTTCACAACTCAGAGGTTCTCTTCTCCTCACTTGCTACAAAGTTAGGCTGCTTCTCTTAAACAAGGATTGTCTAACATGCTTCTGCATGTAACCTGGTGTGGAAGATTAAATTCCCATTCTCCCTTCTTTTCTCCCTGTAGTAACGCCATATATCTACATCTTTGCTACTGCCTTCTGGTGGATGGATTGTACTTGTCTACCCCTTGACTTGGACTTGGTCATGCAACTTGCTTTGGCTAATGAGCTATTAGTGAGTATCCCATGACCAAAGGCATGACACTTGGCTAAGGAGCCATTAGTGAGTATGCCACGATCAAAAGCATGACATTGACTCATGCAGTTGAGTTTATCCTCTTGACTCTTGCTTTTCATCATGAGAAGAACATGCCTCAGGTAGCCATTGATTTAAGGAGGTTGAGATACATGTGGAAAAGACCAGCACTCAACCGTCAAACTTGGGTCAAACCTAGCTTAGAACAGCCTACATACATTAACCCCAGCCACCTTGAAGACACATGAGCAAGAACAAATGTCTATTGTTTGGGCGTGTTTGTTATATAGCAAAAGCTGACTGATACATCCAGCCTCCTCACTTCTCTGCACCTAACCAAGCTCAGGGGGACTTCTTCCACATCTTAATGTATTCTATTTCTTCACTCTCTTTTTTAATTAAATGATACAGTTTTTTCCCTTCAGAGTGGTTCCCCCAGCTTCAAGAAGTTTTTGTAATTTTTTTGGTCCAATGCGTTACTGAGCTCTCTCCTCTGCTGTTGGCTTCTCCCTCTTGCACAGCTCCTGGGTGCTCTTGGCAGCTCTTACCAAATATTTTTCAGTCTGTCTCCTAGCTTCACTGAAAAAGGAGTTTGAATTTTTGTTTTCTGTTCTCCTTATTGCTTTGGATGATTTCCAGGAAGAAACGAAGAGATTATGAAGTTTGCACATCCATTTTCAAATGGAAGTCTGCCTTGCTTCTAGAATAAGAAAGTAGCATGGAGTCTTGGAACAAATGTGGGCTTTAGAATCAGACGGACCTGAATCAGATCCTGGGTCTGCCACTAATTTCTGTGTGAATTTGAAAAATTTACACTGACCTCTCTGAGCTCCAGTTTGTTTCTTCAATCTATAAAAAGGATCTAGTAACACTTATCTCAGAGTTATTAAAAAGAACATCTTCAGAGAATGAAAGCTAAAATATGGACAGCATCTAGCAGTGCAAATAGTAGGCACACCAAAACATGAAATGAAAACCTATTTTTTTTTTTTTTTTTTTTGAGACAGTCTCACTCTGTCACCCAGGCTGGAGTGCAGTGGCATGATCTCGGCTCACTACAACCTCTGCCTCCCAGGTTAAAGTGAGTCTCCTGCCTTAGCCTCCTGAGTAGCTGTGATTACAGGCATGCGCCACCACAACCAGCTAGTTTGGTTTTTTTTTTTTTTTTGGTTTTTTTTTTTGTTTGGTTTTTTTGGTTTTTTTGTTTTTGTTTTTAGTAGAGATGGGGTTTCACCATGTTGGCCAGGCTGGTCTCAAACTTCTGACCTCAGGTGATCCGCCCATCTCACCCTCCCAAGGTGCTGGGATTACAGACGTCAGCCACTGGACCTGGCCTGAAAACATAATTATTATAATTCTTTCATTGCATTGTTGGTGGTGACTAGAGAATAAAAGATATGAGAATGCAGTTTTTAAAACACCTAGATGAAAAGGTACTAAAAGTACAGAGATATGTCTTCCATTCTGCTAAATCTGCACAGGAACAGTGAGAGCTGCTGATTCTTACAGAAGCTCAGAAAATAGGTTAATTCCTTGCATCCTGTCCCTCCTCTCCATACTTAGGTTTTCTATCCCCACCTCTACAGAACACATGTCTTGGTTCTGGGCCAATGGCTCAAGCCAAGCCAATTAGCACAACCTCATTCCCTGACCACGATCCATTTGTTCATTGATGGGTATTTGATTAATTCAGGGCCAATGAGATTGTAAAAGATGTTAGCTGGTGGTTTTAGAAAAGCAAGGTTTTACTCTTCTGAGGGAATTTCTAAGAGCAACCTTGTCCCTCTCCCTTGACACGGTCATCAAGTCCCAGAAGATTTTGAGAGCCCTCTTAAAACTGCAACAGGAAAGGGTTATGGTCTTGAGATGAGGCTACCATGACAGAGAGGAAACACAGAGAGAAAAAGACCCTGGATCCTTGATGATATTGTTGCACATCTGAATCAAAGCAACACTGGAGCCCATCCAACCTCTTCACTCTGTGGTAAATAAGCCAATTAACCTTCTTCAAAATGGTTATGCCCATTTGAGTTTGGTTGTCTCTTACTTGCAGCTAAATGTACTCTATCATATTATCAGACAGCAAAGTTTCCCAACAATTCCCATCACCATCATTAACACATTCTCAGCAAAAGACCATCTTTAATCCTGTGTCCCAGGTGGTTTCCAGAATCAAAAAACCATTACTCAGTGTCCCTTTTATGATTCTGTTTTTTCATAGACTATGCTATTGTATGGGACCAACAAACGCTTATCAATAAAAGCTAACATCTGTTAAGTTCTTAATACATACCAGTCTCTTTACCAAGCCCTTTGCTGCATTCTTTCATCTAATTCTTACAACATTCCTATGAGATAAGCACCACTGCCTCTTCCTACACAGGGAGAAACTAAGACTTAGCCATCTTAGCTCCCCGACCTAAGTTATAGATCAATAAACTGGTGAATCCAAGAGTCAAACTGACTCCAAAGTTGAATTCTTAAACACTTGGCTAAACTGTGTCTAAAAAATATTTATTGAACACCATCTATGCACAGAGAGGAATCAATTAGTTTTTCCTCATGAGTTGCTCGTGAGCTAATGGGATAAGCAAATTTGTACACAAATCATTATAGCACAGCAGGGAATGCAGGAACATGCCTGAAGAGACAAGTGGAGGCCAATTCAGGAAAAGTCCCGTAATACGCAAAGCAGCCAGGACTCTATCCTGAGGGTGATGGGGACCCAGGGAAAGCTTTTTGGCAGGGGGGTGACATGATCAGGTGCGTTGTGTAAACTGTGGATGTGACTGTAATGTGAAAGATAAATGAATGGAATGAGACTAGGGTTTAGCCAGCCAATGAGGAAGGTGTGCAATACTCCAGGTGTGATGCGATGTGCACATGGCCCGTGAAGAATATTCAAATGACTTCCCCTTGAATGGAAGAAAGAAAAGGAGTGTAAAGTACTTCCACATTCCGCCACAAGCACACATTCAGCCCAGTGGGAGCTGCAGGTGTGGACAGCACATCCTACATTAGGGAAGTGCCCCATCACACCAAAAACCATACCCCTGCCACCAACAATGAATATCACTCTTTTCTAGGTGACCTGCTGAACTGCCCAGCAAGTGCCTATGATAATTGGATTGCAGAGAATTAGGCCAGAGTCAGCCATGGGTTGGGTGTGGCCTCCAGAAGGAGAATGTGCTCCATTGTGCTTTCAACTATTGTAAAGACTAAATTGATTCTGTGACTCATCCCAGTTCTCACTATGGAAATCTGTCCTTAACCATGCCAAAGCACACACACACACACACACACAAAAATGTAAACACATCCAAATGCACACAAGATGAAATGAAAAGAACACTTAATTGCAATCAGTCAATGGCGTAAGCCATTTCTTTATTTCTATCTGTGTCCTAACCTTTGTGGCATTGCTTCTAAGCCAGAGGTCATCATCAGACTATAATTGCTAAAATTTAGTGAGCATGCACATTAATGTATTCATCTCATTGAATCCAAAAAGAAGAAAAGATCCTGTTATGTCAGTATTACTATCCCAATTTTGAAGAAGAGAAAACCAAGTCTCAGCAAGGAAGTACCTGAGCTGAGACTCGAATCCAGTCTGTGTAACTGGGACCCCATGCCTTCCAAAAATGAGTACTATCTTTCACATTTATCCAGCACTTCAGATTTACAGTAATATAATGTTAGGTTGTTTAATCATCACAGCCACTCTCTATAAAACAATTGACATTTTTTTTTCAGGTGCATGGGCTGAGGCTTAGAGAGGGGAAATGACTGAGCTGGGATCACACAGCAAGGAGTAGAAGCAATGTTTCTATTCAACCTCCTGAGACAATTGTTCTAATCACAGGGAAACACTGTTCATTTCACTGTAGGAGTTTTGCACCTGCCTGGATTGATACGTACCTTCTATTTCTGACTCCAAATGGCTGAGTAATCTGCTCATGTTAATGCATCAACCTAAATTACAGTAGAAAAGAATCTAAAGTTGACCACCACCTCATTATCTCACCCTTTTGCACAGAACAAACAAGAAGAAGAACAGTAGAGAATGTAGCCCTTGGCATTCTTTCAAAAAAACCCTTTTCTTATTATTGTATTCTAAAGTATCTATGCACCAAAATTGCAAAGGAGTTTAAAGAACTGTCTTAAAACACATTTGGGAGTAGATTTGCTTCCTGTTCTTTAACAAGTCCTGGGCTGAGGTAAAGAACACTCATTTTATTCTTATGGGTCTTGAAATCCATGTCTTTCACTTTTTAAGAAATAGGATTAAAGCATCAAAGAAAAGTCCTTATTGAAGGGCTTTGCGTGACTGGTCAAGAGTGAATTCACCAGCCATCTCTCCAGGCTGCTGTCAGCTCTGGCCACAGGGGACAGGCCACCATTGCCAGATCAGGGCAACTAATGAACCAAGAAAAAAGGAACTACCCCTTTACTGAAGGCCCACCACATGCCAGGGGCATACCACTTGCCAAGCACTCTACACAGTCTAGGGATGCATAGCTAAAAGGCTAAATGCACACACCCTGGAAACAGCCTCTCTGGGTTTGAAGCCCAAATCTGGGCTATTGGCTGGAGGCCTTAGTCAAGTCTCTTAACCTCTCCATGCCTCAGTTTCTCCTCTGCACAATGAGGGCTGTAACACTAGCTTCCTCATTGTATTGTTGTGGGTTGGGATATACAGAGAGCATAAAGTAATTCCTGGTACACAGTAAGAGTTCTCTTTCTTTAAATATTAACCATAATTATTACTACTGTCTTTTTCGATTCTTACACCCACTCTGTGAGATAGTGGTTCTCATCCTCTTCTGGTAGATGAGGAAACTGCAGCTCAGAGCAACAAGGCAACAGTGGCTGGGGAAGTGACTGGAAGAGATGAATTTAGCCCTGGTCAGGCAAAGCATGGGCCTGTGGTCTGCACTCCCTCACCTCCAGCTGATGGGCACTATGCCAATATTTTCAAGTTTCACAATCCCGGTAAGTAATAACCCACAAGGAGAAACCCACAAGGTAGAAGTGCTGTCAACATAGGACAGTATACACAGATAGCTGGCAATCAAACACACACTATAATCTGGTTGTGTCTGGTTCTGCTACTTATACTCAGTCTCAGAAATTTTAATGACACTGTCTTCCATCCATCCATCCTTCCATCCACCCACACACTCACCCATCCATCCCTTCATCCACTCACCCATTTATCCATCCATCCTTCCATCCACCCACACACCCATCCATCCATCCTTCCATATACCCACAAATCCATCCCTCCATCCTTCCATTCATCCACACACCCATCCATCTATCCTTCCATCCACCTACACATCCACCCATCCCTCCTTTCATCCACCCACACACCCACCCATCCATCCTTTCATCCACCCACACACACACCCATCCATCCCTTCATCCACCCACCCACCTATCCATCCATCCTTCTATAAATCCATCCCTCCATCCTTCCATTCACCCACACACCCATCCTTCCATCCACTCACATGTCCATCCATCCCTCTACCTATTCACCCATTCGTCCACATATCAAATATTTACAGAGATCATACTCCTTGTCCTTCCCGGTAAAACTGCTAAAAATCTTTAAAATAATTCCAAGTTGAACTGCTTACTGAATTATGTGCTGGGTGCTACCGGGATATAAAAAGGCTATCTGACAGATCTCAACCACAAATGTACACCCTTCAACACTGGCACCCAGAATATATTTATCATTTACCCTCTGTGCCCACCACCACCCCGCCCCGCAACAAGAAAAGAATTACTCATGAGACAGTTCCTGATTTGCATCCAAGGCAAAGGGCCTTGTTATTTGGACAGCTGACACATCCAACTTTGCTAGCTTAAGATATATATTTTTCTTAATATTCAGATGAAACAACTTCAATCTCCCATCTACCTGCTATGGTCTGAATATTTGTCTTCTCCAAAAACTTGCATGTTGAAACCTAATGACCAATGTGATGGAATTAGGAGGTGGGATCTTTGGGCTGATTAGATTATGAGAGTTCATGAGTTTAGTGCCCTTATAAAAGAAGTTCCAGAGAGCTGTCTTTCACCTTGACATGAGGACACAGCTGTGAGAACACAGGGAGAAAATACCATCTTTGAACCAGGAAATGGGCCCTCAACAGACACTGACTCTGCTTGATCTTGGGCTTCCCAGCCTCCAGAACTGTGAGAAATAAGTTTCTACTGTTTATGAGATACCCAGTCTATGATATTTTATTGTAGCAGCCCAAACTGACTAAGACACTCCCTATCAGGAGCAGGTCTGTCTTCCCACCCAGGGTGATCCCAAGAACTTGCAGGGTGTCTATTCAGTCTAAGGAAGCAGTTCTTGTAGCAACTATCAAAAGATCAGAACACAAAAAGCTCTGCTTGACTCAATTGTTGCCTTAGGCAGCTTGGGCTCTGGGACTTTGGTGACTGATAGGGACACACTATTTTATTTCTGAAGATGCATAACACCAAGGCCATGTCCAGCTGGGACATGCATCCCCATGGCCAAATGGTATAGGTACTATTTTCTCCAAATGCTTAATGAAGACAGCAAAGGGAGTAGGGAATACACAATCTCCTCTTCTTAAGTGTCTTGCTTTGTTGTGGTTGCTGCACCAAACCTCTACCTCCATAGTGAAGCTCTTTGGGTACTCAACTCTCTCAACACATGACACACACACACATAGTTCTGTGCAACATTTATAATCCAGGGAGTCTATGTTAGAAAGAATTCAGTCCATTATGCCATGTGTTCTGCCTAGAACTAGTCCTCCCCTAAATTTTGGAGAGCTTATACAAAGAGGTGAGTGGGTCAGAGTGTTGGGTCCAATGGTGCCTCACAGGCCAAGGAGATCATCCCAGCATCAGAACTTCAGTTTGGCCTCCACACACACTCCAGTCCGGTCTAGGGGAAGTCCTACCCTCCCCCATCCCAGGGCCCACCCACTCCCTGACCCATGATGATTGGCAGCCAGAATGCCCATTCTCTTGCCTCCTGTTTCCCTAAAGACTGATACCAGCAAATTTCTCTCAGTTCAAGATCCTCAGTTACCACCCTATATTTCTTTTCAAATTTTCCACCACTTCATTTTCTGGTATCCTCCTCTTTTCCCCTGAGAAGCATCGCTATGCTGTGGCCTGGGGATGGGAGGGAGAATCCACAGGCTGTGGGGATATTTCATAGGCTTCATCTAGGCATTAAATGAGGAAATGAATGCAAAAGTGCCCAGCACAGTGCCTGACACATAAAAGCACCAATAAGCTTCAGCTGTCTTCCCCCTTCTTCAAACTACTTAATTTTCTGTGAAACTAACACTTCTTTTCTAATTGCCCTTGACTTCACATTCTTTAGCCCATTCTTCGTTACTAATCCATTCTTGCTAGTTCCTCCTACATTCCTATTGTTCGTGTTAAAGATGACTTTTCTATTCACCTGTGTAAGTCTTGCTGCCTCCTACACTGATTAATTTAGCTAGATTGAAAAGGAGGACTAGTGCTTCCTCCATAAAACTCCAATTAATCAATCATTTTAGAACTTGAGCTACTTTGTGTGGTGGTATTTGTGGAAAGAGCAGGAATATTGCTGTCAGTCCTGAGAGGTGGCATTTACTGGCAGATAGACCTCAGACAAGTAATTTTACTCCTGTAAGCCTGAATTTGTTTATAGTACCCCAACTCATAAGATTGGTGAGATGTTTACAAATAACCTAAGAGAAGTTTCCTGGGCAAAGCCTGACTTACAGGTGCAACGTAACATGAAATTACTGCACTGAGACAGATTTAGTTCTGAGTATGTTTATGCCACTTAGCCTATTTTTGTATATAAATTGTACAGAATACTTTATCAAACAAGAATAGAGTATACATTCTTCTCAAGCTCATACAGAACATTCACCAAGATAGACCACATTCTGGGCCATAGGATACACCTTAACAAATTTAAACAGATAAAAGCATACAAAGTATGTTCTCAGACCACAATGGAATTAAACTAAAAATCAACAACAGGAAGATAACCCCGTATATTTATAAGTTAAACAGCACGTTTCTAAATATCACATGGGTCAAAGAAGAAGTCTCAAAGTTAACAAATATTTCAAACTAAATGAAAGTCTGAATATCAAAATATGTGTGATACAACAAAAACAGTTCTTCAAAGGAAATTTATAATATTAAGTGCATATAAGAAAAAAAATCCCAAATCAATAAGCTAGGTCTCCACCTTAGGAAACTACAAAAGCAAGAGTAACTTAAGCCTAAAGAAAACAAAAGGAAAACAAGAATTTTAAAAGCTAGAGCATAAATCAATGAGACTGAAAACAGAAAAAAACAATAAAATCAGCAAGCTGGTTTCAATAAAATTGATAAATTTGACAAATCAAGAAAAAAGGAGAGATGTCACAAATTAAAATATTGGAAATGGGGGGGGTAAATGACTTTACAACTGATTCCATGGACGTTAAAAGGATAAGAAAAGAATAATGTGAACAACTCTATGCCCAAAAATTTGATAAAGTAGGTGAAATGAAAGACAATTCCTTAAAAGATACAAACTACCAAACTCATACAAAGAAAAAGATAACCTGAATATCCCTATATTTATTTAAAAATCAAATCAATAATGTTGCTCTTAACCTTCCAAAAAAAGAAAACACCAGGCTTAGAGAGTTTCACAAGTGAATTCTACCAAACATTTAAGGATTTAAGGAAGAAACAGTATCAACTCCCTACAATCTCTTCCAGGAAACAATTTCTAACTCATTCTATTAGCATGAGGCCAGTACCATAACCAGATAAAGGCATCACAAGACATTACGAAAAAGAAACACTGTAGATCAAAATCTCTCATGAACATAAGCACAAGAATCCTCAACAAAATATTATTAAATCAAATCCAGCAGTGTTTAGAAAGAAATTTACATGATGACCATATTGGATTTATTCCAGATATGCAAGGCTATTTCAACATTCAAAAATCAATCAATGGTCTGAAATCTTACATTTATGTCTTTAATCCATCTTGAGTTAGTTTTTGTATATGGTGAGAAGTAGGATTCTGCATATGGTTAGCCAGTTGTCCCAGCACCATTTATTGGGTAAGGTGTCCTTTCTTCATTGTTTATTTTTCAAAGAATTTATGATGAAGACCCCAAAAGCAAATGCAACACAATCAAAAGTTTCATTAAACTAAAGGAGCTTCTGCATAGTAAAAGAAACCCTCAACAGAGCAAACAGACAGCCTACAGGATGGGAGAAAATTTTTGCAAACTATGCATCCAACAAAGAACTAATATTAAGAATCTTTAAGGAACTTAAATGAATCAACAAGAAAATAACAAAAAACCCCACTAAAAGTGGGCAAAGGACATGAACAGACACTTCTCAAAAGAAGACATACAAGCAACCAACAAACATTTAAAAAAATGCTCAACATCACTAATCATCAGAGAGATGCAAATCAAAACCTCAGTGAGATATTCCCTCACACCCCAGTCAGAATGGCTATTATTAAAAATTCAAAAAATAGCAGATGTTGGCAAGATTGTGGAGAAAAGAGAACACTCATACATTGTTGGAGGAAATGCAAATTAGTTCAGCCCCTGTGAAAAGCAGTTTGGAGATTTCTCAAAGAACTAAAAATAGAACTAACATTTGATCCAGAAATCTCATTACTGGGTATATACCCAAAGAAAAATAAGTCATTCTACTAAGAAGATAATAAGTCAATAAGTCATTCTACATGCACTCATATGTTCACTGCAGCACTGTTCAAAATAGCAAAGGCATGGAATCAACCTAGATTCCCATCAGCAGTGGATTAGATGAAGAAAATATGGTACATATACACCATGGAATAGTACCCAACCATAAAAAAGAATGAAATCATGTCCTTCAAAGCAACATGAGTGCACTTGGAAGCTGTTACCCTGCGTGAACTAATGCAGAAACAGAAAACCAAGTATCACATGTTTTCCCTTATAAGTAGAAACTAAATCCCACTTGGGTTCACATAAACATAACAATGGAAAAAACAGACACTGAGGACTCCAAAATAAAGGAAGACAGGGAGCGGGGCAAGGGCTGGAAAACTTTCTTTTGCATACTGTGTTTACTATCTGGGTCATGGGATCAATAGAATACCCAAACCTCAGCATCATGCAATATGCCCTTGTAACAACCCTACACGTGTATCCCCGAATCTAAAATAAAAATAATTTTTTTTTAGATGGAGTCTCTGTCACCCAGGCTGGAGTGCAATGAAGAGATCTCGGCTCACTGCAACCTCTGCCTCCTGGGTTCAAGCGATTCTCCTGCCTCAGCCTCCCAAGTAGCTGGAATTTTAAAAAATCAATCAATGTAATCCACCATATAAACAAGCTAAAGAAGAAAAATTGTATAATATCAGTTGATGAAGTAAAGACGTTTGACAAAAATCTAGCAGCCAATCCTGATTTTTAAAACTCTTAGGAAACTAGGAATAGATGTGAACCTCCTCAAAAAATAAAAATAAGAATATTTACAGAATTCTATAGTTAATGTCATATTTAATGGTGACAAGCCAGATGCTTTTCCCCTAAAATAAGGAACAAGAAAAAGATTTTTTTCTTCAACCATTTCTATTCAATATCATACTAGAAATCCTAGTTAATGCAGTGAGACAAGAAAAGCAAATACAAAGTATACAGATTGGAAACAAATAAAAATATTATTTTCACAGATTATATGATTGTCTATTTTAAAAACCTCAAAGAACCTACAAAAAGAAAACTCCTGGAACTAAAGTGATTATAGCAAGATTGTGGGATACAAGGTCAACATACTAAAGTCAATTGCTTTCCCATATACTAGCAATGAACAATGGAATTTATTTTTTTAATGTCATACAGCACAATAAAATGAAATACTTATAGATATAACAAAATGTGTACAGAATCTGTATGCACAAAACTACAGAGCAATGATGAAAGAAATGCAAGATACAAATAAATGGAGAGATTCTGTGCTCAGGGATTTAAAGACTCAATATCGTGAAGGTGCCAATTCTTTCTAACTTGATCTATAGATTCAATGCAATCAGAATCAAAATCCCAGCCAGCAATTTTGTAGATATTGACAAACTGATTCTAAAGTTTATATAGAAATACAAGGGACCTACGATAGCCAAAATAATTTTGGAAATGAACAAAGTTGACAGACTCACATTACCCAATTTCAAGACTTACTATAAGATACAATAAATAAGACAGTGCGATATTGGTGAAAAGGTAAACATAAATTAATGGAACAGAATGAAGAGCACAAAAATAGACCCACATACATGTAGTCAACTGATCTTTGAACAAGGACCTAAAGCAAGTTGCTTTTTGTGTTTTCAACAAATGATACTGGAATAATTGGATGTCTAGATGTAAACCAATGCACCTAGACACAGACCTCATACCTTACACAAAAATTAACTCAAAGTTGACCATAGAGCAGTGCGACATGGAAACCTTTAAAATATCTAGAAGAGGACCTGGCGTGGTGGCTCAAGCCTGTAATCTCAGAACTTTGGGAGACCAAGGCAGGAGGATTGCTTGAGCTCAGGAACTCAAGACCAGCCTGGGCAACATAATGAGATCTCATCTCTACTAAAAATAAAAAAAAAAATTAGCTGAGCCTAGTGGTGCGTACCTGTAGTCCCCGCTACTCAGGAGGCTGAGGCAGGAGGATTGCTTGAGCCTAGGAGTTTAAGGCTGCAGTAAGCTATACGCATGCCACTGCACTCCAGCCTGGGAGTACAGAGACCCTGTCTCAAAAAAAATTAAAATAAAATAAAATACTTATGAGAAAACACAGGAGAAAATCTCTATACCATTGGGTTTTGTGATATATTTCTAGATACAACAGCAAAAGCACAGTCCACAAAAGAAAATATTAATATGTTGTATTTTATTAAAATTTCAAACTTCTGCTTTGTGAAAGACACTATTAAGAGAATTAAAAGACAAGCCACAGACTGGGAGAAAATGTTCGTAAAACATATATTTAATTTTTAAAAATTGCATCCAAAATATACAAAGAACACTCAACAAGAAAACAATCCAGTGTTGGGCAAAAGATATGAAAAGACACCTCACCAGAGAAGGTATACAGATGACCAATAAGCCTAAGAACAGATGCTCAATATCACTTGTCATTAAGGAACTTCAAGTTAAAACAACAATGATATACTACTGCACACCTATTGAAATGGCTACTGTTTAAATGCCAATACAATTTGCTGGTGAGGGTGTGGAGAAGCAAGAACTCTTACTCATTGCCGGTGGGAATGCAAAACGGTATAGCCACTTTGGAAGATAATTTGGTGGGTTTTTACAAAACTAAACAGAAGCCCCATATGATCTGGAAACTACAAGCAGTCCTACATATTCACCCAACTGATTTTAAAAGTTGTATCTACACAAAAATCTGCATGCAAATATTGATAGCAGCTTTTTAAATAATCACCAATAACTGGAGGCAACCAAGTCGTACTTTATTTAATAGGGGAATGGATAAACTGTCCATCCATGCAATGGAATACCATTCACTGTCCATCCATACAATGGAATACCATTGAGCAATAAAAAGAAATGAGAAAGAGAAAGCTACACAGAGACATGGATGAATCTTAAATGCACATTGCTAAGTGAAAGAAGCAGTCTAAAGGCAATGCATACTGTATGAATTCATGTATATGACATTCTGGAAAAGGCAAAACTACACAAAGGGTAAACAGATCAGCGGTTGCTGTGGCTTGGCAGAAGGAAGGTTGAATAGGTAAAGCACAGGAGGTATTTTAGGGCAGTGAAACTACTCTACATGATATTATAATGCTGGATACATAGCATTAGGTATTTCTCAAATACCACAGAACTTTACAGCATAAACAGTGTACTTTAATGTATGGATTTTTTTAATCATTTGGGAGTTCAGCATATCCTAGGATGGAATGTAGACTATGACAAAATAATCTAACTATATTACAAATGTATGAAACAACCTTACTGAAGGGGGTAGAAGAAAAAAGGACTGACATTAAGTAGCTTTGGAAATGGTGGAGTCTGTAAGACAAAAGGCCTTAAGGAACTGCACATAAACATTGTACCTACACACTTGATAAAATTGATTCCCACAGGGATATGAGCTAACAACTCTGAAACCACTATACCTGTGTCATGGAATTGAACAACTAAAATTCAGTAATTGTCCATGCGTGCTTAATGTTTAGCTCCCACTTATAAGTGAGAACATGCGGTATTTGGTTTTCTGTTCCTGCATCAGTTTGCTGCGGGTTATGGCCTCCAACTCCATCCATGTTGCAGCAAAGGGCATGATTTTATTCTTTTTCATGGCTGCATAGTATTTCATGGTATATATGTACCACATTTTTTTAATCCAATCCACCACCATTGATGAGCACCTTGTTTGATTCCATGTCTTTGCTATTGTGAATAGTGCAGTGATGAACATATGAGTGCGTGTGTCTTTTTTGTATAATGATCTATATTCCTTTGGGCATATACTCAGTAATGGGGTTGCTGGGTTGAATGGTAGCACTGTTTTAAGCTCTTTGAGAAACGTCCAAATGACTTTTTCACAGTGGCTGAACTAGTGTACATTCCCACCAACAGTGTATACTTTGACACTGCAGACTACGAGAAAGGGAAGGGAGGGAGAGGGACATGGGTTGAAGAACTACCCATTAGGTATTATGCTCACTACCTGGGTCCAAAATACCCAAGTATCAATCCTACACATGTACCCCCATATCTAAAATAAAAGCTGAAATTAGAAAATAATAATAATAGCTGGGCGTGGTGGCTCATGCCTGTGATCCCAGCACTTTGGGAGGCCAAGGCAGGTGGATCATGAGGTCAGGAGATCGAGACCATCCTGGCTAATACAGTGAAACACTGTCTCTGCTAAAAATACAAAAAAAAAAAATTAGTCTGGTGTGGTGGTGGGCACCTGTAGTCCTGGCTATGCGGGAGGCTGAGGCATGAATGGTGTGAACCCAGGAGGCGGAGCTTGCAGTGAGCCGAGATAGCACCACTGCACTCCAGCCTGGGCGACAGAGCAAGACTGTATCTCAAAATAATAATATTAATAAATAAAATTCAGTAAATGGATGGAAAGTAGTTAGGATCCAGATTCCTCACTGTTAGAATGGGAGTTATTGACAAGCAAGGGGAGGAGGCTAGAATGACCCATGTGGTAATGGATTCAAGTTGGAGACGTCAGCAAGAACTCAAGTTTAACTTAGTATAGATACAAATGGTTACACATAAAAATATTTACATGTATGCACATGGGCTTGAAGATGCATACATTTATTTGCTCTATAAGCTAGGAAGACCTATAAGTAACAACACTCCAGTAGCAATGAGCACACCTAAGTACCCAGATCTTGGTTTCTAACACCATCCTCCAATAAAAGGAACCAGAGCTCCCTGGAGAGAGGACTGATTCTAGGGCTGGGGCAGGAAATATCCGAAATGAACCTGGAACATCTTATAGAGCCAGAAAGTAAGGAAGTGCAGAAAAAAAGAAAAAACCCACAATGATAGGAGTATGTCAAAGGGATCCAGGAGCCAACGACAGAGTTCCCAATGGCCAAAGGTGGAACGATCTGAGCAACAGAATAAAGTGGTATTGGATTATTACTCAAAGTCAAACGTAGGTTACATGAGCCATACCAACATAAATAAATAATTGACTACATAAACAAACAACCATGGAAGAATAGACACATCTCCTATGCAGAAGAATTCCAAATAATTCACATAGATAACCCCACCCCTAAGTGCAAACTGCACATAATGATGTTCTTCAAAAAAATATCATATGGAAAGTGGGGGTAACTTTACAGTGGAGAAACCTGATAAACACTATTTCAGCCAGGTGATCAAAGGTAATAAGTCATGTTGATAGTATACATCCTTGATATGATGTGATAAAAATGGCTCGGCAATCTTCCTTCCAAAACCCCATAACCTCAGTCTAATTATGAGAAAAGCAGACAAATCCCAACTTAGGGACAATCTACAAATGACCACTACTCCTCAAAACTGTCAAAGTCATCCAAATAAGAAAAATCTGAGAAACTGTCACAGCCAAGAGGACCCTGAGAATGTATGACTAAATGTAATGTGCTGTCCTGAATGGGATCCTGGAATGGAAAAAAAGACTTTAGGGGAAAACGAAAGAAATGTAAACAAGATATGGATTTTAATTAATAATATATCAATATTAGTTCACTGACACCATATTAGCGTAAGGTGTTACCAATAAGGGAAACTGGGTGTGGTGTCTATGGGAACTCTCCATACTACCCTTGCAGCTTTTCTGTAAATCTAAATCTATCCTATAATACAAACTTGCTTTTAGTTTTTGTTTGTTTTTTATTTTTTATTTTTTGAGACAGAGTCTCATTCTGTCGCCCAGGCTAAAGTCCAGTGCAATCTCCACTTCCTGGGTTCAAGCAATTTTCCTGCCTCAGCCTCCCGAGTAGCTGGGATTACAGGCACCTGCCATCATGCCTGGCTAATTGTTTTCTTTTGTATTTTTGTAGAAATGGGGTTTCACCATGTTGGCCAGGCTGGTCTCGAACTCCTGGCTTCAGGTGACCCGCCTGCCTCAGCCTCCCAAAGTGCTGGGATTACAGGCATGAGTCACCGCGCCTAGCCAAAACTTGCATTTAAAAAACGTAAACTGGTAGCCCATATTTCTTGACAAACCCCAAGCTCTCTCCTCCGCCAGCTCTCCTCTCCTCCTCCGTGCCCTCTCTCCCTCCCTCCATGCCCACCTCCTTCTCTGTTGAATTTGAAATCTCTATTAAATGCACATCAGTAGTTTAATAACTGTCAGGGAGAAAAACAAGAAAAATCAAGCTGACTGTTGACTCTTTATGCTCATTCCTGTGAATGTAGAGTGAGTGTGAGCAGAGGTCTCATGACATGCAAACTTAGTCTGGCCAAAGCAGTCGGCCACTCAGGAACTGATGCTCTAAGAAGAGGTCCGCAAAGACGTTCTCCTATACAAACTTGTGTTTGAAATCACTTAACCTCATTTACCAATCTCTGTCTACAATTGACTACATATTAGCAATGCTCCCTGATTGAGTATCTCACCTCTGAGGCCCCTCTGCATTTGACTCATTCTTCTAATCTTTTGCAGGTTATACAGTCTGATGCTTTACACTTAAATTTCTTCCTCCTTCTGAATACTCTTTCTGAGTATTCCTCCCTCAATACTGCCCTAAAAATTTGATCCTCAAACCTTGGATTTAGAACTTGAAGCCTTCATTGCTATTCTCTGGAAACATCTATAATTAGGAGCCTGTGGGAACATTTAACATAAAAATATCACAAAACATTTAATATCTATGTCAATGATGAGAAAAATAGAATTTGAAAACCTCCCAAAAGGTTAAACCTAAGAACAAACACTGGAGTGTTTTTCAGTTTCAAAATAATCAGAAGTGGTTGATGTCACGATGTAGACTGCTTTTTAGAAGAGGCTCTTAAACATTTGAGCAACAGCAACCAAGCTAGAAAACCTAGAGAATTCAATCGGGAAAATGGCAGTGGTCATTCCTGCTGTGTCCAGTAGCACCTGACATCTTTGCTCTCAAAACTTGGAGAAAATTCTTGCTGTGGTTTTTTTCAGAGCCAGGGTACTAGAAGTCTCCAGGGCTCTGAGCTTTTACCATTAATAAAATATCCAAAACTGACCTGAGGGGAAATGCATTGGCTCCAAAATATGACAAAAGGACTGCAAAATTAAAATTAAGAACAATTTCACAAACAACATCTAAAAATCCTTCTTTTTTGCAGCAAATATATATATGTATATATTTAAGAACGAGGTGGGAGCATTTTAATATGTTTGATCTGATTTGCAATGTGGCACCAAAAGTAAGCGTAGTTGAGGTCTATGAAGGTCTTAAAACAAGGCAGGCCCCTGCGAAGAGCCACTTTGTGTCAACTTCTAGGATTTCGGACCTGTTCCCACTAATGATCCCCAACCTGGAGTCCCCAAGGACCCCCTTGTGGGTGTGTTTCATCATTTCCCAAAAGCTGAACAGAGAAAATGATTGAACTTATAAGAAGGGCACACAGTGCATTATTTTCCAAATGAGATGCATTTCATCAGCATTATTGCAAATATGGACTCTGAGGAAGCTCAGTAAAAGGGTCCCTTTGTGTAAGACCTCCACGTAGTGGTGAAAGTCATGTCCTGGGGGAAAGGGCAAGGGCTGGGAGCAGGGCAGGCCCTGTAACCCTATGATCTGCACTGGTCAGCTGAGCCTCTACAAGCCAGGCCCCAGTCCCAGCCAGCCTCAGCCAAACTAGGCACTGATGATCAAGCCAGAGATGTGCACAGGTGAGCTCAGAAACACACACAGTGCTCAAGACTGTACCTTCTTTCAGGGACTCAGCACCCTCGTCCCAACCCCGCCAGCAAAGCAACCACAGCTGGAGCTCTTCCTGCCTAACACCCAGTCCAGCATGCTTCTCTAATAATTTTATTTTAATTAAACCTACGATACACGTAAACACAAGATTCTTGTAAAAAGCAAGAAATATACAAAGTAAAACGTTAAGGCCTCCCCGCCTTGGTTCTCCCCAAACCTCACTCTTCTCCTGAGAGATACCACAGAGGTGCACAGTCACGGGGTGGAGCTTACACTTGAGGACTGGGACTTACCTACATAAATTATTTGGAATTCTTCTGCATGGGAGATCTGTCTATGCACCCACATTTATTTATTTATTATTTGTTTCCATTATTCAGGTGGGTAGGCACTTTTCTACATCTTTTTCTATGTATTTACATTAAGAAATATATACTTCTTACACTTTTTGAAATAAAAGGAACTGTATTGCTTGACAACTTGTTTTTTCACTAATATGCTCTGAAAGTTCTTTCTTAACTATGCTTATGGATCTACCTTTCTTTTAAACTACCGCATACTAGCAACAATGTACATTTTAGTAATTCATTCCCCTCCTGCTGGACACTTGGGTTGTCTTCAGTTGACTTTCACAAGCAAGGCTGCAGTGTGCATCCTTTACACACACATCTCTGAGCACATAGGTGAGGAGGCATGCAAAAGAGATTCATGGAAGTGGGATTGCTGAGCCAAATTGTGTGCATGCTTTAAAGTTTGGTTGTCCTAGCCAAATCCCCCTTGCACTTGTCCATATCCATTTACGCTGCTATGAATAGAGCAGGAAAGTGTCTGTTTCTTGCCTCTAACCCAGAAGTTCTGCTAGTCAGTGGAACCTCATCCAAGTGTGACATTCTAAATGTCATGACCCTAGGAGCAAGCAATGTTATTAGTACCAATGAAAGCTTTCTAAAAATGGCATGCCAATTTGCTCTTGCCTTGAAGGTATTATGACCAGTCTTGTTAAACAAACTAGAACCCTCACCTTATTGCCCCTGGACTGGATCCTCTTTAATCCTCTCCTTTGCCAGTCAGGAACATACTGTTTTACAGCAAGTAAAAACCCACAGCTGTTTCAGCAGAATTAGTGTGGAGCACTGTCTCCCCTGACACCCCCCCTCAACCATTTAACAGTAAACAGCAGTGTGCATTAAAGAAGCATCTTACAAATGGGGCTGACCATTATCTTAATTACAGTCAACATGTTTATAATGCTAAATACATCTGTCCTAAAAACTCAATCTCAAAACAGCGTGCATGTGGCTAGATAATCTGGGAGCGCATTTGTGACATTCGGTTGACATTTCCTCTCTCTCCTGGGTAAAAGGGTTGATTGCCATCCAGGCACATCCCCATGAGAGAGAGCCCTAGTTTGCCATTTAAACACTATTTCAATTATTTTTCCTGTGATTGTGTCAGTGATGGAGAAACCTAATTTAGCAGAAAGGATCAGCCCTTATAAACTCAGCAGAGTCAATGCCACAACAAAAATTAAGGTTTGTGTATAATAAGCACCTACCCTAAACTTTTCATAAAGTTATCAATTCACTTATTCATCTAATGAACTAAAATATTAACTTGGATGGCTATTGCATGCCAGGCCATGCTGGGTGCTGGAATACAGTGTTGAAAAGGACACACTGAGCCCTCCAAGGGCTGCCTCACTCACTGGAGAGAACGGGAACCAAACAGCACACAGGACAAGACGGATGTCCTGCAAGGGGCTGTAGTCTGGAGGGAAGGATTCCAGCTCTGAGGCCTACACTTGAAATGAGTCTCAAACAGATGAGGACGACAAGGAGGAAGGGTGTCCCATTTGGAAGAAAAGCAAAGAGGTGCCACCAGTATGCCTTTGAGAGCAATGGGCAGATGAGCACAGCTGGAGAGAGTTTGCAGAAGGGAAGGGCATGCTCACACCCTGGGGCTATCGGGAAATCATCTGGTTAATTCTTCAGGTGACCAAGAAGGGGCTTCTGCAGAGGGTAGAGATCACCCCAAAGCCACTAATTTGGCAGCCTGTAAGTCCCCATTTGGATCAAACCTAATATATTTAAATTCGTCTCCACTTCACGGCCTATATCCAGAAAATCCATCTAGCACCCACTTCCCAGTCCCATGTTTTCAGGCGCTGGAGCTCCCACCCCAGCTCTCCTCATTCCCTGTCTCTTTCCACCTGTCAAAGCTCTGTCCGTCCTTCAAGCCCACCTCCAATGCCACTTCCTTCCCAGCCCTGTGCTCGGTTCCCATGCTCTGCCAGCAACACTCTCCCATCTTCCCCATCCTGCCTTTACCCTCTCATGTCCCTCTCCAAAAGCACCAGGCAAGTGTAGGTAAATGCTTGCTGAAATAAAGTGTACCCTGATTGAATTGATCTGCAAACATAGGAATGTTTCAGCCCTTGAGTAAGCCATCTCCCTGTTTTGTTATCTTTGAACTCCACAAGGCCGTGTTTTTGAAATTTAAATGTCTCAAACGTTTTCTTACACTCTACCCAAAGACAGAAGCTTCCTGTTGTCCTTGCTCACTTAATTCTTTCAAAGACCATCAACCTCAGTGTTGCTAATGTTCACAACTGGGTAATGTTCACAGCTCGTTCACAGTTTATAAAACCATTCTCTCTACTTTTTGTATATCCTTGAAAAATGTCAATAATAATAAGAATTTTTTAAGGCACAGTATTTGAGATATTTGGGACCCTCTTAGGAAGTCCTTGTTTGGTTAGGACTATTTCCTGGTAAACAGATTCTTGATTAAAACTATAGGCTTTCAAGTCAGAGAGCCTAAATTCAGAGCTGGCCCCATCATTTACCAGCTGTGTGACCTTGAACACATTACATGCCCTCTCTCAATATTAATTATGATCTGTAAGATAGCAATGATGATAATTGCGCCCACCTCGTAGGATAAGTATAAGAATGGAATGAAATAAGGAATGCATAGTGCTTGACACAATGCAGGGCATGTGGTTATCAAGGCTCGGTAAAATTGAATTAGTGGCATTACCTGGAAAAAAAAAACTCCTTCTCCTTACATCATACTTTCAAAACATTTTTTGGTGATGGTTTATTTGCATATGTGTCTTTCTCCTCTAAGACTAGTATGTGTATGCATATATGTACATGTATATGTATGTATATGTCTCTAAGTACCTATGCATATATATCATATATGATATGCATAGGTACTTAGAGACATATACATACATATACATGTACATATATGCATACACATACATATGTGTGTATATGTATATATATGATTCAATATATATATTATGCAATACATATATATGTGTATATATATTATGCAATATATATATATAATTGCAATATATATATATATATGCAATTACCTCTATACAACCATGTCACTCTAGGGAACTGCAAGCCTCAGAAATCATGTGGAAGTTGTACCCAAAGACTTTAGAGAAAGCCTAGCAGACTTACACAAATACATCAAGCACCCAGAAATAAACTTCACTGAAATTGTGACTCCAGCATTCCTTACTTTGACTTGTTCATTCTTTCATTCATTTAACAAAGACTTAATAAGCAACTCCTATAAGCCAGGCAGTGTGTCAGAGGCTTAGGAATATACAAAGAGAAGAGGGAAAAAATAAAATAGCTTTTGCCCTCATATGCACATAATTTAGGGAAAATAATAAGGAAGTAAGGAGATCACTTCATGACAATGTGGTAAGCCCTTGGGAAGAAATTAGGGAGTAGAGCTGGGAAGAAGGCGTCAAGGAAGAATTCTGACGTTGATGCCTGACTGAGTCAGAGTGGACAGACAGAGGCAACAGGGAAGGGCGCCCCAGGTCAGGGAGCGGCAAGCACAGAGGCCTAAGGACAGGAAAGGACTCCACAAACTGGACGAAGCTCACAATGCCTGCAGGGTGGTGCCGCTGGGGTGGTAGCAATAGACGAGGCTGCAGAGGCCACCAGAGGCAGGATCATGAAAGGCCCTGAATGAACTTTATTTTTTTACTAAAAGTAATCAGGAGCCATCGAAGAATGTTAAGCAATGGCATAGCCATCAAATTTGCATTTTGTAAATATCCCTCTGTTAGCTTTCTGAAAGCAAAGAGAATGGGCACTTGAGAAACACAGCGGGGGAACTATCAGAGTCATATTTTGCCTATAATAGATTTTATACCTCCTACTTCTTTTCTTTTCTTTCCTTTTTTTTTTTTGAGACGGAGTCTTGCTCTGTCACCCAGGTTGGAGTGCAGTGGCCAATCTCGGCTCACTGCAACCTCTGCTTCCCAGGTTCAAACGATTCTCCTGCCTCAGCCTCCCGAGTAGCTGGGACTACAGGCATGCACCACCACGCCCGGCTAATTTTTTGTATTTTTAGTAGAGACAGGGTTTCACGGTGTTAGCCATATATCTCCTATTTCTAAGCCAGAAAATATCTTAGAAAGCATCTTATCTAACCTCCTTGTTGTAGAGACCAAACCCCCACCTTATTTTCAAGGGATGTAAAGCAGCCTGTCCATTTTTTTTTTAAATGAAATGGAACATCTTGCCCTACAATTCAGCCTTCCTAGGTCCCACCACCACTACCATTTTGCTAGCATTTCTGCCAGTGGAAGCATAAGAAGTAGTATCACTTCTGAGTACACAGCTCAGGGTAGACCCTTTTCAATGGCTGAAAACATTTACCCATTTTGAAAGCTGGTAGAGTCTGTATTCTATGAGCATGAGAAAAATTCCAACTGGCTTTGTATATTTTCTCATAGTGATTAGAAAGTTAAACCCTTTTAAATCAGAGATTATTCTTGAGCTTCTAATACTATTTAAATTACAACTCCCAAATCTTGAATGATGTAACAGACTAAAGTCCAAATGCTGCTTTTTAAATTCTGTGCATCACACGGAAGTTACTTAACGTGACAGAAGGCAACATAGATTGGCCTGCTAACAAAATCCTGGAGGTTTTGTCTGTGCTAGAATGCTCACCATCTTCTCAATCCTCCATAAAATAAACAGGTTGATTTGTCATCGTTCATATCCAGGAAGTCTCAAACATATCCATAGAGTTGCATCTTACCTATATAGTACTACAATTTCATAGCCCAGAGGGCTCAATCCTTCTCATGACCGAAGTAACCAGATCGTGCAAAGCAGTAAGTCCTAAATTTAACAGCCGGCAGGCCATCAACTGATTTATTACTCCTGAAACAAATTCTACAAGATAAAGACATTTTAAGAAGAAAATGTTGTGGATAGATTTATTCAATCAGTATCTAGTGGTAACTTAAAGCAATTTTCTTAACCACGCAGATATAAAAAGCCACTTGCTTTTGGAATACCAGATAACCACAGCAAAAGACAATAGTGTCTGGGAAAATCCCAAACCACCTGTACTCTGAAAGTCATTTCCATTTGCTTTAAGCAAACATGCAACAAATCAAGTATATAGCAAATCCATTATTACTAATGCAACAAATATTGTGATTAACCCCTTCAGAATAGAGATCTTGCAAAGAATCAGTGAGCACTTCTCAGTGCTCAGAGCTCTTATAGGCATTAACTTCATTTTAACCCTCCCAAGAACCTGCATATTTATTTCCATTTCACAAATGGGCAAACAGGCTGAGAGGCAAAGGCATAGGGCTATGCTCACACAGGTAGTTGCAATTCCTATCTGAAATGTCAGCCCTCCCCTGCCTGAAACAAAGCCTGAGCTTTTTTGCATTCCAGGCCCTCAACTGTGGGCTGGCTCTGGGGGAAAGAGTGGCTGAAATGCTGCTGGTGCAGGCCTGGAGATAAATCATGATGGAGCCCCCAGAGAGTGGAGAGTTCAGAAAGTCACTGAAGTTAGACTACATATCAATTTGCTTTGGGGGGCAACACCCCCAATGAGAAAGTTAATGCAGAGGTTTTGCTCCTCCCATTTAATGGATCAGGATAACTGAGGCTCAGAAAGCATGACTTGCTCAGATGCCAAGAGAAACCAGTCACTTTCCTGAATGAAACCTACCCTACGCATTGAAGCCCGGTGCTCAGTCCCCACTTCCACAAAACTTCCTGCTGTGTCAGTTACCAATAAGAGCTGTGTATCTAGTTGATTAGGAAAGATGTCTTCTTGGACGGAGAGGGGAAAAAAGCACCTCTTTCAAGTTGTCTTAATCTTGGTAAAGTGTTTCACATATATTTAGCATTATTAAGGCTCACCAATACAGTTAAAAATGAAGTGAAAGTCATCTTGTAATTTCGCTTTTATAATTATAAATCAAATTCTCCGAAAGGTTCTTTGAGTAAAATTAACATTTCGTAAGATGCCCTTTATCAATCCAATATGCCAGGAATCCAAAGTAGTCTCATTGAAGGTGTATTGAATTTTATAATTATTGAACATAATTTCTAGACATATCATTCATTTGCACTCTTTTGCCAAGGAGATAAATGGTAAAGGCTCATATTTCATGGGTTTGACAATTCTGCCTGAGCATTGTAGCTTGTGTTGCTGAGCTTCTAATTTAAGAACAAAATTAGGCTTCAAAGAAAAAAGATATCCATAAAGTTATGAAACAGAAAGAAAAAGCATCATGCTTTTTGGGTGCTCATTCTAGGTATGTTCATTATATGCCAAAGCCCAGAGAAGGCAAATACAGAATTTAAAAAGACACCATCTGTTATGTGATGTTCCAAATTGTAAACTTAACCCTTAATTTCTATGTCACCTGCTGTTCCGCTGTTCTCTTTCCTCAGTACAGGGGGAGAAAAATGGCTTAGCATATTAACTGAGTAGCTTTGGCAGGACCTACGGATGTGCCTCATAAGACGTTTTGATAAGCTCAGCATCACAACCTGTATATTTTCTCCAGAAAAAAAAATTGTTATATTTTACTTTTAAAACAACCATCACATGTACAGTGGTTGCCATCAGCTGAGAGGCTACAACAACCCAACCCAATAGCAAGCCATGGTCTTTTCTGAAATTTTTATTTTCTTTAAAATAGGCTTTTTGAAAGAAAAAGCAGAGATTTTAGAAAGTTTTAAAATCTGTGAAATGAAAAGTAAAATAATTCCTCAAGTAATTCCTTTTTTCAAAAAAAAATTATGAAGACAGAAGGAAAAATAGCACATAGCCCAAATCAGAAAACATTTTCACTTTAAATATTCGAAGGCAACATGTGCCATACATAACTGAAGAAACTTCCATTAAAGAAAAAAAAAGTAATATATACTTGAAAATGCCTGTGTTTTCTTCCTTGTAGATCTGAAATGTTCTAGTTTTAAAAACACATTTAGCAAATGCAACACAGCTCATTCAGGGTTGATTTGAGTTCACAAAATATTTTTATTATGTGTAAGAAAGCATACAGCCAATAAAATTAAGAAAACATTCACAATACATAAATAACACAGACCTGATGCAGGAGATATTTTTCAGATTTTTTTTTCTTTTCACGGATTGCATCTAAATGTTAAGTTCATTGCTTATCAAGAAGAATACGTTGTAAACATTTCAAAGAAACTCTGTTGAAATGCCCCACGAGTTGGCATCTGGCAAGGGAGGCTTATGATACTTTTTACAGTCCGGGTGATGATGCAGGAACCTGATTCCAAAGCACAGAGAAAGGACTAGCATTTGTCAAAAGAGATGCTGATGGCTTTGGGGGAGCTCAACACACCCAAAGGGAAGGATTCTTCTGTTTCTCCCATCAACAGAAGTATCTGACTCAAGAATGATAATGAGGCACTATTCGTTAGTTAGTATACCATTAACATTTAAAGACTCCTTTAAAAATCAGCTCTAAATTCAGATTAAAGCACTATAAAAAGTAGCCCCACTGACTGGTTTGGTTTGACCTGGTAAGATGGAAATGCAGGGTTTGAGTTTGGTCCCTCAGTGGGGCTGCTGTAACCCACTGTCTGTGCTACAGATCTCTCTCCAGGAAAGCCATTTGTGTGGTTCAGAAAAACTACCTGACACATGAAATGAGAAAAGATGGAGAGGGCCAATTATTTTACATAAATACAAAGCAGCATATACTTTTCATTACCACCTAAGATCGTAAATTTAATGCTGGGCTCTTCTTAAGTTGGCTTTTATTTAAGATATTTACAGAACTGCAAATTCCCCTGGGAAAGTCATTTGTCATTTAAAACGTTTTGAACACAGTAGTAGCTATACTTTTTTAAATTTTTCAAAATCTTTTCAGAAAAAGAAAGCATTTATAGCATTTGTCAATTCTCACCTTGCATTTATCTGTGTCCATGAATTTTAAGGAATCATTTCAACTTTATTCCCTTATCTATCAGTTTCTGCTGTGTTTCTAGAAGTTACACATGAACATTTAGAATCTCACAGAGTCTGTGTGTTTGCTTCATTGGCTTATAAAGTGCTAGTTAAATGGCCAGAAATGTGGTTGTAAGGTCTTGGATAAAACTCATTAATTTATCCTATTAAATATGATAAATATATATTTATTATATCATAAATTAAAAATATCCATATATACAATAAATAAATAGAACCAATATCAACAAAACATCTCTCAATTCTGGAAAAAAATTTCTCACTCCTACTGTAAGCCTCAATTAATGTTTTAGAAATAATTTATGAAGGCATGCACCTACCTTTACAATCTGAAAACTTTGCTGGGAACAGTGTTAGCACCTGTTTGTATACAGCAAACTCAACCCATCTCATTTTCTTCCCAGAAAAATTTGATTTTAAGTGAAGCTGTTCACTGTTGATTCTTTGCCCTATTTGGTAAATCCTAAGATAAGAATAAATTTCTAAAAACAATTCTGAAGCCAAAGACATGTCCCTTATGGCTCCCCATGTTTGTAGTGTCCCTGTTTGATTGACTATGAACAACACAGAAAATACACTGGAATGTATTTGGAAACGGAGTTAATTGTGTGTTGGAAAGCAGCAGAGGGCTCTCCTGACACCTCAGAGTCTCACCGTACCTTAGTTTCTTAATAGCAAGCCCCAGAGCAATCTCCTCTAGCTTTTGGGATGAGCATGTGTGGCAGGATTCATCTGCGAGTTCAGGTTGGGTGCTGACCGTTTTGTGTGATGGGTTGGATCTTCTCCAGAGAGACGTCAGTGTCATAGTCCAATATGACTGATAGGGCTGGGGACAGCTTCTCCAAGGGTCTGGCGATGCCAGCTGCCTCCTCCTTTTTCAGGTCCTCAGAGGAGCCCACAGCATGTGGGATCAGGTAAACCAGATTGCACTCCTTGGAGATGGAGCCTCGTGGCTCATGATGGCTGGAAAACATCGCGGCCCCATTGTTATTGATACTCACCGTCTCTATGGCATTATTCGTCGCAGGGCAAAGTCTGTAGCATCCTAAGAGGGTTGAAAATGCCTTCCGAAAATCAGCATTAAAGGCATAAATGATGGGGTTCAAGGATGAATTAGCCCACCCAAACCACACAAACACGTCAAAGGTGTTGGAATCAATGCAGAAGGGCTGCGTCTCCCCAGACCCACAGAAGGGCAAAATGCAGTTCAAGATGAAGAAAGGTAGCCAACAGCACACAAACACACCCATGATCACCGACAGAGTCTTCAGGACTTTAGTTTCTCTTTTGAAGGACATCTTAAAAGAACTTTCCGGTTGAGAACATTCGACAGGCTTTCCATTACCTGTGGTGGTCTGGCAATTCTTGGCGTGGACTGCTGCCCTCTCCAAGGCCGCAATGCGCCGTATTTGTTTCTGAGCAATCCTGTAGATCCTGGTGTAGGTGACAATCATGATGGCCACAGGGATGTAAAAGCTTATTACAGAGGATGAGATGGCATATGTCCTGCTGAGGCTGGAGTCACAGTTGTCTATGGTCTCAGCCAGGGAAGTGGCATTTCCATCAGAGGGGCTTGTGGGTTTTGCCTTGTGCCAGCTGAGCTGCACTGGGATGAAGGAGATGAGTACAGACAAGGTCCATGCCACACTGATCAGGATGAAGGCTGCCTTGGGGGTCATCTTTCTCTCATACCGGAAAGGGCTGGAGATAGCCCAATACCTGTCCACGCTGATCACACAGAGGTTGAGGATGGATGCAGTGGAGCACATGATGTCAAAGGCCACCCAGATGTTACAGAAGGACCCAAAGGGCCAGAAGCCAGCAATCTCAGCCACTGCCTTCCAGGGCATGACCAGGACGGCCACCAAGAGATCTGACACAGCCAAGGAGATGACAAAGAAGTTGGTCACCTTGGACCGCAGGTGTCGGAACCTGATAACGGCAGCACAGACCAGCGTGTTCCCCAGGAGCGTGGACAGGATGAGCAGCGACAGGAAACAGGCAGTGAGGATACGAACAGAGAAGTCCCTCTCCACCACCAGCCCAGTCCCGTCCATGGCAGAGGTGTTCAGAGTCCTCATCTTCCTAAGAGAAAGCACATCAGGGGCTCTGACACCCCTCAAGTTCCCAAGCAGGGAATAGGGGTCAGTCAGATTTCCAGGAGTCCTCCCCACCAGGCAGCACTTTGCACAGCCAGATTGCTTCCCTGGCAGAGGGCCTCACCAACATTCCATGAGAGGACCGCTTGAGTGGCAATCCAAGTCAATCCCGTGGATGGTCACTCTTGATTTCTACATCTGTCTTCTGACTCCCTTGCTGCAGGTCACTGTCTTGGGCACCAGAAAGCCCCTGAATTCCCCAAATAAAGCACTGGCTTTTTAGCATATTCTAAATCATCAATCCAGTGACTCCTGGGCCTCTGCTCTGCTAGTCAGTTGCAATCACATTTCGGGGCTGTTGCTTTTCTGGTGGTGACAGGAGATTCTCCCCTTCTGAGACTCAGCTGAAAATACATGTCTTCTCGCTCCTCCAAGCCCCTGGCTCCTCAGCAGCTCTCCAAACGCCTTAAAAAGCAAAAGGAAAACACACGGTCTTTCTCCAAGACTTAAGCAGATGGCATCATTACTCACGTCAAGCCCAACCTAATAATTCCCAGGGCGAGCCCGTCCGAGCCACCTACCTTGCCTTGGGGTCGTCTCTCTCAAAGCCCCTGGAGCTTGGAATGTGGACTTCGCTGGGGGCAGCGGCTCCGAAACGTTGAGGAAGCGCGCCTGAGCCCAGCCAGCTGCGCGCAGCAGGGGTTCGGCTCCCGGTGCGCAAAAATCGCCGGGGTGCGTTTGGGGAAAGGATCCCAGGCCAGGTCCCAAGAGAGGCGGCGGCAGCCCACTTCCTTGAAGAGCTGGAGATTGTTCAAAGGGCACTAGACCCCGGCTAAGGGCTCCTGGGCGCTCGGAGCTTCCTTGGGAGAGAGCACTCCCAGGACTGGTCACCTGGGCAGCTTCTTTTCTTGGCTTCCTTTCGAGAGCCCAGAGCCTTGGCGAACCTCGGGCGGCCTTCAGCCCTACAGAGCAGGGCCCCGCGCCTCCCCGCAGGCACTGCCCGCGACCTCTCAGGAGCCTGTGGCAATGCGAGGCAGCGAGCCGAGCTGGCACCAGCAAGCGCACAGGCCGGCGGGGTTCCCGCGGGGCACAGCCCACCCCGCCCGCGCGTCCCCTCCCCTGCCCTGGGGGCGGTCCTCGCTTGACAGGCAGAGTTGCGGGCGACAGCCGCACGTGGTCCCCCTGGATGGTTCTGCGGGCGAGGTGGGCGGAGGACGCCCCGGTGAGTGCTTGCCCTCCCTGGTTACCTCGCCAGTCTCCGGATCCCCGCGCAGCACGCGCAGGGCCCGCGAGGCAAATCCAATGTCAGAACCTCAAGTAAGCTTGAGTCCCCTGAAAGCAAAGCTCAGCCCCGACATCCAGCGCCTCTTGGGGTCAACCCCTAGCCGGACCCAAAGCCCTAAGCGAGCGGGAGCACCCCCCATTCCCCGCACACCAACTCCTAGAACGGCCGGCGGACGTCCGACCTGCGTTGTCTCCAAGTGTCCCCTAACTAGGGTTGGAGATGCCCGTGGGCGCCTGTACTCACCGCTCGCAGGGAGGGCGCGGCGCAGCTGGGATCCGGGCCAGCGCGCGCCGCTGCGCCCCGAGGGGACTCACTCCTTCCCCGCCCAGGTGGCGGGCGCGTCCCGGCTGCGGTCAACGCCGGACTCCAGCCGGTGCCCCGCACCTCCCGAGCGCCCCAACCCCAGCGCCGCGCGCTCCGTGTGCCCGGGGCGCCCTCTGCCGGCGGCTGCGACTTCCCGAGCGCCCGCTGTGCCCTCGCGGGCACCAACCTCACTCACAAGGGTTCCAGCGACCGCCAGGGACCCGCGCCCCGACTCGCTCTTCCCGGTCCATGACTGCCAGAACCTGAAAACAGGGAAGCGGAATCTTCTCCACTCAGGACTCCTCCGCTTGAAACACCCTGAAAAACGGACAAGGGTGAAAAATTTTACTTTGCTGGCATTGCATTCGTGAATCTATGTTTCCTCCTGCGCGCCCACTGCGTTCAAACCTGGGGCGCTAGAGCAGGCGAGACGCAAGCCTTACTCTCAAAGAGAACGGCAGAGCGGGCATTGACTCAGCAGCATCCGTGTTCCCCGGTGCACGCCTTACGTTGTTCCCCCGTTAAAAGAATCTTTCCCCGCCAGGCCGGCTCAACCCGCTTCGCCCAGGTGGAAATGCGGCTCGGAAAGGTAGTGGGGCCTGCTCAAAGTCACACAGCTCACGCGGGAGCCGCGCCGCTGCCCACCTGTTCTTTTAACTCACCGCATGTGGTACAGGAGCCCACAAACTGGAAAATTACCTACAGGGCTAAAATACAGGGAAGAGTCATATGGAGGCAGCGGGGCCTGGTGGAGAAGGAGCCCCCAGCCTCCCCTGGTTGCCCCAGGCAAGCTCACAGGTGAGACTTTGCACTAATTGTGCATAAATTGCGACACTGTGGTGCCTTCCTGTGCCTTCCGAAAGGTGGGAGGAGAATAAGCATGGATCCCCCAAGTCACACTGCCTGACTTCCTGGTCCTGCCCTGCCACTGTCGGCTGCATGTGCACTCTCTCCTCTCTGAGCTCGGGTTCTTCCTCTGTGAAACGGTGAGGACATAACAGGATTGTCATAACTATTAACTGAGACGGTGTTTCCAGAGGGCTTGGCACCAAACCTAGGACCCCGTCAGCCCTCCATAGGCAGGAACCCCTGGGACCCATTAACAAACCAACAGTCCAGGCCAAGCGCGGTGGCTCACGCCTGTAATCCCAGCACTTTGGGAGGCCGAGGAGGGCGGATCATGAGGTCAGGAGATCGAGACCATCCTGGCTAAAACGGCAAAAATACAAAACAAAATTAGCCGGGCGTGGTGGCAGGCACCTGTAGTCCCAGCTACTCGGGAGGCTGAGGCAGGAGAATGGCGTGAACCCGGTAGACGGAGCTTGCAGTGAGCCGAGATCGCGCCACTGCACCCCAGCCTGGGCGACAGAGCGAGACCCCGTCTCAAAAAAAAAAAAAAAAAAAAACTAACAGTCCAATCTCCACAACAGCCATGCACCATATCAGAAGCAAGAATTTTCTCTGGGAAAAAAAAAAAAAACCCTAAACCAAAGTAATAATTCCATTTAGTTCGCCAGCACAAACTGTACTTTGGTTGTTTGTTTATTTAGAGACAGAGTCTTGCTCTGTCGCCCAGGCTGGAGTGTAATGGTGCTATCTTAGCTCACTGCAACCTCCGTCTCCAGGGTTCAAGCGCTTCTCCTGCCTCAGCCGCCCAAGTAGCTGGGATTACAGATGTCTGCCACCACATCCGGCTAATTTTTTGTATTTTTAGTAGAGATGGGGTTTCACCATGTTGGCCAGCCTGGTCTTGAACTCCTGACCTCAGGTGATCCACCGGCCTTGGCCTCCCCAAGTGCTGGGATTACAAGCGTGAGCCATCGCGCCCGGCCTTTGGCACCTTGGCTTAAGATGAAAGGACCATATTGCTGGCACAGACCCTCCGGTGCCTGTGCTTACAGCTGTCTCCTCCCACCCATGGCCTCGCCGTCACACACAGCGTCCAACAGACTGGGGGTCAGAGACGCAATTGTTGCCACACACATTCCCCAAGAACTGCATTTCTGTAGAGCCCTAAGTCACGCTTAACGTAACACTTTCAGATCACTTTCCCCAAGGCCGTCATTCTCCAAACTTCTTGACTTTGTTTCATTTTCTTTCTTTCCCTTTTACTAATAAACACAAATTAAAGATATGTTTCTGGTTCGAGACTTGTCATGTAAGCCTGAGCATTTAACTCCTGACATTCTACCCTGGCATCTGCAATTTTCCACTGAAACTACCCAGAAATAAAATAGGTAGGAGAAATTCAGCATTAACCTTGGAAAGCAGGAACGGGTAGGATCCTGATCTGTGGGATAATGAGCCAGTGGAATTGGACTGGGCAAAGCAGGACTCCATAGGAATATTCCATATGGCAAGAAAATGTACTTCAGGAAGTAACCTCAAAAGAACACACTACCTGCCCTGCCACCCCAAAATCGAGATAGCAGACTCTGGAGGTAAGGATAAGGCCAATTTGAGGGATAAAATTTCTGTCTAATGACTGCCTTTCAGAAGTGCCCCCAATTCCCAAGTCTTCTCAGAGCCAACAACAATGCCACTGCTCTTGTAATTAAAAAACAAGGATGACAAACACAGCACAACACCTGGGCTTCAGGTGGTATCATGCTCAAGAAAACAGCAGTTTAACAGTGGGAAAATATTTGACACAACATTTAAATATTAATCAAAATTTTGTTCAAAGGAACATTCATAACATACTTCATATTCTCATTTCTCTCAAGCCCACCAGCTGCTCAAAAAACCTTTTTGTTTTGCTTGAAAAATCACCTAAATTATTTCAAACTAGCCCATACTGACCTTTATCTTTTTCTCTCAACCCATTTATCTGACAAGTCCAGGTGATCAAATCAACACATACCATTTTGGTAGTGATTGAGAGCTATTTCTTGACCACAAGTAAATTTCTGTCATTTCAATATTAAATCTCCTCCCTACCCATATGCTATGGTTTGAATGTCTCTGCCAAAACTCATGTTGAAATTTAATTGCCATTGTGACAGGATTAAGAGTTGGGACCTTTAAGAGGTGATTAGGCCAAAGGGTTCTGCCCTCCTGGGTGGACTAATGCCATTATCTCGTTATCTCTGGAGTGGGTTAGTTACTGCTGGAGAGAGCTCCTGATAAAAGGATAAGTTCAGCCTCCATTCCCTCCCTGCCTCTTGTGTAGTCTCTTCTTCTGCCAAGTTATGATGCCACCCCACGATCTGAGACTTCCCAGCCTCCAGGAACTATGAGCCAAATAAACTTACATTGTTTATAATTTACCCAGTTGGTGGTATTCTGTTACAGTAGCAGAAAACAGACTAGACATCATAACATACAAAAAAGGCTCAGAAACCCAGCCAGCAAAGCAAAAACGACTAACAGGTAGAGAAGGAGAGAACCTGAGAATAACCAAGGAGGTGATTTTGTTTAAGATCACCAGGAAAACCAGAGGGTTGGACCAGTTTGTCTATCATTCTATAACTCACTGCCTGAGATTCCTTCCTAACAGACATAGGTCACTGGCTTTTGAACGTCATTGCTGAGAGAACAGGAAAGAGTAAAATGGAGCTGAAATCTCAGTGTTTCACTTTGCACAGAGTGTGAATTTCAGAGGAACTTACAGTTTTGCTAGAGGTTTGGAGTTTTTCCTATTTTCTTATTTGAAGCTACGGTGAAACAAAGCCTTCTATTTTGTTCTATAAAAATCTCCCCCACAAACCTCAAGAACACAAATGTAAATGCAATCAGGTATTAGATCATGCTGAGAATGTAAACCCAACACAAAAGCACCTTTGTTTCCCAATTTAGTGTGTCTTTTAAGCTCTACTGTGGGTGATTTATGCACTGCGAAGAGGAGGATGTCAAAATGATGCTTTTCAACAAATCTTTATTTGGAGTATATAAAAGTCAGTGAATACAGAAGGCACACTATCAAAGGGAAGCTTAATCTCATAAAAGACTAAATAAAGCAACAGAACGGTCAAGTATATCAAATGATGTATTTAAGACTCTTTGGGATTATTAAAGCGGACTTTATACACAAAATGATTAGCTTACGATGTTAGTGAAAAGAAGATAAAGTTTGGCCGACCTGACTAAGTAACTAGAATGCATGTTTCAGACAATAAATGTAACTTTTCTGAAATTCCTAATCCCATGTCATATTTTCCCCTCCTATAGTTATACAATTCAAAAATCAACACTTTAAAATTTCAAAATCAATATATATCAGTTTCTGCAGTGGTTGGTGGGTAGTGTAACATGCATAATGTGTTTTCTATTGTTGCACCTGCTCTTCGTTCCGTTTTTCCCCTCTTTTCTGCCTTTTATAGGCTTAACTGAGTAGTTTTTATAATTCCGTTTCATCTTTTTTATTGGCTAATTTTCTATATTTTTTGTTATTTTCATGGTTGCTTTAGAGTTTATATCATTTCTCTGTCTATATATATATATACACACACATACACATATATATATTTTACAATATACATATGTAATATTTTTCAAAGCCTGCATTCAAGTGATATTATATCATTCCATATATCATTAAGAACACTACAATAGTATTCTTCCAAGTCTTCTTAAATGGTCAATTTTCTTTTAAAGAACTCTAAGTAATAAGAAATAAATACTATATGTTTCCCATGTGCCATTTCTGATGTTCTTCCTTTTTATATAGATCCCTATCGCCATCTGGGATCAACTTTCTGCTAGAAGGACTACCTTTAACATTTCCTGAAGTGCAGGGCTGCTGGTGGTTGATTTTCTTCAGCTTTTATATCTCTAAAAAGTATCCATTTTGCTTTCATTCTTGAAAGATATTTTTGCTAGATATAGAATTCTAGATGGACAGATTTTTCATTTTAATGGTTTCAGATGTTGATCTGCTATCTTCTTATTTATATTGTTTCCAACAAAATATCTGCCATCACCCTTATCTTTGTCCTTCTCTACATAGCATGTCTTTCTTTCCTCTGGCTATTAAGATTTTTCTTTTCTTTATCACTGGTTTTGGGCAATTTGATCAAGATCTACCTCAGAGTAGTTTTCTTCAAATCTTTAGCACGTTTGGGATTTGTTGAGTTTTTCTAATCTGTAGGCTTACAGTTTTTGTCAAATTTCGAAAACTTTGGTCATTATTCCTTAATTTTGTTTTGTTTTGTTTTGTTTTGTTTTGTTTTGTTTTGTTTTGTTTTTTTGAGACAGAGTCTCACTCTGTCATTCAGGCTAGAGTGCAGTGGCACAATCTCTGCTCACTGCAATGTTGGCCTCCTGGGCTCAAGTGATTCTTCTGCCCCAGCCTCCTGAGTAGCTGGGATTACAGGTGCACACCACCATGCCCAGCTAATTTTTGTATTTTTAGTAAAGATGGGGTTTCAGCAGGTTGGCCAGGCTGGTCTCGAATTCCTAACCTCAAGTGATCTGCCCACTTTGGCCTACCAAACTGTTGGGATTACCGGCGTGAGCCACTGCACCTGGTCTAAATATTTTTTTTGAATTTTTCCCCTTTTATTCTCTTCTTTGGGTTCTTCAAATGCATGGACTGCTTGCAGTTGGCCTCCAACTCACTGAAGCAAGTTCTCTCCTCCTTACTCTCTTTTCCCTCGGTATTACATTTTGGATAGTTTCTATTGTTATATTTTTGAGTCAACTAACATTTTTCTTCTGCAAGGTCTAATGTGTTGTCAGATCTCATTCTGTGTATTTTTCATTTCACATTTTGTAGTTTTCTTCTCTGAAAGTTCATTTTATGTCTTTTTTAAATTTCCTGTGTATCTACTTAAGTTTCTGAATATATGAAATATGGTTATAATAACTATTTTAATGTCCTTCTTTGCTAAGTCTAACCTCTGTGTCCATTCAATTGATTTTTCTCTTCATTATGGGTCATATTTGTCTAATTCTTTTCATGCCTGCTAATTTTTTTGGATGCCCTACATTGCAAATTTTATCTAGTTGGTGCTAGCCTTTTTTATTCTTAAAAATATTCTTGCGCTTTGCTCTAGAACGTAATTAAGTTATTTGGAAATAATGTGATCCTTCAGTTCTTGCTTTTTTTCTTTTTCTTTCTTTTTTCCCCTCTTTTTTCTTTTGTTCTTTTTTTCCCCTTTTTTTCCTCACATCAGATGAGTGACGTGCTGACACTGTAACAAGGTTTAAGGCAGCACATCACACACATAAGCATGAAAACCCAATCATCATGCTTATGAACCACAAAAGGATTCAGGTATTGCTTTTAAGAGGTGCTAGGTAGAACCAGAGCAGAGTTTAATCTGGGGTTATTTATTTTGTGTTACGGAAGCAAGATTCTTTTTCAGTGTATCTGGCTGGTGGTGGCAAACCCTGTTCATGGCCCTGTGTCAGTGCCAGACACTGAGATACTGTTCCTTATAATTTCCACACTTATATTTCTGCACACTCATGTACTGGTTAGTCCTCTGCTGAACGCTCAAAGGGGACTCTCTGAAGATCTCTGGAGTCCTTTCTGTCTCTCTCCTCTCTCTCTCTCTCTCTCTCTCTCTCTCTGTCTCTTTCTCTGCAGGTCTCTCCTTTGCAGTACTCTGTTCTGTGACCTCTGGTTGTCTTGATCTCCCTGGACCCTTAGTTCTGTTCACCCAACTCAGGGAGTCTCCCGGACTCCACCTGTATTCCCCCTCCCTGCGCCATGGCTTGGACCATCTTTTGAGGCAGTAAGCTGGGTGACAGTAAGTCTTACCTCATTTTTCCCCATCTTTCGGGGATCGCTGTCCTTTGTTTCCTGACATCCAATATCTGGAGAAACATGTATTTTGTTCATATTATTGGTTGTATCTGGTGGGAGGGCAAATCTAATCCCTGTTATTCCATATTGTCTGGAAGCAGAGATCAAGAAAAGTCACAACTTTTAGATTTAAGTCTCAACTTTTTAGGTTTTAAATCTAAAAAGGCAAAGGAATCTAATCAGGCAAGAAGAACTGAGGTTAGAAATGGAGACTAGTCCAGTAATACTTTAATACCCCAAAACTGCTCTTGGTTCATGGCTCTGGCCCTCCATAGCATCAAATCTAGCCCTGGCCACACCTGTCATTACGGTTCCAGCATTCTCATCTTCCCCCATCTAAATCCTTCACTTTTAGGAGACATAGAGGGTCCATTTGGCTCAGCCTGGTCTTTAGGGGCTTTGGGGAGTGCCAATGCTTTGAGAAGGGATGGAACGGTTACGAACACCACCATGCCTTCCCTAAGTATTTTTTGAGTGCCTATTATTGGCCAGGTACTGTTCTAGGTGTTGGGATCATAGCAGTGAACAAAACAAACCTCCCTGTCCTCATAGAATTTATATCCCAGTGATAAATGATAAATACCTTTAGCACAACACAATGTAGAATTGCTATAAGCTTTGATTTCGTTGAAAAAGAAAAATGCACTTGCTAGCAAAGTCATAACCTAAGCTGAGATGAAAGACAGGCTAATCCACAAAAATTGTTTATCCTGTGTAAACATAGAATCTATTTAAGTCACCTTAGAGAGTCTTCTTTAGGCCATTTATAGAAAACATGAATGAAGCCCAGGGGAGAGTCTCTGCAGTGAAAAATGCTGAAGTGGGCTCTTGAGGCTGGAAATCAATGCTTTGCGAAGAAATGAAAGCTGCTAATTTGTCTGCTCGGCCCATGAGATTATATATCACTGGAGGAGCCCAGAGAGTATCCTTCAATTCACAAAGGGCTTTCCTCTCAGCCTGCCTCTGCAATGATTTAATTACTTCCCCTCCCTAGAACACAAGCACTGGTCACTCTCACCCCCAGCTTCAGGTATCCCAATTCAGGAGATGAGCCTGGGGCTGCAGTGGTAGGAACAGTGGGTCAGACAGACCTGGGTTTGAATCTTGGCTCCATTACTATCAAGCTGTGGGGCCTTGGTCAAGTTTCTTCACCTACATGCCCTCCTTATTTCCCACCCCTGAAAATGCAAATACAGCTGCCAAGAAGCTTACATGAAATCCCGACCAAAGTATCAAGTATATAAGCACAGATCAGGAAACCTTCCCTTGCATTGCATTTTGTCTTGGCAAAGGCTGTATGTAAAGTGTACATTCACTGGTCTTTTCCAGCCCAGCATCCATTTCACCTTCTCTGAAGAAAACATCCCAGATTATTTTGGGGGAATGGCGTGTTCTTTATTGAATACATTCTGTTGGTCTGATAGGGCCTGCCCCTCCCTAGCTAAGGGAGTAGACACATAACCTGAGACAGGTTGACCAGATGCTTCCTCCCTGAGATTTGTATCTTCAGCAGAAGGACAGAGAAATTGAACACATATGAATGAAACAGCATCAGCCTCATCAGCATCCCTCTGACCAGACTGATTCTGCTGTGAGACTATTCATGGAACTCTTGCTTCCAGAAGCCCTGGGTGCTTTGTTCCTTGTCCTTTCCCAAGCCTGGCTCTACAGCCTCCCCTCCACTCAGTGTTACCTTTCCAGTGAATTTCCATTTGATTAGGTTAGCCATGGTACATTTCTGTGACTTACAATCAGAGAGCTCTATCTGATCAGCTGAAGAAGAAGAGGAAGAGAAGAAGGAAGAGGAGGAGGAGGGAGAGGAGAAAGAGAGAGAGGGGAAGAGGGAAAGAGGAGGAGGGAAAAGGGCAGAAGGAGAAAGGAGAGGAGAAGGAATAGGGAGGGAAACACGTTTTATGTCTTATTTGGATTTAACACAGCTGGAGCCACAGTTTTGGCTTGCCTGGCCAGCGAAGAGAAGAATTAAACACAAGGAACCTCAGGTTTTTTCCCAATTAGCAGATGACTGATGACCCTACATCATCTATATAATGATGTATCTTCCCCCATAATTTACTTCATTTACAAACTTCATTCCCTATAATAAACATATTTAATAGATTAAATAAATGAAGTGTATTACCTGCTTCTAGTGGGCAATCCCCTGCTATCTTACCTGGAATCATCAGAGCTAGCAGACACCAAATCGCCCAATTTTGGACACTGAGATTGGCCTGATTAGCTGTACCTCCAGAAATACAGCTAATGGAGGTGCCCATCCCAGCTTTGGGAGGGTGGATAGAGCACCAAAAGAGACTTTACGGAGGATGCAACACTGAATCTGATCTTAAAGAAAGATCTCATAGGACATGCTTAGACGAAGAAGGAGGGAAAAGCATGTTCGCAGAAGGAACAATGTATGCAAAGACTCAGGTGGGAGTGTGTGGGGAGGGGAGAAAGAGGGTCCTTTTAAAATCAGAGCACTTTTGAGGTCAATGTACTTTTATCCAGAGATTTATAGAGTCTCAAGGATACCCGAGAGACCTTGTTATGCTCATGAAGTAGAGAAACTGGAAGAAGTCCACATATTTTAGTAGTTTTGTTACTGGAAAGGAGACTCAATCTAGACACCAAGAGGGTTCTTGGATCTTGTGCAAGAAAGAATTCAGGGTGAGTCCATAGAGTAAAGCGAAAGCAAATTTATTAGGAAAGTAAAGGAATAAATAATGGCTACTCCGTAGACAGAGCAGCCCCGAGGGCTGCTGGTTGCCCATTTTTATGACTATTTATTGATTATATGCTAAACAAGGGGTGGATTATTCAGGCCTCTCCTCTTTAGACCATATAGGGCAACTTCCTGACATTGTCATGGCATTTGTAAACTGTCATGAGGCTGGTGGGAGTGTAGTAGTGAGGACGACCAGAGGTCACTCTCGTCGCCATCTTGGTTTTGGTGGGTTTTGGCTGGCTTTTTTACTGCAGCCTGTTTTATCAGCAAGGTCTTTATGACCTGTATCTTGTGCTAACCTCCTGTCTCATCCTGTGACTTAGAATGCCCTAACCATCTTGGAATGCAGCCCAACAGGTCTCAGCCTCATTTTACGCAGCTCCTATTCAAGATGGAGTTGCTCTGGTTCAACACCTCTGACAGCTTTAATTTGGAAGAGATGGAAAACTTTGAGGAGGTCCCGGAGAATGACCAGCAACCTCACAGACAGAATCCTGGGTACCTTGGGTAAAGGCTTCCTCTCCATGCCACCCACAAGACACTGTGACCCCAATCTCCAGCCCTCCACCTCTCTGGAATTTTTCTATTATATCATCTGTCCACTCAACAGCTCCCCCAGATTTTACTTGTGTTTTTTATCAAACCTATCATCTTCCTCCAAAACTCGCTGCTCCTCTTGTAATTCCTCCGTTGGTGAAAAACACTCCATCTTCTCCATACACGACAACAATTGGACTTCAAAATGAACTTTTGCACATCAAATGGCACTGTAAACAGAGTAAAAAGACAACCTATAGGTCAGGAGCAGTGGCTCACGCCTGTAATCCCAGCACTTTGGGAGGCTGAGGATCATGAGGTCAGGAGATTGAGAGCATCCTGGCTAACACGGTGAAACCCCGTCTCTACTAAAAATACATTACATATAAGCATTGTGTAATGCTTCCCCTGCCTACACCACGTTCAGAATCATACACTCTTGCTCGTTCTTCTGGGATTCGGGGAGACATCTGCTCCTTTCACCTAATTTTAATACCCAGTGTTCTAATCCAGGTCTCAATGTCTCTTGTATGGGTTACCTCAACCAGCATCCGCATCAACATCCCAGCCTCCCCAAGGCATACACCATGGACCTGAGTTGTTAGGTCATGGGCTATGTGTCTCCAGCTTTCAGAGAAACTCTGTAAAATCAGAGGAGCAGCACCTCTAATTGACTCTTCTATTTCTACCTGAGGCAACCGGATATGGTAGCAAATATTATACCCTATTTGCCCCTTACTTTAAAATCTATTGCTTCGTTATATAAACTTTTACTAGGTCTTAGATTTCTTTAGGTCTTGCCTTATTGGAAGAAATTCTGTGTGCAATCTTGCTGAAGAAGGTCCTCCTAAATGTAGGTAAAGGAAGGAAAAAAGCTGGTGCGGCTTCACCTGTAGATGAAATCCTGAACAGTACAGCCTTTTAGGAAAAAAAAAAATGATAAAATTGGAAGTAGGAAACATCTCAAGAATAAAACTCTGGGGCGAAGTTTAGAAGGGGGATGAAGGATAAAAGACTACATATTGGGTAGAGTGTACACTGCTCAGGTGATGAATCCCCCAAAATCTCAGAAATCACCACTAAAGAATTTATCCATGTAACCAAACACCACCTGTTCCCCAAAAACAGTTGAACTAAAAATTAAAAAAAAAAAAAAACAAAAAAAAAACCTCCATTCCCTGATTAGAAACCACAAAAGGGGCCTTAAGAGGTTGTCTGTAAATAATGTACCTTGAATCTCTCAAGGTCTTTCATGCTGATTGACCATCACAGGAAATGGTATTCAAATCAGCATCTATCATTTTCGGAAGGTTTATAAACTGACATTTTACTTTGCCAGAAATAGGAGACTCAGAATCCAATCTTGTTTGTGTCTTCTCTCGTGTTACAGAGGCAAATGAACTGATGAACCTGGCAGATTTCCCATCTTCAAACAATGATGGTTCATGCTGACACTCTGTCCCTGGCTGCAGAGGGCACCTCTTTTTTTGTTCACCTGACAAAAAACAACAATTGGATTGGTCTCTCCCAGACCACGTGGTCCTCACAGGCTGCCCATCATGGGCCTCAACTCCCCTGACCACGTGGGACAGGCACAAGACCCACAGTACTCTGTTCAGACTCTCTCTCAGGCATCTGAAATTTCCATGGAGACAGAAGGACAAAAGGACAGAGCTGTCTTTTCAACAAATGTTGCTGGGAGAACTGGATATCTACTTGCCGAAGAATGAAGTCATACCCTTATCTCACAGTATCTACAAAAACTAGCTTAAAATAGACTAAAGAGCTAAACGGAAAAGTTAAAATTATAAAACATAAGGAGAAAGCTTCATGGCATTGGATTTGGCAGTGATTTCTTCTTTATGACACTAAAAGCACAGGCGACAAAAGAAAAAAGACGGAAATTGGACTCCAAAATGAAGAATTTTGCACATCAAAAGGCACTGTAAACAGAGTAAAAAGACAACCTATAGGCCGGGCGCGTGGGGCTCACGCCTGTAATCCCAACACTTTGGGAAGCCGAGGCAGGTGGATCATGAAGTCAGGAGATCGAGACCATCCTGGCTAACACGGTGAAACCTTAAAAATACAAAAACAAAATGAGCCGGGCGTGGTGGCGGGCACCTGTAGTCCCAGCTACTAGAGAGGCTGAGGCGGGAGAATGGCGTGAACCCAGGAGGCGGAGCTTGCAGCGAGCCGAGATCGCGCCACTGCACTACAGAGCAAGACTCCGTCTCAAAAAAAAAAAAAAAAGAAAAGAAAAAAAGACAACCTATAGAATGCGAGAAAATGTTTGTAAATCAAATTCCTAATAAAAAATTAATATTCATAATATGTAAAGGACTCCTATAACTCAACAACAACAATTAAAAACTAGGCAAAGGACTTCAATAGACATTTCTCCAAATAAGTTATACAAATGGCCAATGAGCCCAGGAAGAGATGTTCAGCATCACTAATCATTAGGGAAATGGAAACCAAAACCACAGTGAGATCCCACCTCACACCCATTAGGATGGCTACTATCAAACAAGCAGAGAATAGCAGGTGTTGGTGAGGATGTAGAGGGATTGGAAGGAACTCTTGCGCATTGCTGGTGGAAATGTAAAATGGTGCAGCTACTATGGAAAGCAGCACAGAAGTTCCTCAAAAACTTAAAAATAGAATTACCATATGATCCAGCAATTTTGTTTCTAGGTGCATACCCAAAGGAATTGAAGGCTGGAACTCAAAGAGTTATTTGTACACCTATGTTTGCAACAGCATCATTTACAGTAGTGTGAAAAGATCACCGTGGGCATGTTAACATTTTAAAGCATTTATGTGAGCAGACAATGATTCATGAATCTGGTAGCACCAAACTGCAAGTAGTTTGGGCTCCACCAAGAGGGTGTGAGGGGAAAATTGTTAAAAGGTGATCATGAAAGCAAGACAAAGAAAATATTTGATTGGCTAAGGCAGGAAGTCTCCAGTTAGAGGTCAGCTGGAGGTTTCTGATTGGTAAATTCTGTAGTGAGAGGTTAGTTAGCAGTTTCTGAATGGTTAAGCTGGGGTTTCATTTTCCCAGGCTATGGTCACTCACACTGAATGGGGTTTCAGTTTGCTTATGTAGGAATCCAAGGTGCTGGGTTCTCAGCCAAATGGACTCCAAATTAATTGTTTTTAACAATAGCCAAAAGGTTAATCAGCTCAAATGTCCACTGATGGAATGAGTCAATTAATTTGTTTACTTGTCCATGAATGAGTAAACAAAATGTGGTATATACATACAATTAAATATTATTCAGCCTTAAAAAGGAAGAAAATTCTGACCCATGCCATAATGTGGATGAACTTTGAAGACATTACGCTAAGTAAGATAAGCCAGTCACAAAAATAACAAACTCTGTGTGATTCCCCTCATAGGGGGTCCATAGTCAAATTCATAGAAACAGAATAGTGGTTGTGGGGGCTGGGCAGAGGGGGAGTCATTGTCTAATTTGTGGTGTTAAATTAAGCTTAGCCTAAAGCTGACTGCTTACATATTTTAAGTTTAGCCTAAAGATCCCTCCATACATGGTGAACTGTCTCCTAAC